>NC_000004.12:2361042-2667539 GCF_000001405.40 Homo sapiens | reverse complement strand
GCAATATATCAGGGGAGCTATAACAATAATTCAATAACATCACCCCCAAATGCATGAACCAAAACAAGGAAGAATTGAAAGGAGAAGGAAATAATCCAACAGTTAAACTTGAAGGCTTCAATATGCCTCTCTCAGTAACCGATAAAACCACCAGACAGATAATCAGTAAGAATATATACTATGATCTGAGTATCTGTGCCCCTCCAAAATTCATATGTTGATAGCCTAACCTCCAAAGTGATGGTATTAGGCGATAAGGACTTTGGAAGGCTCTACTCTCAGGAATGGGGTTACTGTCCTTACATGGTAGCCTGGATAGACCAAGACAATACAGAAGACTTGAAGAATGCCATCAACCAATTTGATCAAACTTTCATTTCTTGAACACTCCACACAACAAGAACAAAGTTCAAATTATTTTCAAGTACACATAGAACAGGATCTAGGTAAACTATATGTTAGGCCATCAACAAGTCTCAATAAATTTGGAAGCTCTAAAATCAGTCATCTAAGCTTTTGTTTCAACAAACTAGAAAAGGAAGAGCAAGCAAAACCCAAAGAACATAGAAAGAAATAATCAATTTCAGAATGGAAACCAATGACACAGAAACGAAAACAGAGAAATTGACAAATCTTTAGCCCAAGTGACTGAAGCCGTTAAAAGGAAGATAAAATTACCCAAATCAAGAATTAGCATCACTGCAGGCACTGCAGAATTAAAAAGGATTATAACAGTATAGAATAACTTTATGCCAACACATTAGACAATTTAAATGAGTAAATTCCTACAAAGACAAAAATTATTGAAATTCACTCAGTAAGAAATAGGAAATTTGAAAAGACCTATTACAAGCAAATGAAACTTGAATTAGTAATTACAGATCTTCCCACAAAAAGAGACCAGGCCTACAGGATTTTGCTGGTGAATTCTATCAAATATTTAATAAATCTCAATCTTAAACAAACTCCTTCAGAAAACATAAGTGAAAAAAACATTTCCTAACTCATCCTATGAAGCCAGTATTACTCTGATACCAAAGTCAGACAAAGACATCACAAAGATAGGAAACTACAGACCAATATATTTTATTAGTATTAACACAGATGCAAAAATCCTAACAAAATATTAGCAAACCAACTCAGGAACACATGAAAAGGATTATATACCACCGCCAAGTGGGAGTTATCCCAGGAACACAGGTTGATTTAATATCCTTAAATCAACTGATGTGACACACCACGGTAACAAAATAAAAAACGAAAACCACAAGATCGCAACACATGCAGAAAAGACATTTGAAAAACTGAACAATTCAATATTCAATACAATTCAATATTCAAATCATGAAAAAACTCAAGAAATTAGGAGTAGAATAGAATTTCCTTAACCCAATAAAGGGCATCTATGAAAAACCTATACTTGATATCACATTTAAAGAGTGGTCAAAGATTAAATGCTTTCCCCCTAAGATTGGGAACAAGGCAAAGATATCTGCTTGCAACAATTCTATTCTGTACTGAGTTTCCAGCTAGCTCAATAAGGCAAGAGTAAGGAATTAAAAGCACTCGGGAGGCTGAGTCAGGAGAATGGCATGAACCTGGGAGGCAGAGCTTGCCGTGAGCCGAGATAGCACCACTGCACACCAGCCTGGGCAACAGAGCGAGACTCCGTCTCAAAAAAAAAGAAAAAGAAACTGAAATTAAAAGCATCCAGACTGGGTATGGTGCCTCACACCTATACTCCTAAAACTTTGGGAGGCTGAAATGGGAGGATGGCTTGAGGCCAGAAGTTCAAGACCAGCCTGGGCAACATAGTGAGACCCTCTCTCTACAGAAAGTTTTTTTTTAAAGCTGGGCGTGGTGGCGCATGCCTGTAGTTGTAATACACCTGTAGTCCTAGCTACCTGGGAGGCTGAGGCAGCAAGACTGCTTGAGCCCAGCTGTTTGAGGCTGCAGTGAGCCATGACTGCAGCAGTGCACTCCAGCCTGGGTGACAGAGTGAGATTCTGTTTCTTAAAAAGAAGAAAGGAAGGAAAGAAAAAGAAAAGAGAAGGGAAAGGGAAGGGAAGATTAAAAGCATTGCATCCAGATTGGAAAGGAAGAACTAAAACTTTATTTGCAGACAACATGATCTTGTATATAGAAAATCCAAAGTAATCTACCAAAACAACAGCAAAAGGACCTACTAGAACCAACCCTACTAGAATAAACAAGTTTAGTAAAGCTGCAGAACACAAGACCAATATAAAAAAATCAATTGTATTTCTATGTATTACCAATGATCAATTGGAAATCAAAATTAGAAAATACCTTTTACTGTGAATGAAAACACATAATACTTATATATTCCAGACACAAAGACTGGAATTTTTTTAGAACTACTGAGAAAAATTAAAGATGACTTAAATAAATGGAAAGATAAAGCATATTCACAGATTAGAAGACTCAATTTTGTTAGGATTGCATTCTCCCTAAATTGATCTATATCATCCCACAAATAAAAGACCACAACCACATCCAGAGGATTTCACTGGAGAATTCTAAATATATATTCAAGAATTCGATGCAATCCCTCAAGATCCAAGGAGGCGTTTTGTAGTTGACAAGTAGATCCTAAAATTTATATGGGAATGCAAAGAACTTTGAGCAGCATAAACGATTTTGAAAAGGGTGTACCAGCCGGGTGCAGTGGCTCACGCTTGTAATCCCAGGACTTTGGGAGGCCAACACGGGCGGATCACAAGGTCAGGAGTTCGAGACCAGCCTGGCCAATATAGTGAAACCCCGTCTCTACTAAAAATACAAAAAATTAGCCGGGCGTGGTGGCGTGCACCTGTAGTCCCAGATACTTGGGAGGCTGAGGCAGAATTGCTTGAACCCGAAAGGGAGAGGTTGCAGTGAGGCGAGATCGCGCCACTGCACTCCAGCCTGGGTGACAGAGGGAGACTCCATCTCAAAAAAAAAAAAAAAAAAAAAAAAAAGAAAGAAAATAGAGAGAGAGAAAGGTGTACCAAGCTGGAGGGAAGACCCTATCCCATTTTCCTAAACTTACCATAAAGCAATTGTCAAATGCACTATGGGTGTAAGGACAGACACAGAGATCAAATGAACAGAATGGAATGTCCAAATATAAACTCTTACATTTACAGTCCATTGATTTTCAATAAATTTTCAATAAATGGCCAAGGCAATTCAATAGGGTACTTCTGACAAACCGTACTGAAACAATTGGATATCTATATATGCAGAAAAGGTGAATTTATATCCTCACCTCACAATAACTAAATGCTGAGTCAAACAGAATCTAAGAACTAAAATTATAAATCTTCTAAAAGAAAACAGTTTTGTGTTAGGCAAAGTTTTCTTGGATAAGACATCAAAAACATTATACGTAGAAGAAAAAACTGGTAAGGAGATGTGGTCAGACTTCCCAGATAGACCTTTCAACATCACCTTTACCATCTGAGTGTTACATTTATATTACCTAATAAAATAAATCAGCCAAGCACTTTGACCTTCATTTGTTCTTTCATTTAAAGACTGCTTATTATTATTGTTGTTATTATTATTTTTTAAACAGAGTCTTGCTTTGTCGCCCAGGCTGAAGTGCAGTGGCGCAATCTTGGCTCACTGCAACCTCTGCCTCCCAGGTTCAAGCAATTCTTGTGCCTCAGCCTCCCAAGTAGCTGGGATTATAGGTGCCCACCACCATGCCCAGCTAATTTTTGTATTTTTAGTAGAGACGGGGTTTTGCCATGTTGGCCAGCCTGGTCTTGGATTCCTGGCCTCAACTGATCCACCCACCTTGGCCTCCCAAAGTGCTGGGATTACAGGCGTGAGCCACTGCGCCCGGCCAAAAACTTGTTTAAGCATCTATTTATGAAATTCTGAGAAAAAAAGCTAATAAGGTACCCTCACCTTTGGCTAACAGAAGAACAGATAATGAACAGGAAAAACAAACCTTTCCTGAAATTTTAATATTCCACTATTTTTTTTTAACTCCTCTCTTTGCTTCTATACAGACAAAAAAGGCCTCCACAGAGCTGCTATGGGGTGTTGCGAAATCAAGATTGATATTCGAGCAAGAAAAACAAGATTCAAATGGAGATTGTAAGTATGCCTTGACTCTCTTCAGTTCTAACCTTCAGAAATTATGGGAAACAAAATAATTTTGTATTCAGTAATGCTCATGTTTAGAGAAAATACACACAGAAAAAGAGATCCTTGGCAAAACAGCAAGCAAAGTCCTACCTGCTGTGTTGGGTAGGATGGGGGTGGACTGTCTGCTTTGCTCTCCTCTGTCCTGGGGCTCCTGCTTCCCAGCACTCCATCTTCCTTCGGGGCCCCTGGGGGCTCCCCACTACTCTCGCCGTCCGCTTCTTCATCATCAGCTTCTGAGGAACTACTGCTGGTACTGCTTATCTGAGGAGACTTTAAAGACAATCTTTTGTAATTTGCACTTTTCAAAACAGAGTAATATAAAATATTAAAATGTCAGACCATCATTTTATGTCATTTATTGTTGCTACGAAGAAGCCATGTCCATACCTCATCCTTCAGGGCCATGTTTTCCCCGCCACCATTCAATTCGCTGTGGATTCCATTCATGTTGGCCACCACCTCGGTATCATCATAATTACTCAATGGATAAATATCAGCAAATTTGGCTGACAATGGTGCAACATCTTCATCATCACTACAACTGACACAAGCAGAGATGGTCACTGTGAGGTCATTCAATTGTGAAAGACAATGAGTAAACCAGCCACTAAGCACAGATATTTCCTGGACAGATCACGGCTTTCATTTACAAAGAGTATTAGTTAAGTATCATTCCTACCACTAACATTTCTTAGTAACCTCAACATGAGAAAAATGCTTGGAAGATTAACATTTGTGCCATTTGGAAGAGTAAAAAACAAAAAACAAACAGAAAAACCTCCAAAAGTAGAAATATTAAGGAAACTACAAAAATTTAACCAGACTGATTAACGTTTCCATTTGACCTGAAGAGCGCTGGTATAAAACTAGTCTCTCTGCTACTCCCAAGACAACACAATTTGTGATTAAAATTAAAGGGGTACCGATGGCAACCTTAGGTGTTTAGTGTTTGCTTTTTAAACCTTAGCTGTTTAGTGTTTGCTTTTTCAACTTAGGGCTGAAATTTTCAGAAATAGTCAGTTGAACAAAACTTTAAAGGCACTTATGTAACAGAAGACTAATTTTTTTTGCTTTAAGGCCAGTCATGGCCTGGTCACTCATGATCGTAATTAAATATCAGCTTTAGCAAGACATCTAAGCAACAGGCAAATGAAAAATTTACTGAAATTAATTTTATTTTATTTTATTATTTTTTTGAGGCAGTGTCTTGCTCTGTCTCCCAGGCTGGAGTACAGTGGCACAATCTCGGCTCACTGCAAGCTCCACCCCCCAGGTTCACGCCATTCCCCTGCCTCAGCCTCCCGAGTAGCTGGGACTACAAGCACCCGCCACCACGCCCGGCTGATTTTTTGTATTTTTAGTAGAGATGGGGTTTCACTGTGTTAGCCAGGATAGTCTCAATCCCCTGACCTCGTGATCCGCCCGCCTCGGCCTCCCAAAGTGCTGGGATTACAGGCATCAGCCACTGCACCCGGCCTGAAATTAATTTTAAACAGATTTCAAGGCTTTAGCCTACAGAGACCACTTAAGATGCAGCTCTGGTGCATTAAAAGAGCTGGCACATTTAAGCTCAGTGCAATAAGATGCTCCAAGGTCCACAAAAACATGCACTGAGTCCATCTTCAGCCTGGGCACACAGCAACCTCCAGAAGGCAAAACCCTAGGAACTCGTCGTGATCTCACTTCCTAGAATGAGTGAAGAGTGTCCAGGACTACCAAATTCCGGTGTCTTTTCAACACATTACAAGTAACGTGCTAGAGTCTGGAGCTCACCAGAGGTAAGTACAAACAGCACCCACAAGGTGCAGAGTCCTAGGGCTTCCTGCAGGCCCACTGCACCTGGGACGCTGCCTGGGCCAATGCTCATACACACTCCTGAGGATGACCATAGGCACAATTTACAGATGAGAAAACTGAGGTTCTAGTGAAGTAACTCAGCCATTTGCTCCATGTGACAGCAGGAGGCTTCACCAGCCCTAGCTCCGTAAAGATCCAACCCATAAGATCCAGGAAGTACTGTGTGGTACACTGACTACAATCACATTGTTCTTTTTAACCAACTTAGAAAAGGCACCAAGAAAGAGACAATACAAATGAAAAGATAACACTGGAGATTTTCAAATCATAGTTTACATTTGGAAGACATTGATCACAAGCTGCTGAAGGCCCAGATGTCCCGAGAACCTAGGCTCCCCGTAACTGGTGATGGGCAGTTCCGGCCCAAGGAGAAAGGCTCCCACAGCCAATTTCTTCCACTACCACACGTGACACAAGAGACCATAACTGACATCAGCAGCTGTGACAAATGAACAGGGATGAAATTTTCCATCTTAAATTTTCATTAGGCTATATATGTTTAATTTTTATGTTTCAGTAAGAAGTTGGATAACAGCCAGCTGCAAAAATGTCAACACTCTTTCTTGTGCCCTGGAGAGTACACAGTGTCTCTAAGGCAATAAACAGCAGCCTGCAATCTTTGTATGAAGAGAGTCAGTGAGTTTAAACCAGTCCTTTCAGAATTATTTTGTCTGAGAACAAGCCCAAATTGAAAATGGAAAGACTGAAGGAAAACGTCAGTCACCATGAGAAATCCAGACAGAAGGAATGAACACAAGTCAGTTGGTCAGAGAAATCCCAGAAACGCTGCATAGCCAAGGTCAGGAACAACAATCTCTCCCACTGCACACTTCCACATGGAACATGATGCCTGTGTGCTCTACGATACACGTAAACTAAACCTAAGCTGACTTTGGCAACTACATATGATCAAGTGCAACCCTTTTGGAAATTAGCATGTGAAGCCTCCCCAAATGACAGGGTCACAACTCTGAAGAAATCTGGGAACAGCCAACTACAATGTGAATTGGTGACAGCTGCACAACAATGTACTTCTAATCATGCGGGAACATGAAAAACAGAAACCTTCAACTGCTTGCTAAAGCGATCACCTGAGTTCTTAGCAAGACATGAAACAAGCATGAGTGCTGGGCTGACAGGGAGACAGGACAGACGGCGGACTGGTCACCCTTTAGGAGAATGAGGAGATGTGAGGCCGGAATTAGAGACACTTCTTCTCTGCATACCAACATGTTTTTTCTTTACTGGCCTTTATTAATTTACCATGTTTTTTTTTTCCCAGATAAACAGTGTTAAAAGTTTGGGTTTACTGATTTCATGTTTTAAAAGCTGCATTAAAAACCTCAGGGTCCCTTGTCATGAAAAGCACAATAATGATGTTCATACTTCTGTGGACATTACTGTATGTATTTCTCATTACTGGGGCGACTTAAATTTCGGAAACTTTATTACAAAGTCACAACTTACAAAGTTGGTGCCGAGCCACTGTCTGTGAGGATGAGCCTGGGGTGCTGCTGAATTGTGATGGGAGAGCTGGAGCCGGACCCCGAGCTTGCAGATGACACACTGGGCGGGCTCCTCTCAGCAAGATAGTCAGGAGCAGGATCCACTTGAAGTGGGAGCTGGTGAATGTGGATGTCATCAGTGACGGGGGGGTCCATGATACCACACGTGAGGATGTGTGAGAGACTGCAGTCATCGCAAGCACATCTGATCAGGAATTAAGGACAGTTACCAAGCCAACCAATGCACAAGACTAGACCATGCTCTCTAAGGGTCGGTTCTAGGCCTCCACTCAGCCCAGTGAAGGTCCAATGGGCCAGTCGTGCTGACACCACAACCCAGCCTTACCTTCTCCTGTAGTTGCAGTTGGGGCAGTCGGGCATGCTCAGCCGGGACGATAACATGTGCCTCATGGTGTCTGTGAAGTTGTTCTCGCCAGTAACTGCTTTCTTATTGGTTAACTAGAGGAAATTTTAAAATGCTTTAATCTTGCAAGACCCTTCCCCGAGACATGGCTCATTATTTTTCAGTAATTCTGCTGACATGTATCATGTTCACGGGCACTGCTTCCTCAGCGGGACAGGACCAGGAATACAGGGGCAGCAGACCTGGAGTCGGCAGCAAGCTGGGGGCTGAGCTGCAAAGGGCTCGGGTACCAGGAGACCCTAATCGCTTTTGTCTTCAGCAAACATGCTGCAGTGCGCCCTCACAGCACACACCTGATGCAGAAACCCGGCCTTTACCCTGTCTGCCATGTGCTTGGTACTTGCAAGGTACTGAGAACAGAGCTGTAGGAATGAAAAGTGGCACGTGGAGGGCAAGGGGTCGGCCTCGGAGCTATTGAGGAAATGGCACCTCAACTTCTAACAGACAAGGTGAGCATCTGCATTTCAAAGGAGAAGGAACTCTGGACCCACTCTGGCAATGGGACAGGTGGCAGCTGGAAGGGCCACTCAAAAGGACGGGATGGCCGGGAAAGGTGGCTCACGCCTGTAATCCCAGCACCTTGGGAGGCAGAGGCAGGCGGATCACCTGAGGTCAGGAGTTTGAGACCAGCCTGGCCAACATGGTGAAACCCCATCTCTACTAAAAATACAAAAATTAGCCAGGCGTGGTGGCTGGCACCTGTAATCCCAGCTACTCAGGAGGCTGAGACACGAGTACCGCTTGAACCCGGGAGGCAGAGGTTGCAGTGAGCCGAGTTCACGCCACTGCACTTCAGCCTGGACGACAGAGTGAGACTTTGTCTCAAAACAACAACAACAACAAAAGCACAGGGACACATGCAGAATGGGGAAAGGGAAGAGGTAAGCATGCCACAACACTGGTGCCATCTGTATACCTGTGGTGCCCAGAGGAGACCACGGGCATGCAAATGTGGAGACAGGCATGGGGTCAAGGCCAGGGAACCACCAATATTTGCAGAAAGACCAATGAAGTTGGAGTTCGTAAAGGAGATGGAGAGAAGTGTCAGAGAACAGGAAGAGAGTCGATGTGGCACGTGGATGGGAGATCAGGGGAAGCCAAGTTTCCAGATGAAGCCAAGGGCCCCCAGACCAGATACAGGACATCACTAGCAAGCTCTGCCCAACAGCTCCAGCAAAGGTGGAGCACAAGCCTGCCTGGAGGAGGCACCGCCAGGAAGATGAGGAAGGGAGAGTCCAGATCTGCCAGCTGCCATGTTGAAGGCATGGCACCTGGCAATGTCTGGAGATCTGAGCGCTCTGTCTGGGGATGCTGGGCCCCCATTCCAGCTCTGGGACATCAGGCAACATCCTTAACCTCACCCTAACACCCTCCTTCATATGTAAACTGCAGATGGCACCATCTGCCTCATAGGGGACTGTGGGGACTCAGGTAATATCCTTTGCAAAATACCCAGAGCTGCTGTGGGATAGAGAGGCCACTCAATACACATGGGTTTTTCTTGAGGCGTATATGGAAGATAAGGAAATAGGTGAAAATTAGTTTATCTTGAGATTAAAAACACCATCTTGAACAGTTTTTAACGCTGGCAAAACATGCCAATGTGGTCCTCCAATGCTGTTCTAACAAAGCACATCAACATGCAGAGAAGTCATTTGCTGTCAGGACAGATTTCTACTTCCTTTAATTGCCTCTCTTATTGACAAGCTTACCTGTTCTTCAATGAATCTTCTTTGTTTAAAAAGCTCCCAGTCTTCTGTTAACATGCGCTGCTTGGTTTTCATTGTCATCTAGTAAGGGGATGTAAAAAACAGAAAAAAAAGAAAAACTTTAATACCTGCGACAATTATACAAGACATTTTCAAGAGGAGACTTTCTTAAAATGATATATATGAGAGAAACATCATCTGCAAACAGAATAAAGATACAATACTACAAATATGTTAACAGGTATTTCTTTATTTTACTCAAACTCATCACAAGTACTTTTCTCACATGAAAGACAGAGATGAATAAACAGTAAAAAGAGAAATCAAGATATTCTGACTAAATCTGTCAATACAGTGGATGAACATTCACTATTTACTGAATGCCCATTATGTGCCCTGAATGTGTTAGAAATAAGCAAGATGATGGCAACTCGGTCCTGCCACACGAAGAGCTCAGACTACAGGAAAGGAAGAGCTATTAACAGGCATATGAGACTTAAAAAGCAAAGCAAAACAAAACTAACAAAGAAGTTAGGAGTTAAAGGCAAAAAGAGAAATTACTGAGGAAACAGAGAAGCATATGTGATTAATAAAACCGAAAGTCGGTTCTGTAAGCTTCTGTCAAGGCTGAAAAAGGGGGAAAAAGGTAACATTAAAAAAAAATCAGGATTGAGAAAGGATATGGGTACATATGAAGATTGTTTTGTTTTGTTTTTGAGACTGAGTCTCGCTATATCACCCAAGCTGGAGTGCAGTGGCACAATCTCGGCTCAATGCAACCTCTGCCTCCTGGGTTCAAGCGATTCTTGTGCTTCAGCCTCCTGAGTTAGCTGGGATTATAGGTGCCCGCCACCACGCCCAGCTCATTTTTCTATTTTTACTAGAGACGGTGTTTCACCATGTTGGCCAGGCTGGTCTGGAACTCCTGGCCTCAAGTGATCCACCTGCCTCGGCCTCCCAAAGTGCTGGGATTATAAGCGTGAGCCACTGTGCCCGCCTGGCCAGAAGATTGTTTTTAAACTGTGAGACAAAGTCTCTTTATAAGTTGATACTTTGTAACATCTAAAGAAGAGTTACAAACAAGGGGCTCATGGGCTATTTTGTCCGACTTGCACTTCACCTCTTTTTAAAAGTGTTCGAGATTTCACCTAATAATCCAGATTTCTGGCTTCTCTTGACAACCTGGCAGCTCTGGTGGCCCTGTGAAGACTGTTGGACCCAAGTGGGGACTGCCCCTAACAGAGAACAGGAGGACACACGCACGCACACACAGGTGTGGCCTTCGCTACCCATGCCCCAGGCTCCACTAGGGCCTATCCCAACTGAGGGCACTTTCAAGGTGAGGGTGGTGACGGCCATGAGCACCACAGGAACGCTGGGGCCGCTCTACCCTGTATCATCCATTTCCGTGACTTTCCCTAGCCCTGCAGGTGTGAGTTTACAACCCTTTACTAAACGATATGGATAACTTCTTGAGCCAAATTCTATTTGTAAAACTGACTCGAGGGAGAAGGAAACCTGAAATACACTAATAAATGTCATATAAATGAAAAAGGCAGACAAGATCTATAGTTCTTGTTCTTCTTCCCTGTAAAAATGAATTAGGCCCCAAAGTTTTACGGTAGGTTCTATCAAACCCTTCATGGGACAGAAAATTTAAACTATTCCTGAAAATTGCAAAAACACAGAGTTTCTCAATTCATTCTATGAAGCTAGCACAACCTTTATACAAAACAAGTAAGACCTCAAAGACCAAGACAACTCAATTATACCTCAGAATATAGATATAAAAGTCCTGGCTGGATGCAGTGGCTCACACCTGTAATCCCAGCACTTTGGTAGGCCAAAGCAGGAGGATCACTTGAGGCCAGGAATTTGAGAACAGTCTAGGTAACAAGGCAAGACCCCCACCGCTACAAAAAATTTCATTTGTTTGTAAATAAAATTATCTTTGAGACAAGGTCTCTTGCTCTGTCACCAAGGCTGGACTACAGTGGTATGATCACAACTTACTGTAGCCTCAACCTCCTGGGCCTATGATCCTCCCACCTCAGCCTCCCAAGTAGCTAGGACCACAGGCACACACCACCACACCTGGCTAATTTTTTTTTCCTTGTAGAGATGGGGTTCTCCCTATGTTGCCCAGGTTGGCCTCAAACTCCTGGGCTCAAGCGATCCTTCTGCTTTGGCCTCCCAAAGTGCTGGGATTACAGCTGTGAGCCACTGCACCAAGCCAAAACTTAGCTGGCACACTGGCATGTGCCTATGGTCCTAGCTACTCAGGAGGCTGAAGTGGGAGGAGAGCTTGAGCCCAGGAGTTCGAGGCTGCAGAGAACTAATATCTTGTCATTGCACTCCAGCCTGGCCAGCAGTGTGAAACCCTGTCTCTAAAAATAATTTTATATAGCTGTCCGAATACACACACACACACACACAGGCGCACACGCACACACACACACGTCCTAAATCAAATATCAGCTAATAAATTTAATAATGGAATAAAGAATGACATATCATGATCTACTAGGGTTTCATCCCAGGAACGCAAGAATGTCTCAAAATTAGGTAACCTAAACTCTTAACTCATACAGAAATTGATATAAGAAAAATCATACCATCAATTTTGACATCTTCCTGTTTTATTTTTTAAATGATAGCCTAAATCAACTAGAAATAAAGGTAAACTTCTTTAATTTGCTAGAAAGTATCAAAAGTCTGTATGGCAAGCATCAAACTTCATGGTGAAACACTCACAGCAGCCCCTCGAAGCCAGGACTGGACAAGGGTGCCAGTATCAATGCTCTTATTCACACTGGTCTGAAGGTCCTAGTGGAAGCCAAAAAAAGGGGACAAATGCTGGAAAAGATGAGATAAACCTATCATTATTTGTAGAAGATACCGTGATTTCCTAGACTCCCAGATTCAAGACTCAACTCAAAAACTACAAGAGTTAATGCCGGCATCTGGCGAGATGACTGGTCACAGGGCATCTCCATTTTCCCAGTTTCCAGCATGAATGCTTTAAACACACATTCCCCACTCAAGATGCCGGTCATAGCAGCCCCTCAAACTACAGACTATGGAGGCACAAAATGGGTCAAGATTTACAAACTATAAAACCATAATACAATATATTTTTAAAAACCTTAAAAAAGAGTGACATACCATATTCTTGGATGGGAAGATTCAATATTGGTGCCAATTCTCCCTTTTCATTGTATATGTCTGCAGTTATTATAAAATCTTAGTGTACAGTGTAAGAGTTGTTTGATAAATAACATCAATAAAAACCTCTTCCTTGACTCTCTCCTCACAGCCTCAGGGAAATTTTTTTTTTTTTGGAACAAATTTGGGTACCTGCAGGCTTATGTATGTGTCAAACAACAGAGAAAGAATGAATTTCAGACAGCAAACATAAAAATAATTGATTTCAAACTTCCAGCCTGGGCAACACGGTGAAACCCCGTCTCTACCAAAAATACAAAAAAAAAAAAAAAAAAAAAAATTAGCCAGGCATGGTGGTGTGCGCTGTGATCCCAGCTACTCTGGAGGCTGAGGTGGGAGGGCTGCTTGAGCCCAGCAGGCAGAGGTTGCAGTGAGCTGAGATGACACCACCGCCTAGTTGAGAGAGTAAGACTCCATCTCAAACAAACAAACAAAACCTACCAACTCTCTTGCCACATACATACATACTTATTTGTGAACAGAGACTCAATTATTTTACACGTATTCAACATTTTAAAGCCTTTGAATCAGTATAAAATTTCTAAAATGTTATTGATTAGAAGCAACCAATGTTCATTCAAAGGTTTTAAATTAAATAGTGCATTAAAACAGCTCCAGTGGAGAGTGGAGTGGCCACAAACCAAGAACTCCAGGGGTCACTGCAGTTGCCCCCAAAGCCTTCAGGGGAACATAGCCCTGCTGACATACTGATTCTGAACTTCTGGCCTCAAGAACTGTGAGCATAAATTTCTGTTGTTTTCAGCTCCCCACAACCTCCCACCCATGCATACATGGTTCCAGAATGACTATTATTCTCTGGATGTTACTAAAGTGGCTCAATTTCCCTCAATTGTATTAGTGGCAGATTGTTTCTCATGGTTTCTTCACAAGACAGTGAAAATAAAAATGCATCTCCTGGCTGGGCATGGTGGCTCACGCCTGTAATCCCAGCACTTTGGGAGGCTGAGGTGGGTGGATGATGAGGTCAAGAGATCTAGACCATCCTGGCCAACAGGGTGAAACCTTGTCTCTACTACAAATACAAAAATTAGCCGGGCGTGGTGGCGGGCGCCTGTAGTCCCTACTACTCGGGAGGCTGAGGCAGGAGAATTGCTTGAACCCAGGAGGCAGAGGTTGCAGTGAGCCAAGATCACACCACTGCACTCCAGCCTGGTGACAGAGAGAGACTCTGTCTAAAAAAAAATAAATAAAAATAAAAAGCATCTTCTGGTTGCTTTAGTGAAGAGACTGGTTTTCTCTTTGTAAAAGCAATGTAACATGCAATTTTAAAGAAATACACTTTACTTTTTAAGTGACACTGTTATTTTCTCCCTAGAGAGAACATGTATGTGTTATTTTTACATATATACCATTTTCCCTAGAACAACAGCAATAATACCATATATAATATTTCAAAATAAATGTTTACCTTCAAGAAACAGATACCTGAAGAAATTACTATTCCCAAAGGATTTTTCAGTCTTAGTAAAAGAATTTCCCTAAGGGCATTTTTGTGTTTAGTTACAGTTCAATTGGAGAAATGAATCTCTGAAACTAGAACTTTATCTGCCATTTCCATCACATGTGGAACTAAGGACAGCACCCCAGGCTCTTAGGGGCAGGATGTTATGCTACGTAGGACACCGCTGACCTAAACCCCAACAGGCCTGCCTGGCTGAGACCCTCGGGAGCCTCCTGTCATCTGCAGATGTGGTAACACCAGGAAGCAGTAGTGAGGCTCTAGCCACACGGGGTTTGGCACAGCACTCGGTAACGGTTCATCTTCCTTCTCTTTCATCTTTTTCCCTATGTTATCACTAACTATACTATTTTTCTGAAGTCACCTGAAGGTTACAAGTTATTCACAACCTCAGAAACTTATATCGATACATGAAGGGAAAGCCAGGTGATATGGCTTAGATTTGTGTCCCCGCCCAAATCTCATGTCAAACTGTAATCCCCATTGTTGGAGATGGGGCCTGGTGGGAGGTGATCAGATCATGGGGGCAGATTTCCCCGAAGGTGCTGTTCTCGTGATAGCGAGTGCTCAGAAGATCTGGTTGTTTAAAAGTGTGTAGCACCTCCCCACCCCCCTTCCTCCTACTCCAGCCACGTAAGATGTGCTGGCTTCCCCTTCACCTTCCACCATGATTGTAAGTTTCCCGAGGCCTCCCAGCCATGCTTCCTACACAGCCACAGAACCGTGAGCCAATTAAACTGCTTTTCTTTATAAATTATCCAGTCTCAGGTATTTCTTTATAGCAATGCAAGAATGGACTAATACACCAGGGATAAATCAAGTGAACAGCATCAATCCTACAGAAGAAAAACACCAAATGCAGGAGAAAGGGAGGTGGGAGTTCCATTCAGAAAAGCTTCCAGACTCAAAGCTTCTCTGCAATAGGCCAGCGTCTCCTGTTCAACACCAGGACAGGAAGCACCGACACACCCAAGTCATCTTTGTTGACAGGCAAGGCTGATTTGCACTTAGACTTGCAGACAAGTGCCTCCCATGAAGGGTACTCTGCAAATCCCTGGTAAACAATGAATACCAGGCACAGAGGCCACCAGCCCCAGTCAGGGACAGATGTGTCCCTGAAATGAAATCTGAGATGAGACCTCATGGTCACCTAGTCCAAATACCTCTCCAACTATTCTCCACATTCCCTATCATGGGGAACTCATCTCCACACTACAGCCCACTCTGCCTTCGAACGACCCTTGCAAGGGACTCTTTCTGATCACACACATCTACACGGGGTCTGGACTCTCCTCCTGGGGGCTGTCTGGGACGAGCTGAATGTCTGCTTCACAATGGTCACTTCTTGACGACTCAGGCCAGCAACCTCTTATGCTTCCCTGCCAGGGGGATCCAGTCTGGTCAGAGCTGTCCTGAGGACAGGCAGCGAGGCTGCTACCACACCCTGATTACAGGACCTTCCACGTCTGCCGTGACGTCATGTCAACCTGTCACATTGATATGGTTCACCTTTGTCCCCACCCAAATCTCATGTCAAACTGTAATCCCCACATGTCAGGGGAGGAACCTGGTGGGAGGTGATGGGATCATGGGGGCGGATTTCCCCCATGCTGTTCTCATGATAGCGAGTTCTCACAAGATGTGATGGCTCAGAAGTGTGGCATTTCCCCTCTTGCTCTCTCTCTCCTGCCACTGTGTAAGACGTGCCTTGCCTCTTCTTCTCCTTCCGCCATGATTATAAGTTTCCTAAGGCCTCCCCAGCCATGCGGAACTGTGAATCAATGAAATCTCTGTTCTTTATAAATTACCCAGAATCAGGTAGGTTTTTTGTTTTATTGGTTTTTTTTTGAGACAGAGTTTCACTCTTGTTGCCTAGGCTGGAGTGCAATGGCATGATCTCAGCTCACCCCAACCTCTGCCTCCCAGGTTCAAGTGACTCTCCTGCCTCAGCCTCCTGAGTAGGTGAGATTACAGGCATGTGCCACCACGCTCGGCTAATTTTGTATTTTTAGTAGAGACGGGGTTTCTCCATGCTGGCCAGGCTGGTCTTGAACTCCCGACCTCAGGTGATCCGCCCACCTTGGCCTCCCTAAGTGCTGGGATTACAGGGGTGAGTATCAAGCCCGGTCTCAGGTAGTTCTTTATAGCAGTGTGAAAATGGACTGATACACACACCCCTCCAGGTCTGATGCCACCCTCCAGTGGATTCACCAACACTCAGCTTCTCCATCTGCACGTCTGTTACTGCTACAAACACTAACAAGACTGTGGAGGAGGGCCCTGAGACAGCGTTCTCTGGGCCAAAGGCAAATACCGTTGCTGCCATTAGAGTGTACCGTGGGCGGCTATCCATGCCTACCCAGAAGGTGCTTGGGGCTCCTCTTTTTTTATGCGGTCCTTGGTAAAGGTAGGCAGGGTCCTATGCACTTGGGAGGTTTCAATGACCTAATGCAATACAACTTGACTGCAGCTCATGTTGGCAAGACAGAGACTTAGCAGGTGGCACTATGTCGTCAACAGAGACACTCTTGGATTAAGGAGCCTTTCACGTGCTTCCCACAAGCAGCCTCTCTGGGAGTCTTGAAACCCCGCCCTGCACAGCAGCCTCTCCCTGGGCTTCAGAGCCCTGAGCTCCCATCTCTGCCCCCAGCCAGGGTGGTCTTGGCTTCCCCTACCGCACCCGTGAGGCCAGAGCAGGTGCGCTTCGTTCCCTTGAGCCCCGGTGACGAGAGTGAGCCGGGCAGGAAAGCCGGCCCCTCGCCTTCTGTTTTCCTTCTCAAGGTCTTTCCTTCACAGTGTCTACTGATGGCCTGAGATCTCATGCTCCTCCCTCCTTCTGTGCTCTCAATAAACCACCCTGCGTGGGTGCCATGGGATGTGCTCTAGAGCAGTGGTCCCCAACCTTTTTAGGACCAGGGACCGATTTCATGGAAGACAACTTTTCCACAGACCAGGTGAGGCAAGGGGATGGTTCTGGGATGATTCAAGCTCATCACATTTATTGTGCACTTTGTTTCTATTATTATTACACTGTCATATAGAATGAAATAATTATACAACTCACCACAATGCACAATTAGTGGGAGCCCTGAGCTTGTTTTCCTTCAACTAGATGGTCCCATCTAGGGGTGATGGGAGACAGTGACAGATCATCAGGCATTAGATTCTCATGAGGAGCGTACAATCTAGATCCCTTGCACACGCAGTTCACAATAGGGTTCATGCTTCTGTGAGGATCTAATGTCTCTGCTGATCGGACATGAGAAGTTCAGGCGGTAATGCAAGCAATAGGGAGTGGCTATAAACACTGACAGGCTTCACTGGCTCACCGGCCACTCACCTCCTGCTGTGCAGCCTGGTTCCTAACAGGCCATGGACTAGTACTGGTCTGTGACCCAAGGGTTAGGGACCCCTGCTCTGTGGGGCACCCAGTAACCAGCAGCCCACAGTGCAATACCAACACAGGGACTATTTACTGTCCCTATGCCTATATATTTTTTTCATTTTTTGAGATAGGGTCTCACTGTTGCCCAGGATGGAGTGTGGTGGCATGATCATAGCTCACCACAGCCTCAACCTCCTAGGCTCAAGTGATCCTCCCATCTCAGCCTCCCGAGTAGCTGAAACCACAAGTGCACACTACCATGGCAGGCTAATTTTTGTATTTTTGTAGAGACAAGGTCTATCTATGTCACCCAGGCTGATCTCAAACTTCTGGGCTCAAGTAATCCACCTGCCTCAGCCTCCCAAAGTGCTAGGAATACAGGTGTGAGCCACTAAGCCTGGCTTTTTTTTTTTTTTTTTCAGACAGGGTCTCACTCTGTCACCCAGGCTGCAGTGCAGTGGCACCATCATAGATCACTGCAGCCTCTAACTCTTGGTCTTAAGTGATCCTCCCCCACTCACTCTCTGGAGTGGCCGGAACCACAAACACACGGCACCCAGCCTGGCTAATTTTTTAATTTTTTGTAGAGACAAGGTCTCACTATGTTGCCCAGGCTGGTCTCAAACTCCTGGGCTCAAGTGATCCTCCCACCTTAGCCTCCCAAAGTGCTGAAATTATAGGTGTGAGCCACTGCACCTGGCCAGTTTTACTTTTTAAAAATAACACAGAAAAAACTTATTTGGAATTAAAAGCTCACACAACACTAAAACATCACCTAACATAATTATCTCATTTTGCAGGTAGGGAGGGAAAAGACTCATGGGGCAGATCCGGGACATTCTGGTGTTGACTGCCGTGCAGGGTTCTCCCTGGGACCCAAGTCAAGAACATCCCAGGGAGTGGTGACCTGGACACACTACTGGCCCTCCTGCACGGCCACAGCCCTGAAGAGCCTCTGCCGAAGATGCCCACTTCCTGGAGAAGGTTAATGCCCACTGTCCTAGCTTCCCCCAACTCCTGCTCCCTCTACCAGAACAGCAAACTTGTGAAAATGGGCTGGTGCACCCACAGATGGCAGAGGGGAATGCAGCTTTCAGCGCCCTCTCTGCTGTGCTGCCCCCACATGGCACAGCTGCAGCCCCTGGGATGCTCCAGGCCTCACGAGATGAAGGCTGCTGAGGTGCTGCTGCAGCAGGAGACTCTGCCCTCCCCACCTGGCATCCAGACCCTGCTCTCACAGTAGTCCAGGCTAAGAAGTCGCTGGTCAGTGACAAGCCACAGCAGGAAAGTCTCTGGTTGCAAAAACAGACAAAAACATGAATTAGGAATACACCCACTTTGAAGAAAACACAAAACAGCAACTGCTCTCTCAGGCCCCACCATGAGGCACAGGACACAGAGGGAGTCTCCCAGGACCAAAGTGATCTCTGAGGCCCCTCCTCACCCTGACGTGCTGTGCGTACAGCAGCCAAGGAAGAGGCGCAGAGTCATGGGAGAGTCTCAGGGCCACCTGCCCTAAGACAAGCTCAACAGCACAGAATTCCGCATGTGACGAAGTTGGAACTTACTCCACTGAAGCTGATGCAGGTTCAAAAAAAGCCAGCAGGCCAGGCGCAGTGGCTCACAAATGTAATCCCAGTACTTTGGGAGGCTGAGAATGCAGAAGAATGGAGTAAGAGAAAACCCGCGAAAATCCAAACAACAGACCATTTGTAGCTCTAGTCCCTGTGGCTGCAGTAGAGAACAGCAACAGAAAACACGGCCTGTAGCTGTGAAATCAATGACACAATTCTCGGAGGGAGCAAGCACATGCTAGTCCCTTCCTTCTTCCCAGTCCCTCACAGCACTGACAAGGAACACTGACAAGGAGCCACAGGTGGCATCCACATGGCACTCACCATGCCAGGGCAGACATGGAACCAGCACATGTCTTAGGCTAGAGCCCAGGTTCCATTTTCCTACAGAGAGTCTCCGAAGTGCAAAAGAGAAACTCAGTCATTCCTTCTTTACCCTTGCTCACACTAGTGTCATCTTTAAACCAGGGCCGCTCTCAATTCCTTCCTGGCCCAACCCTGCTTTAGGAGAGCAGGCAGGCCAGGGGTGGGAAGCGGGGGGAGGGGGCGCCGTCTCAAAGCCCTGCTCTGTCTGACAGGCTTGGGCTGCCTGAGTGCCCTCCCTTCAGATCCACCTCCAGCAGGTGCCCTCCCTCTTCTGTCTTCCACCTGGTGAGCCACCTGCCACCTGTGCATGTGTCTGCACTCCCTTCTAGACTAGGACAGATGGACAATGAGCTCTCAACAGCAGAGTGCTCAGTAAACAGCTCCTGGACTTAAAAAACCTCCTACCTGGACCAGGCGTGGTGGCTCACTCCTGTAATCCCAACACTTTGGGAGGCTGAGGCAGGGAAACCACCTGAGGTCGGGAGTTCGAGACCAGCCTGACCAACATGGAGAAACCCTGTCTCTACTAAAAATACAAAACTAGCCAGGCATGGTTGGTGCATGCCTGTAATCCCAGCTACTCGGGAGGCTGAGGCAGGAGAATCACTTGAACCCGGGAGGCGGAGGTTGGGGTGAGCCCAGATCTCACCATTGCACTCCAGCCTGGGCAACAAGAGCAAAACTCCATCTCAAAAAAAAAGAAAAACCTCCTACCTGGGGTGCAGAGCCTGGTGACAGCCCGTGTGAGTGACAGCAGGTGTGCCCAGGCCAAGGAAAACTTGACCAACTGCTGCCACCACACCTCAGGCCCAGGAGGCCCAAGCCATCTGTGATGCCAACAGGTTTCCCATCCCTTCCGGAAAACCAGCAGCTAACACACAGGGGCTACCCACATGCGCCTCTGGGCCTCAGTCGGGAATTCCTGGCTTGCAGCTCAGGACAAAGCTAGTGACTTGGTGCTGCCTTCAACAGGGCCGTCTGAGGATGTGCGCGGGGTGCGGTGGTCCCGGGTGGCACTCACCTGCTCGTCGACATAGGCGTCGATCCTCTTCTGGCACTCCAGCCACTCCTCGGCGACTCTGCGCAGCTCCTCCTCGGAACGCTGGTACCTCTGCAGCAAGGTACTGTATGTGTCCTCACTGCAGGTGTCGTGTGTGGTGGTTCCTAGCCTAGGAGAGAGAAGGCCTTGTAACAAAGGAAAGAACCCAAAGGCTCTGAAGCAGAGATCAGAAATGTGCTTCCTGCTGATACTATCCTGCTTTGTCATCTCGCCTCCCAACGTGGAAAACAGGGTGCCACTCTGCACCACAGCAGGGAGCTGTGAGGGATCAACAGATCCCCATGCAAGGCACCCAGGACAGACTTGTAAAAAGGAGATGCTCAGCTGGGCACAGTGGCTCACACCTGTAATCCTAGCACTTTGGGAGACTGAGGTGGGTGGATCACCTGAGGTCGGGAGATCGAGACCAGCATGACCAATATGGTGAAACCCCATCTCTACTAAAAATACAAAAAAATTAGCCGGGTGTGGTGGCAGGCACTCATAGCCCCAGCTACTCAGGAGGCTGAGACAGGAGAATCGCTTGAACCCGGGAGGCGGAGGTTGCAGTGAGCCGAAATCACACCATTGCACTCCAGCCTGGGCAACAGAGCGAGAATCTGTCTCAAAAAAAAAAAAAAAAAAAAAAAAAAAAGGAGATGCTCAAAGAAACAACAGCTTCTAAGAAAAAAATGAGCACTGAACAACATGTCTCTAAAGACTATGACTTAACAATTCAGTTTACCAAATATGGAATTGCAAAGAAAAAATTAAAATAGATAAAAATAAAAATGATAAAAAAATAAATATGGGAATACAAAGTTATTTTACTCTTGAAAATACAACTGGCTCAGAGAAAACAAAACACTTAATGAGACATAAAATTTAGATCTGGTTTTCAAATAAAGCAAAACAAAATCTGATTTACTTGAAGAAATATAGTTACAGTTTTCTGTCTACTATATTATATTGTATTAAGAAAGACGGCGGTCAGGTGCAGTGGCTCACGCCTGTAATCCCAGCACTTTGGGAGGCCTAGGCGAGGGGATCACCTGAGGTCGGGAGTTCAAGACCAGCCTGGCCAACATGGAGAAACCCTGTCTCTACAAAAAATACAAAAATTAGCTGGGTGTGGTGGCACATGCCTGTAATCCCAGCTACTCAGGAGGCTGAGACAGAAGAATCGCTTGAACCTGGGAGGCAGAGGTTGGGGTGAGCCGAGATCGCGCCACTGCACTCCAGCCTGGGAGACAGGGTGAAACTATGCCTCAATAAAAAAAGAAAAAAAGAAAGAAAAAAAAAGAAAGATGGCAAGATGGAAAATGAGAAAATAAATGGGAAACAAAAGACACACATGCAGGTGGACAGTGAGAAAAAACACCTCGATTTCTGAAAAGACTGAGCAAGATGGCGATTGGGAGACAGAAGGCTGGGGGCTGGGGTCAGGAGGAGGACGGGGAGTGGTGTGGAGACACATGTAGATTATTACCAGAAAAAATTCATGTTCCTAATACCTAAGTCTATCAGTGTGAGCCAAAATAAGTGGAATAAAGACATCTTGACAAGGATGGCTTAGAATCAAATACCATGTTTATAATATATCAAGAGCACAAAGATTCTGCGCAAGGTTAAGGATCAGCACTATTTACATAAAAACACTAGAAGCTACCAAATGCATCATGGCACATCTAGGAGAATCAGTACTTGGTAACCAGATACTTGTTACCAATTTTATAATTATGTCTACCCATTCACACACACACACACACACACACACACATTCATGTATATATACACATATATATTTTGAAATGGAAATATGCTCATGGTAACTAAAGATATGACTACAGCATGTTTAAAAATACGTATAGTGGACATAGGGAAAAAATGTATAAGAAATACTAAATTATTTATAAAACCTAACTTTGTTTACGATTTTCTATATTTTCATAATTTTATTTGTAATGACAATCTAATGATTTTATAATAAACAAGCTATGTGGAAATTAGGATCTTTTCATGGGTGAAATGGGCAGGAATGACTCCCTCTTCTCCTCTGACCTATCTCCACCCTCAGGTAAATCGCACCTGGGAACCTTGCAGCTACTGAAGCCATCTGTGCACTCACCTATTGCAGTCTCTCCAGGGAAGGCAGCAGAGGTTAGGTGTAACTGGGCAGTCATTTAGGGAAGCCCAAAGGAAAGAAACAATACTGACGCACATGGATTGAGGCTACTTCAAAACATCAAAGCTGTTCTCCTAAGGCTGTTTCTGCCCCTCAGGAGACAAAACTCCTTAAGACATGGACTCCAGTGGCGCCAGGGATCTGCCACACTGCAGCCCGTGAAGTAGTTTTTCTCCCACTTCTTCTCTGCCAGCCTTGCTCTTCCGTGACTGGTTTCCATTCTTCACACAGAATCCAGCTTCTACCCAATTCCATCCTGCCCCTACTTGCTCCACCTGGAACGTTGGGATGCGGCATTATACCCTGTCATGTGTTCCTTGTCCCGCTCCTCCTGGAAGTAAGAATTTATCTCTTCCAAGTTATAGAATTCAGATTATTTTGAGCCAAGGGAGAGCAAAGTGGGTGGGGGAGGGGGTTTGTGGATATCTTTGTTGGTATAATTGAAAAGCAATCTGCAGGCACAGGGCTTCCCTGCAAGCAAAGCTGTGCTAGGATCAAAAGAGTCACAGGGACTATCCACAGGGTTGAATTAAATCAATGGCTCAGCAAACAGGTTTCCATCTAAATATTGAGCTTGCAAATACAAGACAGCAGCATGAAAATATGCTTACTGTAATGTTACCAATGTGTATGTGAAACATTATTATTGATAAAGAGAATGAAATAACATTGGTTTGGGTAAGTTTTATTAGCCTAATTAATACATATTTAAAGTGAAGCCCACATTGGGCTACTGATACCCACAACAAAGAGAAGCAGGCCTGAGGGATGCACCCCCTGATAGAAACACCCCCCGCCTACGCCTTGGCCTGCCAGGGGATCTGAGCAGAGCCGTCCAGAACCTTCAGATCCTACCACCAATTCTCAGGCAGGACAGAGGATGGAGGTGGCCAAACTGCTCTGTGAACACGCCCACGCAGGATCCAGACCAAAGCACCCCCAGGACAGATGGCCTAGTTCTTTCATAGATACATTTTAAGACAAAAAATGGTGGGGAGTCAAGGGAAGGAAACTGCCCATTACAGACTTTCAAAGGCTATGGGGAAAAAAGAAGGGGACAATGGAGAGTTACTGTTTAATGGTAGAGTTACTGTTTCGGGTGAGGAAAAAATTTTAAAGTACATGGTGGTAATGGTTATAAACACTATGAATATAATTAATGTTATTGAAATATACACTAGTTAAAATGGTAAGCTTTATGTTATATATACTTTACCATAATTTTTAAAAAATGAAATATATCAAAAGTCATTGAATTGTACATTTTAAGTGGGTGAATTGTACCATATGTATTTCATAGGATGCAGAAGCTTTAAGGGGTGTTTGTATGTAATCAGTAGCAAAATTTTTATGAATTGTTAAATGCGTATCTGTACATTAGCAATGCAAATCTGAATTATCTTGAATTAGTCTCAGGCTGACAAGGGAGTCAGCTGCAGAGCACAAAGGCATGGCGTGTCCTGGCGTCGTCAGTGCTGCTCAGGGAACGTGCTGGTTGGCCTCATTCTGTCCCTGTCTGTGTTTATCCTTCTCCCTCAACTGCCTGTGGGTCCCAAAAGTGAGAAGTGAGACTGCAGCTTGAGATCCAGCATCCACACTAGAGACGTGGCTCATGGTTGGAGTCTGACCATCATACCCAATGAGCAAACGGAAAATCCAGAACTAGGGCACAGAAAAAGATGGGAGTTTTCACGGTGAAACCCCGTCTCTACTAAAAATACAAAAAAAAATTAGCCGGGTGTGGTGGCGGGCGCCTGTAGTCCCAGCTACTCGGGAGGCTGAGGCAGGAGAATGGCATGAACCTGAGAGGCAGAGCTTGCAGTGAGCCAAGATCTCACCACTGCACTCCAGCCTGGGCGACAGAACAAGACTCTGTCTCCAAAAAAAAAAAAAAAAAGATGGGAGTTTTATGATGCACTTCCGGTTTCAGTCACCCACCCACAGTCTGACAGGCTGACGGAACTCACTGGCTTACCAGTAAAATATTTTTTTTTAAGGTAGATTCCCTGGAATCTTGTTTTCAGAGCCCCTCTCCCAAGATGCATATCTTCTCATGAAAAGTGCTTTTGATGAATCTGAACGTCATAACCAGGGACAAAGCCTACTCCACATTCCAGATTCACCACTGTGAATTCTCTTCCGATGCCTTTTCTTCTGCAAGGGTCAGAGTAAGGACTTTCCAATCTTGATACACAGTGGCCACAGAAGGGAAGGAATGGCTAAGGAGCAGGCCAGGGCACAGGGAACACTGGAAGGGTCTGCAGCCCACCTGCCAGCTGGCCACACGCCCCGTAACACCTTGTTCTGATTTTTTTGTGTGTTTTTTTGAGATGGAGTCTCGCTCTGTCCCCCAGGCTGGAGTGTAGTGGCGTGATCTCGGCTCACTGCAACCTCCGCTCCCAGGTTCACGCCATTCTCCTGCCTCAGCCTCCCGGGTAGCTGGGACTTCAGGTGCCCGCCACCATGCCCAGCTAATTTTTTTTTTTTTTTTTTTTGTATTTTTAGTAGAGACGGGGTTTCACCATGTTAGCCAGGATGGTTTCGATCTCCTGACCTCATGATCTGCCCGCCTCGACCTCCCAAAGTGCTGGCATTACAGGCATGAGCCACTGCACCTGGCCCGCCTCGACCTCCCAAAGTGCTGGCATTACAGGCATGAGCCACCGCACCTGGCCCTTTTTTTTTCTTTTTTAAGAGATGGGGTCTCGCTGTTACCCAGTCTGGTCTCCAGCTCCTAGGCTTAAGCAATCCTCCTGCCTCAGCCTCCCAAGTAGCCGGGGCTAGAGGCATGAGCCAGCACGTGTAGCTTCTGATCTTTTTGTCCTCAATTCTCTTTTACCTAATTGCTTTCTCTAGAGGTAAGGTTATGAAGTGGAGATGGTCAGGACCCCTCAAATAAAATTTGGGAATACAGGAAACAAAGACTGGGTCAATACACGTATTCTTTTTGTTTGTTTGTTTTTGTATTTTGTTTTCAGATGGAGTCTCGCTCTGTGGTCCAGGATGGAGTGCAGTGGCACGATTTCAGCTCACTGCAAACTCCGCCTCCTGGGTTCACGCCATTCTTCTGCCTCAGCCTCCCAAGTAGCTGGGACTACAGGCATGCGCCACTACGCCCGGCTAATTTTTTGTATTTTTAGTAGAGACGAGGTTTCACCGTGTTAGCCAGGATGGTCTTGATCTGACCTCGTGATCTGCCCGCCTCGGCCTCCCAAAGTGCTGGGATTACAGGTGTGAGCCACCGTACCAGTCCTAATATACGGATTTTAAGAGAAAAAAAGCAGATTGGGCATGGTGGGTCATGCCTGTAATCCTAGCACTTTGGGAGGCTGAGGCAGGTGGATCACTTGACGTCAGGAGTTCAAGACCACCCTGGCCAACATGGTGAAACCCCGTCTCTACTAAAAATACAAAAATTAGCCAGGCGTGGTGGTGCAAGCCTGTAATCCCAATCCCAGCTACTCAGAAGGCTGAGGCAGGAGAATCGCTTGAACCTGGGAGGTGGAGGTTGCAGTGAGCTGAGATTGTGCCACTGCACTCCAGCCTGGGTGACAGAGCAAGACACTGTCTCAAAAATAAAATAAATAAAATAGCAATAACTGGTGTAGTCAACAGAACAACAATTTATTCCCTTGCTTTGTGAAGCTAACGACTTTTTTTCCCCCGAGACAGCATCTCGCTCTATCACCCAGGCTAGAGTGCAGTGGTGCACTCTTGGCTCACTGCAACCTCTGCCTCTGGGGTTCAAGCAATTCTCTTGCCTCAGACTCCCAAGTAGCCAGGATCACAGGTATGTGCCACCAAGCCCGGCTAATTTTTATATTTTTAGTAGAGACGGGGTTTTACCATGTTGGCAAGGCTGGTCTCAAACTCCTGACCTCAGGTGATCCGCCTGCTTAAGGCCTCCCAAAGTGTTGGAATTACAGGCGTGAGCCACCACACCCCTAAGTATAGGTTAACGTGGTCAAATGTAGATGGCTGCTGTCACGATGGGTCTGTATTATGGGAATGTGCTCACATGTGGTAAATAGAATAAAACACCAAAGAACAAAATCACCAAACTGCAGACCTGTGGTAGCTCATGCATGACTCAGTGCAGGGAACAGCGTTCTGCTGAGTAACGTCACATCAGGAGGAACATGCCTTCTAACTGAACATGGTACCACAGGGCAAACACATGCCCAGCCTAAATCTTCTCACTCTGACCCCGAGCAAATACTCAGTGAGTGACTGCTGCACTCTGCACCCCTTTTTCTCAGTGAAAGCATAGAACCCAGCCAGCTTCCCAAGCGTGAAGAAGCCACATGGATGCGCTACACCAGGAGACAGAGCAACAGAGCCTCGGGTAGCAACGGAATGTGTGGGAAACACCAAGCTGTATCCGGAGGGCCTTGGGCACCCTCAGACCTGGGCCTCTTCCCTCCTCCATTTCCCCTACATGTCCAAGAGCCATAGCATGAACCACACCACAGCTGCCCGGCCAAGGATAGGTCTTGTCAAGGAAAAGTGCTATATTTACTGTAGCTTTTCTGTATGAGGAATTTGTGGTGTTAAATCTTAGTAGCATTTATATTGACTTATCATTTAAAAGTTTAATTGTATTGCTTCTCAGGTTTTGAGCTTTTGGCCCAAACTATCTTTTTCTTTAAGCCCTGTTATTTTTCCTGCAAGAACTTTCATACTCAGTGGTACTCGGGTACACGCACACCAGTCAGGAGAAAAGACTGTGCTGTCACACCACAAAGACACATACGGGTTAAGGCAAAATACCTGATCTGTGACACCAGTGCGGGCAAGTTGCTCTGAAGAAGTGGCTCCGAAAAGACCAGATTTTCAAACAGGTGTTTATTATGCAGTTCCCACGTCACTTGGAACTTTTTCAAGTGTTCATTTTCCTGGTTAAGAAAAAGTAAAAGATAAACAGAAGATGTAGTGAATTGCTAAAGACTAGAAAATTCCCAGAGGGATTCCCTCCCCCCTCCCCATTTCCCCCCACCACGCACACATCCCTCTTCACAGGCCCAGAGTGTTCAGCTTATGAGAAGTGCTGCTCCCTGTATGTCTCAAGGCACACAGTGCATCAGAACTCTGACTACACGGACATGGATTTCAGCACATCTCCCCTCTAAAATGGCAAGTTTAGAAGGGCTGCAAAGACAGGGTGACAGGTGTGCACAGAGACAAAGCAGTAACTGCACGTTTGAGAGTCATTTCTCACAATTATACTTTTAAAATGTAATGAAAGCCCTTACAGTTCAAACAGTTTAGATACATCAAGTCCCTCGATGCTAAAGGATAACAATTTTCTTACCTATTTGGAGAAACCTTCCATTCTAATTAATACACACAATTTCTCCACTTGCAAGACCCTATCAGAGTTAAGGTTTTTTGTCTTCCTAATAAATGTAGGCAAACTTGTCAATTACTTTAGATAATACCACGAAAACCTAGAAGTGTCCCAGTCATCATAGAGAGTGATGTCAGCAGAGATGTACAGCAAGCCCCCAACACAAGATCACTGAGGTTGATGCCATTATTACCTTTCCTAAATGTAATGTTCACATTTAATAAGTCTTGCTACAACCATGCGTGTGTGAATCCATGCTTCCCTCTGTCAACTACACGGACACTACTTGTGTTCAGATCACGTTACATCTTTGGGTGAATGTTCCTGACTTCAACAACCGCCAGCTCTGGAAGCTGCACTTCATCATGCTTGGCTACTCCACGTCTCCTGAGTCGGGTCACTCACAGGGACTGGGTTTAGAGGTCTGCTCCTGTTTACAATATAGCCAAGCTGAGTTGATGGAGACCTTAGCAAATGAACGACACAAAGATTTCACTGTTATGTCACCTAATAACCCTAGTTGGTATGGGGGCTGAGAGAACAAATTATAATGATTATAATGATTGAAAGTAAACACCTATAAACACATTTGGAGAGAGCACACCAGTGATACTGCTAGACCACTGTGTGCCAGCCTTGCTGGATACAGCTCTGTTTTCATACCTGGAAACACAAGAATTGAGAGATTCAGCAATGAATCTATGCCATCTGCAGAAAATCTAAAACCTTCCGTTTTGTTAACATTTCCAGTACTTTTCCTCATCGTGTTTTCACCAGTGCCTCCCAGATTGAAACATCATCACTCCTGTTTCACACCAAGCATTATCTCAGAGCAAGCACACTCGGTACAGGAAAAATGCACGTGGCAGGAGACCAGGGCCAGGTAACTGATACCCAGCCCCAGGCTGGAACCCACAAATGTGCTTGTAATAATAAGCAGGTGAAATGCCAAGCCCATGCTGCCCAGGCCCTGTGCCAGGTACGAGGACACGAAGACTACCTCCTGCTACAATAGTCCGCTGCTCTCCAGGAGTTCCCGGGGAACAGAAGAGTAGGCAGTGACCTGACTTACGATTCAGCTACAAGACAAAGAGTACATGAGAGTGAATGCAGCACCTGGATCAGACCAGGTTGGCAACTAGCTGAGGGAGGGGCCTCCTGGAAGAGCTGAGGCTTTGCCTGGCCTCCCTTGGAAACCTCTGGGATAGCCATTTCCACCTGCCTGTCTATGAGTGGAATCACAAGTCTGGCTTTCTGGGCCAGTTGCTAATGGTCACTGGGTGAAGGCTAATTTATGAAGATATTTGGCATTTTTAATAAAACCTAAAATTACACCTCTAGGTGAGGCATGCAAGACAAACAGATATCAGACTCACTTCACAACCGGAAATCAACTTGGAGTTTACTTAAGGAACACATGTTAACACCTGAGTGCCTAGCATGGCCAGGCACTGTCCTTAGCGCTGAATTCAATGCCTCCAGTAAGTTCCCTGTGAACCTGGTAGTGCCCTGCCCATGCCCCATCGACAGGCGTGGAACCAGCATAGAGGGGCTCAAATAACTGGACCGGGGCATGCAGGGGTGGGCTCTGCAGGATGTGTCCTCACAGCTCCTACGAGAGGTGAGGCCTATGGAAGAACTGCTGAGCTAGAGGCAGAAAGGCTTGTCAGTGACCTAAGGGCAGGCTCTGCAAACTGTTCTCACTTCCCACTACAAAAAAGGTTTGGGGGTTTGAAAGAAGGAAGAGAAGATGTTTAGAATGTAGTTCCTACAATAGACTGAAATAACGGGACATTTGAGATCTTTCTGTCTTTGTCGATGAAAATTTAGACTTCACTATTATAGCCTGGTGAGGTGTTTCCTAGATGACTAGAAGCATAACTTAAGCCTAGTGACAATTTTATTTTATTTTTTAGATTTCTTTTAAAAAAATATTGAGTGATTGGTCAATTGACTGAGACAGGGTCTCACTCTGTCGCCCAGGCTGGAGTGCAGTGGTGTAATCTTGGCTCACTGCAACCTCCGCCTCCCAGGCTCAAGCAATCCTCTTGCCTCAGCCTCCGGAGTGGCTGGGACTACAGGTGTACACTATCACGCTCAGCTAATTTTTGTATCTTCTGTAGAGACGGGATCTCACCATGTTGCCCAGGCTGGTCTTGAACTCCTGGGCTCAAGTAATCCACCCACCTTGGCCTCCCAAAGTGCTGGGATTACAGGTGTGGGCCACCATGCCCACTCCCCCAATTTTACTTTAATATTTAAAGTAAATACAAAAAATATGACTCATTATCCTGTTTGATCCCCCAGGCAGTGTGGAATAAACCTCACGTGAGGGCATTCTCCAGTAAAGTTGCATTTCTGAGAATACCTTTCTATGTCCAAGAGTATCCAGTGAGTTCAGCAAAAACAAGTAGAATGGGGGTGCTGTTCAGAAGAGCTAACTAGCTGGCAGAGTTTGCACAGCAAATTAACATGTTGCTTCAAAGAAAACAAGTGACACAATCTGTGGCTAATCATAAAATCTAAGCTTTCAAGCAAAAAAGAAAACTTTAGAAAATTTGCATTTGCTGCTGTTGGCTTGAAAGATCCTACACATTTAAAGAGCTTTCTGATGAGATCAGTGCTGATATAAACAAATATCATTTTTTATATTAATAAAACTGTCAACATCCAGAAGATACTCAGTGAATCAATATTTGCAAAATGACCTATGAATGACACTAGCAAACCATGTATAAGTAGAGAATCCATTCATGGGGTGAGCTGGAGCCTGTGGATTTTAACGGAACAGAGTAGGGTAAGTTCAGTGATACAGTTTCAGACTCTACATCGCAACTAACCATTAAGAAACTCTCCCGCGTTGGTGTACTCTCAGAGAAGATCTATCAGGATTTGAAGAGGCTATTAAAATATTCTTCCTGGCAGGGCACGGTGGCTCACGGCTGTAATTCCAGCACTTTGGGAGGCTAAGGCAGGCGAATCACGAGGTCAGGAGATCGAGACCATCCTGGCTAACACAGTGAAACCCCGACTCTACTAAAAATACAAAAAATTAGCCTGGCGTGGTGGCACCCACCTGTAGTTCCAGCTACTCGGGAGGCTGAGGCAGGAGAATCACTTGAACCCAGGAAGCAGAGGTTGCAGTGAGCCGAGATCATGAGGGACACAGCGAGACAGAGCGAGATTTTTTTTTGAGACAGAGTGAGACTCTGTCTCAAAAAAAACACAAAAAGACAAATTATTCCTTTTTCCAACTAAGACTCCGTCTCAAAAAAAAAAAAATTCGTCCTTTTTCCAACTACATTATCTGTAAAAAGTTGAATTTTCTTCAATAACTTCAACCAGACAACCTATGACAACAGACTGAATGCAGATGAGACTCCCACTGCTTTTACAGAGAGATCTGGAGAGGTGTGAGTGACCCACTCTTCTTAAGAAATATGTTGGCCGGGTGCGCTGGCTCACGCCCATAATCCCAAAACTTTGGGAGGCCGAGGCGGGCAGATCACCTGAGGTCAGGAGTTCGAGACCAGCCTGGCCAACATGGTGAAACCCCATCTCTACTAAAAGAAATACAAAAAAATTAGCCAGATGTGGTGGCAGGCACCTGTAATCCCAGTTATTTGGGAGGCTGGGGCAGGAGAATCGCTTGAACTGGGGAGGCAGAGGTTTCAGTGAGCCAAGATCTCACCACTGCACTCCAGCCTGGGCAACAATGTTTTATTTTGGAAAATAGTTATTTTTACATATGTAATTTATGTTACATTATCTAATGTAAAAGTGTATTATTTGTTACATTCTCTAATATATGTTAAAATATGCAATTTATGTAATCTAATGAGAGTTTACATTTTTAAAATGACAATAAGCATTTAAAAAATTTTCTCAGTTTGAATTTCAATACAGCAAGTACTGATGTAAGTCTGCATAAAAAAGCACACTTCGGGGTCCTAAATTTTTAAGTATAAAGGGGCCTAAGTCCAAAACTGTTGAGAATTACTGCCCTGAGACACCGAGTTTATCTTAAGCTGGTGCTGCATAGATCACTGGATGGCAGTGTAATAATGTGGCTATGAATTTGTGAAGATTTTTGGGTCCTGATTGGAATAACCCAACCATAAAAAGAGATTGGCTGGCATTAGTCGGTAAGAAATTACTATTACCGTCAGTCTTCATGGATGTGACAATGGAACTGTGGCTACAGAAGATAATGGATGACTATTTTTAGAGACACTTATTGGAATATTCTAAGACAAAAAGCACATTGTCTGGGACCCATACTAAAATACTGCATCAAAAAGAGGGAAGAGAAAGTGGAAGAAAAAGAAGGCATAATGAAGTCAGAGTGGCAAAATGCTGATTAACTGCGCATCTGGGTAAGGAGTACATAGATTCATTGTAGTCTCTACCCAGAATCCAGAATTACACATTATAACATCTCACAGACCATTTTCAACAAAGTCCTGTGTTTTGTGTTTGAGATCACTTTTTCTTTGATGTTCTGTAGCTGTCATTATACTATAACCAGAGAAGGATTTTTCAACATCTTACTTGGGAAATCTGATACGTTTCCTTGCTGAACACTAGTATTTTTCAGTAATTCTGAGAATTTCTCAGCTATCATCTCTAAAAAAAGTTTTTGTTTCTAGTTTTGATATTTTTTCAAATCTGAATTATCATTCTTTAGAGTATTAATCCTTAACTCCCAATTTCAAACTTTTACAAAGCTTCTTTAAGCACAGTTAACAAAGTTACTCTATATTCTTTTTTGAAAATTTAAATATCTTTGTTATGTGATTCTGTCTACTGCTTCTGCTGGCTTTTAACTGTGCTGTCATGAACCTTGTGTTTTATGACTTTTTTTACTGTGAGCTGCTCATTTGGGGGGATTTTATCTATTCGAATTCTCTGAGGTCAGATTGAAGGTTTCCAGAGGTGATCTGCATGCTGCCTGACTTTACCAGCAATCCTGGACCACTGTAAAGTAACTTCCAGGCTTGGGCTGTTCATACCACACCAACATTTATTCACACTCCAGCTCATGTGGCAGCTGGCTGACAGCTACCAAGTCTCTGGGAAGCTGTACTCCCTGCATCTCCACCCCAAGGCCACGAGAGCTGCAGATCCCTGCTGTCCCTTTCGGTGCTCGGAGTTTCCACTTCAACCTTACTAGTGTCGTCACTTACAGTCCCAGCATTATGTGCAGACCCCATCCTGGGCTAGGTTGTCTCTTGTCTCCCAGGATCAGAAGAAATACCCACAGCAAATGCTGACTTTCAAGCCCATGTATTTCTCAGGATTCCAGCTTTCAATTGGTTTTTCACCACTACGACTTACTCCCTTTCATGCCATCTCAGCCATACACTTTAAAAGATTTCATCTTTTTTTTGAGACGGAGTTTTGCTCTTGTTGCCCAGGCTGGAGTGCAGCGGCCCCATCTCGGCTCACTGCAACCTCCACCTCCCAGGTTCAAGCAATTCTCCTGCCTCAGCCTCCCAAGTAGCTGGGATTATAGGCGCGTGCCACCACGCCAGGCTAATTTTTTGCATTTTTAGTAGAGACGGGGTTTCATCACGTTGGCCAGGCTGGTCTCTAACTCCTGACCTCAGGTGATCCAACCACCTCGGCCTCCCAAAGTGCTGGGATTATAGCCGTAAGCCACCACGCCTGGCTTATTTTTTTATTATCTAGTAAATTCAGTTGTTTCCCTTGGAGGAAGGAATAGTTAAGGGTATCTAGTCTGCTGGACCCCTAGAAATCAATGTGGGTATTTCTATGTGTAAAGGAAGTGAAAAAAGACACTAATCAAACAGCTTCTGGGTGTATGCATTTTTTTCAAGCCACAAGAAATTATTTCTTTTTTATTTTGTTTTGTTTTGTGTGTGAGACAGAGTCTCGCTCTGTTGCCCAGACTGGAGTGCACTGGCACAATCTTGGCTCAATGCAACCTCTGCCTCCCGGGTTCAAGTGATTCTCCTGCCTCAGCCTCCCGAGTAGCTGGGACTACAGGCGCCCGCCACCATGCCCGGCTAATTTTTGTTATTTTTAGTAGAGACGGGGTTTCATCATATTGGCCAGGCTGGTCTTGAACTCCTGACCTCAGGTGATCTGCCTGCCTCGGCCTCCCAAAGTGCTGGAATTACAGGCGTGAGCCACCGCACCCGGCCTCAAGCCACAAGAAATTATTTCTATGTCAACTGCTAGGAATTTGCTCTAATAAATATGGTTCAAATTAATTTTTGTCAGCTTCATAAAACAGTATCCTACAGTAACTATCTGAGGAGGTGCAGACCTCGCCAGCATTTTCTGGAGAGCAGCAACAGCTGCTGTCTTCACTACCAGAGTCTCTCTGGGCACCAGGTTTAGGTGGGCTGGAGAGCATCCTTCTTAACCTGAGCCAGTGTTCTTGTAGAAGACAGAGGAGGGGCTCTGGATTTGAACCTCTGAAGGGCAGGCAGACTCTCAGGTAGAGACGGGGAGGCTGTGCTGCGAGAGATGCCAGAGGAAGGACGAGGTACCAGAAGGAAGCCTGGTGGCACTACCCAGTGGACTCAGACCTTGAAACAGGATAACTGCCCCCCTGCCCCACCCCCACCCCTCACCCTACCCATTCACCTCGCTACCTCTTCTCAGAATAGATACCTCCCCATGGCTTGGCGCAGTGAAGCTTGAGGAAGTCTGTGAACCCCCTGAAATGACTTACAATTACATGTATGTAATTTTTTCTTTTCTTTTTGAGATAGGATCTCACTCTATTCCCAAGCTGGAGTACACTGGCTCACCACAGCCTCAACCCTGAGCTCAAATGATCCTCTTGCCTCACAGCCTCTTGAGTAGCATGCGTCATCACGCCTGGTTAATTTAATTTTAAATTTTTTTGGTATAGGTGGGGTCTCCCCATGTTGCCTAGGCTAGTCTCAAGCTCCTGGGCTCAAGTGATCCTCCCACTTTGGCTTCCCAAAGTGCGAGGATTACAGGTATGAGCCACCACACCCGGGCTGTATGTAAATTTTTCTAAGAGGGTCCATCAACTTGAGAATCAGATAAAGACCAAGGCCAATGCTTACTGTATTTGTTTCAAAATGTAGGTTTACCACTAAGAAAGCACCCAAAACTGATGCTCAGCCCTCTCGCCATGTGATGCCCTGTACCACCTTTGGACTCTGTTCAGAGTCCAAGTCCCCACCTGCAAGAAAGCTCTCACCAGATGTGGCCCCTCAAACTTAGACTTCTCAGCCTTCCTAACCATGAGAAATAAATTCCTTTTCTTTATTAAAAGAAAGAAAGCACCCAAAACTAGCACCCAAATACAGTTAAGTATTATTTAATAATAAAGTTTAAGTGATGAAAAACTCCATAGACTATTAGTAACAGTCAAGGAAGCTTTGAGGGCTTGTCTCTGGTCTCCTTCCAAAGCGTGGGGGCACTGAGGCTGTTGAGGATTGACCGCAGCCTACTTGTAACCATATTTCTATACCATGCTCCTTCCACCCAATGTAGTGATTCCTCTTTTGAGGCAACCGGACCCATCTGTGTGTCTCTTTTGTTAGGACTGTCAGATCCCCATTGGCAAGGATGGTGATAGGGCCTGTCTTGAGACTGCAAGCAGATCCTTAACTCAGTGCTGGCTTGCTGAGTGCATGCATGCCTGCATGAATGAATGAACGCCACTGGGCGGTAAACAAGCTGTTCTCTACAGCCTTCATGCTCTTCATGGGCATTTCACCTAATACCAGCTCTGTCTACAGCAACGAAAGAATGAACAACCTAAGTAAGACACCGGAGATTTCTCTGTCTCCTTATAAAGGCACACATCAGTGCTCCCCTCACACTGCCCCCATGCCTCGTTCCCTGGGCCTCAAGGTCCTCCAAACAGTACTACCATGAGGTGTCACCTGCTTATCAATCCACCCAATGCTTTTATCCAGTGGCAAAGTCCAGAGGAAAGACAAAGAGGAGAGGAAACAGGTCCTCTCCCGTAGAGAAGAGGGGCCTATCACAGTGTGTGGGGGTGTGACAGCGAGGTCGGCACACATGCGTGAGAAGCTTCCTCTTGCCACATGCTTCTCTTCAGCTCATCCAAACAGAAAGAAAAACACGTTTTCTCTCTTACCAGAGTGCCAAGGAAGGTGCTGATGGAGCGTGCGGCCTGGCAGAGGGCGCCGTACTCCTCAAGCAGGAGGGAGATGAACTGGTGCGCTTGCGGCGGGCCCTGCAGGCCAGATGGTGCCTTCACCTTGGCCGCAGCCGACAGCTGCCGGAGCAGGCGGACCTTCATCTCCAGCACATACTCTCGAGCTTGCTGTTCCAGACGCTGGTACAGCTGGTAGGGGTCCCTCTCGCAGAGCCTGCACAGAGAAGAGGGTCACCAGGGCCTGCCCACCAGGGCCCATGGGTGCTCTGATGTCAGTGAGCATCTTTTCTGAAGCCCTTCCACAGGTGGCCACCTCTAGATGACCACACAGTCACCTTCCTCATAACCACCTGTGAGAAGCACAATCACCCCACCTAATGGATGGGGAATCCGGGGCACAGAGTGTCACTAGGGAACAGCAAGTGACATTTATTGAGCTTTCTCTGTACAGCACTGTCCGTGCACGTGCACTAATTCAGTTCGCTGTGTGTGGGTTCAGTGCCTGCTTTACAGAGGGGACATTTTGGCCCACACAGGTTGGGTGACTTGCGTAAACTCACACAGCTGGAAGAGCACGCTACCACTTCTCAGCAGCTGGCCCCAGACAACATGCTCAGACACGAGGCTGGGGACAACTCTTTTAAAGGCTTATATGTTAACAAGTAAAAAGCACTGATCCCAGGAGAGGTGCCACCTGGCTGCAGATCTGCGGCAGCCTGCTCTTTCCTTCTTTCTAGAAGTTCAGTGTACAATCCAAATGGGTTTGTATTAGGCTTATCAAAAGAGGAAACTTTAGACACAGTTTATCTTTTTTTTTTAACAATTATCCCACCAAAAAAGCAATAAAGGTGTGTAAAATAAAATTTGTAGGCTGAAGAGTAGGAAAAAAAAAATACATGCAACATGACTAAGCCACAAATGCAATGAGCATTTTCATGAATTTCAGGCCAAACTTTGGGATAATCCATTATTTTTGACACAAATGTGTATGATAATCCACATTTTTTTTTTTTTTTTGAGATGGAGTCTCACTCTGTCGCCCAGGCTGGAGTGCAATGGTGTGATCTCGGCTCACTGCAAGCTCCACCTCCTGGGTTCACACAGTTCTCCTGCCTCAGCCTCCCGAATAGCTGGGACTACAGGTGCCCGCCACCACGCCCGGCTAATTTTTTGTATTTTTAGTAGAGACGGGGTTTCACCATGTTAGCCAGGATGGTCCCGATCTCCTGACCTTGTGATCCGCCCGCCTTGGCCTCTCAAAGTACTGGGACTTACAGGCGTGAGCCACCGCACCCGGCCGATAATGCACATTTTAAAACGTATTCTACAGTACTGGCATTGCTATGGTTAAATTTAATTGTATTTTAATCCAGGAGCCTCTAGATGGAAACCTAAAACCACTGATGTAATAATAAAAATTCGTCCATAACCCATCACCAGGAGAAACCAGTTTGAGTTCATCACTCTAACAGAAATGAGTTGTAAAATGTATTAAACTACAGCTCCTGGATTTTACATAGTAAATCCTTTCACCTACATACCATATTATGTCAAAAGAAAAGAAAGTTGTCACCTGTTCTATTTTTAAATTGCCATATTACCTAGGCTATAAAAGACAAGTGCCAAGTAAAATCTTGCAATGGAACATGTGAAGCCTTATGGAAAATGTGGATTAAAAAAATAGTGTAGATGGATGGGATTCCTATTATGGTTAGTATATTTCAGACAGACATTAATTTTTTGAGCATGACAACTGTCATTTCAACTACTAGTATAAAAAACTGTCCTCTGAAACAGAATGCATTTCATCTATTAAAATAAAGCCACAGAAGGTCAAATTTTGACAGAGACAACCAAACTTAGAAGCAGACTGGACACCCACGTCACTGTTCTCTTAGCATGTCGGACTTAGATCTCTTTTTTTTTTTTGTCTATTTCTGTATTTTATAAATTTAAGGAAATAACCATGTGATACTTTTGCAAACAGATTTTTTTTTAAGTTATATAAAAAGAAGGCAGCGGGGCAGGGTGCAGTGGCTCACGCCTATAATCCCAGCACTTTGGGAGGCGAGATTGAGACCATCCTGGCTAACACGGTGAAACCCTGTCTCTACTAAAAATACAAAAAATTAGCCGGGCATGGTGTCAGGCGCCTGTAGTCCCAGCTACTCGCGAGGCTGAGGCAGGAGAATGGCATGAACCCGCCAGGCGGAGCTTGCAGTGAGCCAAGACTGCGCCACTGCACTCCACCCTGGGTGACAGAGCGAGACTCCGTCTCAAAAAAAAAAAAAAAAAGAGAGAGACAGCAATATGCTGAAGAAGCTAGGAAGCTCATTCGCTAACTCACACACACATTCAACAGATGCGGGCACATCAACTACACACTGGCTGCTACTCTAAAGTACTGAAGTTGCAATGTTAATAAGCTGTGAAGTCATGGGTTTGACGTGAAGGTTATACATTTTTTCCTAATACTCACTAGGAAACCTAACTTTGTTGTTTTTTTGTGTTTTTCTTTGGATTTTACTCTGTTGCCCAGGCTGGTGTGCAGTGGAGCGATCCTAGCTCAGTGCAGCACCGAACTCCTGGGCTTAAGAGCTCCTCCTGCCTCAGCCTCCCAAGCAACCGGGACCACAAGTGTGCTTCATCACACCTGGCTAATTTTTTTTATTTTGTGTAGAGACAAGTCACTATGTTGCCCAGGCTAGTCTTGAACTCTTGGGCCCAAGCAATCCTCCCGAAGTGCTGGGATTACAGGTGTGAGCCACCACGCTTGGCTGGAAACCTAACTTCTAATAAAAGCACATACCACAGAGAGGGACCTCATGCAATACCAGTGGCTCACAGGTCAAACCCTGAAAATACTTGGCTGAATTCAATGAGTTAACCTAATCTATGGCTAATCACTATCCCTGCCTCCAGGAAAGAATCTACTGCACAGCAAACATCAGTTTATAAAACTCCCGGCGGGGCGCGGTGGCTCACGCCTGTAATCCCAACACTTTGGGAGGCTGAGGCAGGTGGATCACAAGGTCAGGAGTTCAAGGCCAGCCTGGCCAAGATGATGAACCCTGTCTCTACTAAAAATACAAAAATTAGCTGGGCGCAGCCGGGTGTGGTGGCTCACACCTGTAATCTCAGCACTTTGGGAGGCCGAGGCGGGCAGATCACAACGTCAGGAGATCAAGACCATCCTGGCTAACATGGTGAAACCCCATCTCTACTAAAAATACAAAAAATTAGCTGGGCGTGGTAGTGGGTGCCTGTAGTCCCAGCTACTCGGCAGGCTGAGGCAGGAGAACGGCGTGAACCCAGGAGGCAGAGCTTGCAGTGAGCCCAGATTGCGCCACTGCACTCCAGCCTGGGCGACAGAGCGAGACATCGTCTCAAAAAAAAAAAAAAAATTAGCTGGGCACAGTGGCAGGCGCCTGTAATCCCAGCTACTCAGGAGGCTGAGGCAGGAGAATCACTTGAACTCAGGCAGCAGAGGTTGCAGTGAGCTGAGATTACACCACTGCACATCAGCCTGGGCGACAGAGTGAGACTCCATCTGAAAAAAAAAAAAAAAAAAAAGCCTCCCAAATGTGCTGCATTCAAAATGTGAGAAAGAAACCCAAATGAGAATCAACCCATGAAATGGCCATCTCAAATAAGTTGCTTTCATTTGAAACATTTCAAAAAACATAAAAATATGTTATGTTGCCGGACGCAGTGGCTCACGCCTGTAATCCCAGCACTTTGGGAGGTCAAGGCAGGTGGATTATGTTAGAGACCAACCTGACCAACATGGTGAAACCCCATCTCTATTAAAAATACAAAAATTAGCCGGGCACAGTGGTGGGCACCTGTAATCCCAGCTACTCTGGAGGCTGAGACATAAGAACAGCTTGAATGCGGGAGGCAGGGGTTGCAGTGAGCCAAGATCACGCCATTGGACTACAGCCTGGCTGACAGAGCAAGACTCCATCTCAAAAAAAAAAAAAAAAAAAGTTACATCAAACTATAAGGAAGAATAAAAATTATGGCCACCTCAAATTCTGTGTGGTTACTGAGCATAAGGTATCTGCTGAAGAACGGCTGCGGCATCATGAGAAACAGCCACACGGCCAGGCACGCCTCAGCTGTCTTGGCCTCATGAACCACAGGCACATACACAAGCTACCCAACCTCACAGAGCCCCCATTTTTTCACTTCATAAATGGGCTAACTCGGCCTTTCTCCTTGGGTTGATAAAGGCAAGAGTGCTTGTAAAAGTACTCTGCATCATCCCTGGCACAGGGGGACTCAAAAAGGAAGGTATTATTATCAGTCTTCACACAAACAAGTGACAGAAACATTTCTTGTGTAATTATACAGGCAATAGCGTTTCATCAAAATCAGAAAAATTCAAGACGTTTGACCTAGGGGGCTCACTTTTGCCAGTTCATCTGCTGCAGTCTTGACAGGCACCAAAGGCTAAGCAAACCCAGCTGAGCACTGTAAGGAAAGCCCATCCTGAAAGGAGTGGCTCCAAGTGCAGCAGGGAGGGCAGGGGTTTGCATGGGGCCACAACAGGAAAGGGCAGTATGTACCTATCCACGAGCTCCTTCACTCCCTCCTTGTCAGGCACCAGAGACTGGTCCTGGTCATCTGCCAGCGGGGTTCCTGCCTGGCGGTAGATGCAGCGCACCGTGTAGCGCACTTCTGACCAGTAGTTCTGCAGCTGCTGAGGTTCCCGGTCCGCCTCTGCCGAAATTTCTCTGTGAGACAACACAGGAAGGTTAGAAAGTCACCACAATCTGCTGCCCTTCCTCACCTAGCACACTGTCCTCAGAGGACCTCCCAGGCTCTTGCACCTTGCCCAGCTCCCAGGAGCCGGCAATCAGGCTGCTGTCAGTGCAGGGGGGTGATGGCATCCCCAGCACAGCTCCTAGGGTGCACTCTGCGTAAGATCTTAGCCACTGCACAGATGACAGGAGCATCTGTGGCTAATGTCCACAATTAGGGTACCCACATCCCCACTGCTGACCTGGCCTTCACCTCCAAGGTACTTAATGGGCAGCTTTGCCCCCACCCTTTGGCCCCCACTTGGCTACATGCATTCCTTCCTGAGCCAGAGCACAGAGCATTTTTAGATGTGCTCCTGGGCTGGGCATGGTGGCTCATGCCTGTAATCCCAGCACTCTGGGAGGTGAAGACGGGCTAATCGTTTGAGTCCAGGAGTTTGAGACCAGCCTGGGCAACATGGCGAAGCCCCATCTCTATAAAATATACAAAAATTAGCCCGACATGGTGGTGCGCGCCTGTAGTCCCAGATACCGGGACTGAGGTGGGAGGATCACTTGAGCCTGGAAGGCGGAGGTTGTGGTGAGCGGAGATCACGCCACTGCCCTCCGGCCTGGGGGACAGAGCCAGACCCTGTCTCAAAAAAAAAAAAAAAAAAAAAAAAAGATGAGCTCCAGGGCTCTCCCCTCAGCCACTGAGAAGCAGCCAGTCAGGCTCTCCCCCATCGCTCCTCTCATTCACTGAGGCTGCTCTTAGATTCTGATTATTTAAGGACTCCTTCTCTTGTTCTGAGGATGCTTCCTAGTGCCAGTTCCTCAAGAGCAACAGTTTTTGTCTTACTCATATGGTTCTTTCTCTCAATAGCGAAGCAACTGCCTTACTCTTGTTGCTGTCTGTCACATTAGCCCAGTTTCTCCGTCCAGCTCCAATATGCAGGTCTGCATGTCATTGTGGACAGGTGTGAGCAACGTGGCACACACGTCACATACCTGCGCTCACTGCAGGCCTCGCACGAGCATGCGGTGTCTGAAGGCAGCGTCTGTGCACCCAGAGCGAGCCTCCCACCACTGCCGGCCTCTGGCTGGGAGCCACCAAGCGAGGAGTGAAGAAGAAAATCTTGGCTCTGTTTTAAAAAGAGAACAGAATAGACCAGTTATGTTAAAATGTTCACGGCATCAATTTTTTATTAACTGTTCAGGAAAAATGCCTTTTAAAAAACTGTAAAACCTAAACATTGAAAAGAAACTATCTTGGCCAGATACAGTGGCTCACACTTGTAATCTCAGCACTTTGGGAGTCTGAGGTGGGTGGATCGCTGGGCAACATGGTGAAACACCACTGCTACAAGAAATACAAAAAATAGGCCGGGCGTGTTGGTGCCCGCCTGTAGTCCCAGCTACCCAGGAGGCTGAGGTGACAGGATCACTTGAGCCTGGGAAGTTGAGGCTATAGTCAGCCGTGATCATGCCCCACTGCACTCCTGTCTGGGTGACAGAGACATTGTCACACAGACACACACATACATACAAAAAGGAAACAATTCGGCTGGGCATGGCGGTTCACGCCTGTAATCCCACCATTTTGGGAAGCCGAGATGGGAGGACCACTTGAGCCCAGACGTTTGAGACCAGCCTGGGTAACACAGCAAGACCTCATCTCTATATAAATTTTTTTAAAAAGTTTAAAAATTAATTTATATTAAATTTAAAAAGGAACAGTTTTACTCCCACTGTCCTAATCAGCACACACAATGACCACCTCAGTGGGCACCTCTGGAAAGTGATATGCCCACGGTTGCCTGAGACAGCACATGGTAGAAACCTAGTGGCCTCTCTGAGCCTTGCATCAAGCAGCCGGGGCAGAGGCCTCTCCGTCCTGGGGAATCCCATAGCCTGCACTGCCTGCTCTGAGGAACAAGGAGGCTTAAGAAAGAGAACACTTGGCCGGGGGCAGTGGCTCACGCCTATAATCCCAGCACTTTGGGAGGCCGAGGCAGGCGGATCACCTGAGGTCAGGAGTTCAAGACCAGCCTGACCCACACGGTGAAATCCGTCTCTTCTAAATACACAAAAATTAGCCAGGCATGGTGGGGCACGCCTGTAATCTCAACTACTCGGGAGGCTGAGGTTGCAGTGAGCCGAGATCGCGCCACCGCACTCCAGCCTGAGAAACAGACCGAGACTTTGTCTCAAAAAAAAAAAGAGAGAGAGAACATTGGGCAAAGACCTTCCTATGTCCCACGCCAAAAGGATTTCACCAACAACAACTAGAGAACACAACACAACCCTAGGTTCCTCCTCCCGCTCAGTTACCCTTCCATCGGCACCAAGGCTCCTTCTAGAAGAGGCCCTGAGAAGGACTCTGCTCCTTGGGAACAGGGGCTCAGGGCTCAGGTCTCAGAGCTGAGGGTGCCCACAGGGTGATGCAGGGTGCTAGAGAGCCTTCCCCAGGCTCATGACAGGGGCTGCCAGCTCCATAATCATTGCATCCCCCTGACCCCCACAGCATGAGGAAAAGAAATACAGTCACAAGAGAGACTTCCAGAAAGGAATTCACCTAAGTCTTGAGTATTGCACTATTCCCACTCTGGTCCCCACAAGGAAAAGTGTGCTCTCCTCACCAACCCCTCCCCCAGTCAAGCATGAAGCCACTGAGACAAGCCCCCAGAGAGACGGGTGGTGGCCTGTGGCAAGGAGCCTGGGGCTCACCCTGGGCTGGACTTGGCAAGGTCTGTTCAGATGCTTGCACTACCCCAGTCTGCTGCTGAGCCAAGCACAAGGAAACTCCCAAGGGCCTGTGGCAGGTGCTGTGGAGTTGGGTCACACAGACACTGGTGCAGGCCTTGCAGGTAAGACCCTGCAGCAGAAAAGCCTGAGCGTTGCTAAGTGGGCAGAGGATTAAGACAGCAGGGGACCGGCCAGGCGCGGTGGCTCACGCCTGTAATCCCAGCACTTTGGGAGGCCAAGGCGGGCAGATCACGAGGTCAAGAGATCGAGACCCTTCTGGCCAACATGGTGAAACCCTGTCTCTACTAAAAAAGCACAAAAATTAGCTGGGTGTGGTGGCGCTCGCCTGTAGTCCCAGCTACTCGGGAGGCTGAGGCAGGAGAATTGCTTGAACCCGAAGGCAGAGCTTGCAGTGAGCCGAGATCGCGCCACCGCACTCCAGCCTGGTGACAAAGCAAGACTCCGTCTCAAAAAAAAAAGACAGCAGGGGACCCAGCTCAGCTGCCGCCAGCACACAGGAGGGTAAGAGCTTGTGTCATCCTGAAAGAATCCCACCCCAAATAGGTCCTGCTGGGGAAGCAGACCCCAGAATTACACCATGAGGGAAGGGGGGCAGAGTGCGGGACAGCAGTGGTAGGGGGTTGGGGGCAGGCTGGTTGTGTCACACAGTTTCCACTAGACAGTCCAGCACGAAGTCCCTACCAAGGTCTCAGAAGTGCCCAAAGGTCTGAATGTTTTGCTCTGTTCTGAATGTTTGTGCCCCCGCCCGCCCCCGTTCATAAGTTGAAATTTTAACCCCTAAGGTAATGTATCAGGAAGTAGGGCCTTTAGGTGGTGATTAGGTCATGAGGTCGGAGTCTTCGTGAATGGAATTAGTGTCCTTTTATAAAGAAGGCCCCAGAGAGCTGCCACATCCTTCCACCGCACGAGGACAGAGAGAGGGCACCAGCTATGAACCAAAGCTTGGCCCTTCCCAGGCACCAATCTGCCAGCACCTTGATCTTAGACCTTCCAGCCCTCCAGACTATAAGATATAAATGTCCGCTGTTTACAAGCAGCTTAGCCCATGGCATTTTGTTGCAGCAGCCTGAGCATGCTAAAGCAGCACCCCCGCCACCAACAAGAAAGAGCCAGCAACCACTGGGCCACCCATTAGGACCACAGGCCTAGCGCTAGTGGGCCAAAAAGAACCTAGACAACCCAGCAGAGAACAAAGACCCCCAAGTCTCCGCTCCAGTGCCCCTTCTCCATCCTGGAGGAACAGGACAGGCATAAGGAAGCAGGACATACACCACCGCCCTCTGCCCTTGGGGACTCCTGCCATCACTTAACATGAGGGGAAGAGGCTTTGAATTAATTAGATGAGACATTTAGGTTTTTTTTTTTTTTTTTTTTTTTTTTGGAGACAGGGTCTCGCTCTATCACCCAGGCTGGAGTGCAGTGGTGCAATCTCAGCTCACTGCAACCTCCGCCTCCCAGGCTCAAGCAATCGTCTCACCTCAGCCTCCTGAGTAGCTGGGACCAAAGGCATGCGCCACCACACCTGGCTTAATTTTTCGTATTTTTGGTAGACACAGGGCTTCGCCATGTTGCTCAGGCTGGTCTCAAACTCCTGAGCTCAAGTGATCCGCCCACCTTCATTTCCCAAAGTGCTGGGATTACAGGCGTGAGCCACCACACTAAGCCACATTTAGGTTTTTATGTAGACTGGACCTGAGTACCTGAAAATGTGGTTATTCCAATACCAAAAGTGGCTGGAAGGCCATGGAGTTCTGACTGAAGAGGCATGGTAGGGCAAGGAGAGGGCAGTGGTAGAAGAGGCTGTTCCCTAAGCGAGTCCGTTCCCTTCAACAAGCGAGGTTCACGCTCTCCTCCATCCCACGCCCATCTAACAGCAAAGTTGTCCACTCCACCTCAATCCTAAGCACCTCCACAATCCACCCATTCTTCCTCCGCTGCTTCCAACCCAGTCTAAGCCATCATCACCTACCTCTTGCCTGCACAGCTGCACTGGCTCTCTCTAGTGGCACACCTATTTCCGTATGTACTAATCATCCATTCTCCAAGCAGCAGCAGAGTGAGATCACAGAGCTCCCTACATAAAACCTCTGTTCTCCTCCACTTCACTTAGGAGCAAACACCGTATTTCTTACCACAGCTTTCAAGGTTGCTCAGGTCAAAGTTCTGCTTTTAAGTCACTGCCCTTGCTCCCTTTGCCTCGTACCCTTAGTCAGTGAGCCTCTGATTGGCTTCTGGTAGACTGTAGAATACTGTCCCATCAGGCCTCAGCAAAAAGATCACCTACTGAGGGAGGCTGGTTGAGTCAATTAATTTTTTTGCCTCTCAACTCCAAATCCACCCTTCTTCGCCACACTTACAATGAAGGAGCTGCACCCTGTAAACATTTCTCCTCTGCCAGCAGGTAGGTACAATGTGTGGTCCTATGGGTGGAGGGTACTACAGGGACGGTGAAGAAGAAGGGGTCTCCCTCCAGGTTCCTGTGCTTTTCTCATCTTGCTCTTACCCTGAGGCAGCTCCTCATCAGTGGTGTGTGGGGGACTGAGAGGCACGCACTCTCCAGCACTCAGTCCCAGCCTGCAGGACCTCAGGGAGCCTCTCTGCTACCCAGTGGGGCATAATGACACCCCCTCCATGTCAGGGCCTCTTCCAAGTTTGTTCCTTTCTTGAGTCCCCTCCCTAAGCTCCCGTTAGTGGCTGCTCCCTAAATCTGCCCCGGCCATATTCTTTAGCATTCACTTCACGGATCTGGGTGGCTGACCTGTCGCTACTTGTTAATTACTTTTTTTTTTTTTTTTTTTTTTGAGACGGAGTTGCAGTCTTCTTGCCCAGGCTGGAGTGCAATGCTGTGATATCGGCTCACTGCAAACTCCGCCTCCTGGGTTCAAACGATTCTCCTGAGTAGCTGGGATTACGGGAGCCCACCACCACCCCTGGCTAATTTTTGTATTTTTAGTAGAGACGGGGTTACACCACGTTGACAAGGCTGGTCTCCCAACTCCTGACCTCAGGCGATCCCGCCTGCCTCAGCCTCCCAGAGTGCTGGATTACAGGCATGAGCCACACACCCTGCCACTTGCTAATTATTCTTTATGTTAAAAATGTGTTTGTTCTGATTATGAGCGCGGTGCCCATCTCCTGAGCTCTAGCTTACCCATCAACCTAAACACCCCAGTTAATCTCCTCTATTAAACTGCTATCTGAAATCCTGGTGTTCTACTGTGTTCTTGTTTTTTTATGTGTCTTCAACACTGGAATTCATGGTTCATGAGAGCCAGAACCTATCTACTTGCTCACTATGGTACATCAGTGCCTATCATCATGGCTGGAACGCAGTACACTCAGAAAAGCAATCAAGAACTTGGGAAAGCAACATTTCCTGGAGACAAGACATGAAAGTAAGTCTTAAAATAGGGTACATGATGACTACATATTAAATCCTTAAATGTGTCCCATTATAGCACTCATCATATACAGATTTAACCTCAGTCATGTTTCACCCAAGTCTAACACAATTTAAAAGAAAAATAACAAAATCCAGCAATTAACAATGTAAAATTCACAATGTCCAGCATCCAGTAACGAAACCAAAAGCAGGACAATGACTCCTAAGAAGGAGGAAAAGCCAATCAATAGAAACAGATCCCCCAGGCCAGGTGCAGTGGCTCACGCTTGTAATCCCAGCACTTTCAGAGGATGAGGCGAGTGGATCACTTGAGGTCAGGTGTTCGAGACCAGCCTCACCAAGATGGCAAAATCCCAACTCTACTAAAAATACAAAATGTAGCCAGGCATGGAGGCACAAGCCTGCAATCCCAGCCACTCGAGAGGTTGAGGCAGGAGAATTGTTTGAACCGAGGAAGGGGAGGGGAGGTTGCAGTGAGACTAGATCGTGCCACTGCACTCCAGCCTGGGTGACAGAGAGAGACATTGTCTCAAAACAATAAAAGAAAGAAAGAAAGAAATTCCCCAGTCCAGCCACGGTGGCTCACGCCTATTATCCCAGCACTTTGGGAGGCAGAGGCGGGCGGGACCACCTGAGGTCAGGAATTCGAGAGCAGCCTGGCCAACATGAGGAAACCCCATCTCTACTAAAAATACAAAAATTACCCCACCTCTACTAAAAATACAAAAATTAGTATTTTTAGCTCTACTAAAAATACAAAAATACAAAAATTAGCATGGTGGCACGTGCCTGTAATCCCAGCTACTCAGGAGGCTGAAGCAGGAGAATCGTTTGAACCCAGGAGGCGGAGGTTGCAGTGAGCCGAGATTACACCACTGCAGTCCAGCCTGGGTGACACACTGAGGACTCCGTCTCAAAAAAATAAAAAAGAAAAAAAGAAACAGATCTCCCCAAAAATAGAGATGATACAACTGTCAAGAATCTGAAATTGGCAATTATAAAGAAACTCCATATGTTCAAGAAACAGAGGAAAAATAAACACGATGGGAAGAGAAACTGAAGATGTCAATAAATAAATAAACCAAATGAAACTTCCAGAGCTGAGAAATAAGACATAAAAGAAAAAAATACACTAAACACACTTGGCAGATTAAGCAGATCAGAATACCAATAAACCTGAACACAGGCAATAAAAATAATCCAGCCCAGACGCGATGGCTCACGCCTATAATCCCAGCATTTTGGGAGGCCAAGGCAGGTGGATCACCTGAGGTCAGGAGTTCGAGACCAGTCTGACCAACATGGTGAAACCCCACCTCTACAAAAAAATACAAAAATTGGCCAGGCGCAGTGGCTCACACCTGTAATCGCAACACTTTGGGAGGCCGAGGGTGGGCAGATCACCTGAGGTCAGGAGCTCGAGACCAGCCTGACCAACATGGAGCAACCTTGTCCCTTCTAAAAATACAAAATTAGCCAGGTGTGATGGCACACGCCTGTAATCCCAGCTACTCAGGAGGCTGGGGCAGGAGAATCACTTGAACCCAGGAGGAGGAGGTTGCAGTGAGACGAGATCACACCATTGCACTTCAGCCTGGGCAACAAGAGCAAAACTTCGTCTCAAAAAAAAAAAAAAAAAAAAAGCCGGGCATGGTGGCGGGCACCTATAATCCCCGCTACTCAGGATGCTGAGGCAGGAGAATCACTTGAACCCAGGAGGCAGAGGTTGTAGTGAGCCGAGATCGCACCATCGCACTCCAGCCTGGGCGACAGGGCAAGACTGTCTCTAAATAAATAAATAAATAAATAAATCCAAAATGAAGCACAGAGAAGACTGAAAAAATGGACAAAGCATTTGTAGGACAAACTCAAGATGTCTAACATCCCAGAAAAAAAGGGGACTACGTGAAGAAATACTTGAAATATTTCTAAATTTGAGGAAACTATAAATTCACACTATGTAAGCCCACACTCACTGCAAGCTCAATTAACCCAAAGCACACTAAACACAAAGCAAAGCACGCTGAGGCCCATCACAGTCAAACTGCTGAAAACCAGTGACAAAGTGCAAATCTCAGAAGCACAGAGAGGAAAACGAGTCACCTTACATATGCAGGAGCAAAGATAAGGACGACAACGTGTTTCTCATCACAAACTGGAGAGGCCACGAAAGAAATGACCAACAACCTCAAATTCCAAACAGAAATATCTTTTTAAAACAAAGGCAAAAAAGATTTCAAACAGAAGCTACCCTGGCCTACAGGAAATGTTAAAGGCAGTTCTTGAGACAGGGAAAATAATACCAAATGAAAATGTGGATCTACACAAAGGAATGGAGAGCACCACACATGATAAAGATGTGGGTCAAGAACTTATTTATAAGGTCTTTTTAAAAGATAATTCGCTATTTAAAGAAAGGGAAAAAATGACAATGTATGCTGAGGTGTATAATACATGTAAGAAAAACACACGACTACATTAGCACCAGAAATGGTGGCGCTCCAAGTATACTACTGTAAGGTACTTACACTACATGTGAAGTGGTATACTATTCTTTGAGAGTAGAGGCTGAAAAGTGGAAGCTATAGCTAAAAAATTATAAAACAAAGAAAAAGAAATACAGGTAGTAAGGTCAACAGGAGACAAAATGAAAGAGTTTAAAATATTCATAGGCCAGACGCGGTGGCTCATGCCTGTAATCCCAGCACTTTGGGAAGGCGAGGCAGGTGGATCACGAGGTCAGGAGATCGAGATCAGCCTGGCCAAGATGGTGAAACCCCGCCTCTACTAAAAATACAAAAATTAGCCAGGTGCGGTGGTGGGCACCTGTAATCCCAGCTACTTGGGAGGCTGAGGCAGGAGAATTGCTTGAACTCGGGAGGCAGAGGTTGCAGTGAGCTGAGATGGCACCACTGCACTCCAGCCTGGGAGCAGAGTGAGACTCCATCTCAAAAAAAAAAAAAAAAAAAAAATATATATATATATATATATATAATAAAAACATACTTCTGACCAATACATGGGTCAAAAAATATTCTTTTTTTTTTTTTTAATTTTTTTTTTTTTGGAGATGGAGTCTCGCTCTGTCGCCCAGGCTCGAGTGCAGTGGCACGATCTCAGCTCACTGAAACCTCCGCCTCCTGAGTTCAAGCAATTCTCCAGCCTCAGCCTCCTGAGTAGCTGGGATGACAGGCATGTGCCACCACACCCGGCTAATGTTTGTATTTTAGTAGAGACGGGGTTTCTTCGTGTTGCTCAAGCTGGTCTCGAACTCCTGAGCTTGGGTAATCCGCCCGCCTCAGCCTCCCAAAGTGCTGGGGTTACAGGCGAGAGCCACCACGCCCAGCCACTTAAAATATTCAATTCACTGGGCAGGCGTGGTGGCTCACACCTGTAACCCCAGCACTTTGGGAGGCCAGGGCGGGCAGATCATGAGGTCAGGAGATCAAGACCATCCTGGCTAATAACATGGTGAAACCCCGTCTCTACTAAAAATACAAAAACAAAATTAGCTGGGTGTGGTGGTGGGTGCCTGTGGTCCCAGCTACTTGGGAGGCTGAGGTGGGAGAATGGCGTGAACCTGGAAGGTGGAGCTTGCAGTGAGCAGAGATCACTCGCCACTGCACTCCAGCCTGGGCAACAGAGTGAGACCCTGTTTCAAAAAAAAAAAATTCAATTCATTTAAAAGAAGAGTAACAAATAACAGATGGGAAAAACAGGAGAAAAAATGCAAGATGGTATGTTTAAACCCAAACAGATCACTAATTACATTAAATGGAAAGAGTGTAAATACTACAATTATTAGCAGAGAAGGTCAGACTAGACTTTAAAAAGGCAAGAGCTCCTAAGCTACAAGAGATGATAAAGACAGGTTAAAAAGAAAGGTTGGGAAGCCATATTCCATGTACACACTAATGAAAAAAGGCTAGGTGGCTCTCAGTATAAGACAAAGTTTGCTTCACAACAAGGATTAGTAACAACAAAGAGGGAGATGCTGATGCTGATGATGATGGTGGTGGCATTAATTCAACAATTAGAAATAACAGTGCTAAATGGTAAATAACAACAGAGCTCAAAATACCTAAAGTAGAAATTGAAATAAATATACCAATCCATAGTTACATTTAGAAGTTTCGGCCGGGCGCGGTGGCTCAAGCCTTAACCCAAGCACTTTGGGAGGCTGAGGCGGGCGGATTGCGCAAGCTCAGGAGTTCGAGACCAGCCTGGGCAACACTGTCTCTACTAAAATACAAACATTAGCCGGGCATGGTGGCGTGCATGTGTAATCCCAGCTACTCAGAAGGCTGAGGCAGGAGAATCGCTTGAACCAGAGCGGGCAGAGGTTGCAGTGAGCTGAGATCGCGCCACTACATTCCAGCCTGGGCACAGACTGAGACTCTGTCTAAAAAAATAAAATAGGCCGGGCATGGTGGCTCTTGCCTGTAATCCCAGCACTTTCGGAGGCCGAGGACGGCAGATCACGAGGTCAGGAGATCAAGACCATCCTGGCCAACATGGTGAAACCCTGTCTCTACAAAAAATACAAAAATTACCTGGGCGTGGTGGCGCACGCCTGTAGTCCCAGCTACTTGGGAGACTGAGGCAGGAGAATTGCTTGAACCCGGGAGGCAGAGGTTGCAGTGAGCCGAGATCGCACCACTGCACTCCAGCCTGGTGACAGAGTGAGGCTCCGTCTCAAAAATAAAAATAAAATAAAATAAAATAAAAACATACTTCTGAACAAAACATGGGTCAATGAACAAATCATAATAAAGGCAATTATAAAATATTTTGAGTAGAATGAAAAACATACCAGAATTTGTGGGATGCAGCTAAAGGAATGCTTAGACAGAGATTTATAGATCCTGTGTGATTGGTGCAAATTTTAAAAGAAATGTATAGAATTAAACAAATTAGAAAAGAAGAAAGGTCTCAAATAAAATGATGTAAACTTCCACCTTAAGAAACCAAAACAAGCTGGTACAAATGCAAGGCTGTTGATAACAAACAGGCTGGTACAAATGCAGTGCTGTTGATAACTAACTGTTCACAACCAGTACAGATTTCTTTGTTCCTTCTTGACTCCCACTGCTTTGTTTGACTGCTCTTAAAAAAAATAAATAAATACAAAATAAGTAGAGGAATGAAATTAATAAAGAGAAAAATTAACAAAAAAGAAAATGGAAAAGCAATTAAAACAAAATGTGGTTCTTTGAAAAGATCAGTTAAATTATCTAGCCAGTCTTAGGGGAAAAAAAGACAAAACTCAAAAAACTGGTATCAGGAATAAAAAGAGGAGGGAAGCAATCACTAGAGATCCTATGGAAATTAAAAAGGTAATAAATATTCTGAACAACTTTATGTCACAACATTTAATATAAAATGGGCAAATTTCCTTAAAGACAAAAACTAGCACAGTTCACTAACAAAGAAACAGATAACCTCCATCAAATGAATTGAACTTGTAGTTCAAAATCTTCCCAATAAGGCAACTTCAGACCAAGACAGCTTTACTGGTGAATTCTGCCAAACACTTAAGGTAGAAATAATGCCAATTTTACACAAACTTTTCCTTTCCGGAAAATCAAAGAGAAAATACATCCTAGCTCATTTTATAATGAAGTATTAGCCTAACATCAAAACCACACAAAGATGTGAGACAAGAAATTTATAGACTAATATCCTTCATGAACATAGACACAAAAATCCTTAACAAAACATTAGTAAATCCAATCCAGCAACCTAGCAAAAGGATAATACATCACAACCAAATGTGAGTTATCCCAGGAATGCAAGGTTTTCCAACATTTTGAAAATCACCAAAATTTATTTCATTAACTAAAAAAGGAAAACTCTGTTATCATCTTAACAGATGTAGAGAGTATGACAAAATTCAGTATCTATTCATAATGATAATTCTTAGCAAACTAAAAATATAAGTAAATTTCCTCAATCTGATCTATACTACATGAAGAAAGACCAAATGCTTTCCCCTAAGATCATGAGCAAGAGGATGCTTACTCACACCACTCCTATTCAATCTCACATTGGAAAAACTAGTCAGTGGAATTGGGCAAGAAAAAATGAAGATACACAGATTGCAAAGGAAGAAACACATTATTTGTAGACGACATGATCATCTACATAGAAAATTTTAAGGAAGGCCGGGTGCGGTGGCTCAGGCCTGTAATCCCAGCACTTTGGGAGGCCGACGCACATGGATCACGAGGCCAGGAGTTCAACACCAGCCTGGTCAACATGGTGAAACCCCGTCTCTACTAAAAATACAAAAATTAGCTGGGCATGGTGGTACGCACCTGTAATCCCAGCTACTCGGGAAGCTGAGAGGCAAGAGAATTGCTTGAACCGGGACCCAGGAGACAGAGGTTGCAGTGAGCCAAGATTGTGCCACTACACTCCAGCCTGGGCTACAAAGCGAGACTCTGTCTCAAAAAAAAAAGAAAAAGAAAAAAAAAAAAAAGGCCAGGTATGGTGGCTCATGCCTGTAATCCCAGCACTTTGGGAGGCCAAGGCATGCGGATCACCCGAGGTCGGGAGTTCGAGACCAGCCTGACCAACATGGAGAAACCCGTCTCTATACTAAAAATACAAAATTAGCCAGGCATGGGGGCACATGACTGTAATCCCAGCTACTCGGGAGGCTGAGGCAGGATAATTGCTTGAACCCAGGAGGCAGAGGTTGTGGTGAGCCGACATCGCGCCACTGCACTCCGGCCTGGGCAAAGAGCAAAACTCTGTCTCAAAAAAAAAAAAAGAAACCTACCAAAAGGCCCATAGAACTAATAAATGAGTTTTTACAGTACACATGGCCAATATCCAAAAAAAAAAAAAAAAAGCTGAATTTCTATGTACTAGCAATAAACAAATATTGAAACTTTTTAGAGTATATTTAAAATAGCAAGAAAATATAAAATACTTTGGGAAAATGTATTTATTTTTTGTAAAACCAGGATCTCACTATGTTGCCCAAACTGGTCTTAAACTCCTGGCCTCAAGCAATCCACCTGCGTAGAACTCCCAAAGTGCTGGATTACAGGTATGAGCCACTGTGCCTGTCTGGAAAGTTTTTAATATACTGACTACTAAAGTTTTTAATATACTGACTACAAAACAATGCTGAAAATAAACTTAAATGATCTAAATAAATGAAGAGTTATACCATATTCATAGACTTGAAGACTCAATATTGTTAAGGTTTCAATTCTCCCCCAAACTGATCTATAGAGTCAACACAATGCCAGTTAAAATCCCAACAGGCTTTTCTGTAGAAACTGACAAGTTGGCTCTAAAGTTTACATAGCAATGCAAAGGATCTAATATATCCAAACCACTTTTGAAAAAGAAGAAAGTTGGTAGACATCTATGTAATTTCATGACTTACTATAAATAGCTTCAAGAATCAGGATAGTATGGTACTGGCAAAGGAATAGGAATATATGTAAAGTGGGACACAGCATCCAATAATAGATCCATACATACAGAACCAACTGATTTTTGACAAAGGTCCCAAGGTAATTCAATGAGATAAAATTGTCTTTTCAATAAATAGTTCTGAACAACTGGATATCAGTATGCAAAAAAAGATGACTCTTAACCCTTACAACAGATAAAAGCTTCATTCAAGGTGGCTCATAGACCTAAATGTATATGCTAAAACTATTAAGACAGAAAAAAACAAACAAGCAAAAAAAACTTTTTTGTTTGTTTGTTGTTTTGAGATGGAGTCTCACTCTGTCACCCAGGCTGGAGTACAGTGGTGCAATCTCGGCTCACTGCAACCTCCACCTCCTGGGTTCAAGTGATTCTCCTGCCTCAGCCTCCCGAGTAGCTAGGATTACAGGTGCACGCCACCGTCTCGGCTAATTTTTGTATTTTTAGTAAAGACAGGGTTACTCCATGTTGGTCAGGCTGGTCTCAAATTCCTGACCTCGTGACCCACCCGTCTCAGCCTCCCAAAGTGCTAGGATTACAGGCGTGAGCCACGGCCCGGCCAGGGCAAAAAATCTTTATAACCTTGAGTAGCAAAGATTTCTTACATGGAACACAAAGGCACAAAATCATTTAGAAACACAAATTGGAGCCGGGCGCGGTGGCTCACGCCTGTAATCCCAGCACTTTGGGAGGCCGAGACAGACGGAACACGAGGTCAGGAGAACGAGACCATCCTGGCTAACACGGTGAAATCCTGTCTCTACTAAAAATACAAAAAATTAGCCGGGCATGGTGGTGGGCGCCTGTAGTCCCAGCTACTTGGGAGGCTGAGGCAGGAGAATGGTGTGAACCCGGGAGGCGGAGCTTGCAGTGAGCCGAGATAGTGCCACTGCACTCCGGCCTGGACAAAAGAGCGAGAGACTGTCTCAAAAAAAAAAAAAAAATGGATTTGATCAAAATATAAATCTTTTGCTCTTCAGAGGACAGTGCTGTATAATGAAAATGCCAGTCACACGCTGAGAGAAAATGTTTGTGAAGCCTGTCTAATAAAGGGCTTGTATTGAGATTATATAAAAATATCTCACAACTCATTAAGACAACTCAATAAAAATGAGCAGAAGATCTGAACAGCCACTTTTCCAAAGAGATACAAATGGAAAATAGGTACATGAAAAGATGCTCAACAAGTCGTTAAGAAAATGCAGATTAAGCCGGGCGTGGTGGCTCACGCCTGTAATCCCAGCACTTTGGTAGGCTGAGGCGGGTGGATCACCTGAGGTCGGGAGTTCAAGACCAGACTGACCAACATGGTGAAACCCCGTTTCCACTAAAAATACAAAAAAAAAATTAACTATGCATGGTGGCTGGCGCCTGTAGTCCCAGCTACATGGGAGGCTGAGACAAGAGAACTGCTTGAACCTGGGAGGTGGAGGCTGCAGTGAGCCGAGATTGAGCCACTGCACTCCAGCCTGGGTGACACAGTGAGACTCTGTCTCAAATAAATAAATAAATAAATAAATAGAAAATGCAGATTAAAACCATAATGAAGGATAACACTACAAACCACTAGAATGGCTGTAAGTAAAGACTGCCAATATCCAGCACTTGGCAAAGATAAAGATCAACTGGACCTCTCATACGTGGCTGCAGAACAGTATAAGCACTTACCCTATAGGACTCAGCAATTCCACTCCCAGGTGTTTATCAAAGAGAAGTAAATTGCATCCACTTAAAAGACTGATACTCGGCCGGGCACGGTGGCTCATGCCTGTAATCCCAGCACTTTGGGAGGCGGAGGCGAGTGGATCACCTGAGGTTGTAAGTTTGAGACCAGCCTGACCAACATGGAGAAACCCTGTCTCTACTAAAAATACACAACTAGCTGGGCGTGGTGGTGCATGCCTGTAATCTCAGCTACTTGGGAGACTGAGGCAGGAGAATCGCTTGAACTTGGGAGGCGGAGGCTGCGGTGAGCCGAGATCGCGCCATTGCACTCCAGCCTGGGTGACAAGAGCGAAACTCCATCTCAAAAAAAAAAAGACTGATACTCAAATGTTCCTAGTAGCTCTACTCATAACAGCCCAAACTGGAAAATACAAACGTCTCTCTATTGATGAATGGATAAACAAATTGTGGTTTATCCATACAATGGATTATTACCCAGAAATAAAAGGAATTAACTATTGCTACATGCAACAACAGAGATGACTCTCAAAAGCATTATGCTAAAGGAAAAAAGCCAAAGATCACCACTCAGCTTATCTTTCTGTAAGGCTAACTCAAGTCAATCTGGCAATTTTGAGTAGTTCCAACAAATTACATTAGCAACTACTTTCATGAAGTTCACTGCAAAGAAATCTGTACGTTTCTAATATGACCTAAAACCCAACAGGGCAAGCATTCAAGGTAAGGACCAATACTAGCAAACTCTTAAATGGCTGGTTTAAGTTGGGACTATATGCCTTGATTGATCTATGGGCGTAGTAACCATTGGGTAACAATTCAAGATAATGACAAATACTAGCGAGTTTTTTTTGTTTTGTTTTGTTTTTGAGACAGAGTCTCGCTCTGTCGCCAGGCTGGAGTTTAGTGGCGTGATCTCGGCTCACTGCAACCTCCAACTCTCTGGTTCAAGCGATTCTCCTGCCTCAGCCTCCTGAGTAGCTGGGATTACAGGCACCCGCAACCAAGCCCAACTAATTTTTGTATTTTTAGTAGAGATGGGGTTTCATCATGTTGGCCAGGCTGGTCTCAATCTCCTGACCTCAGGTGACCCATCTGCCTCGGCCTCCCAAAATGCTGGGATTACAGGAGTGAGCCACTGCGCCCAGCCAGCAAACTCTTTTTTTTTTTTTAAGACGGAGTCTCGCTCTGTCATTAGGCTGGAGTGCTGTAGCGCCATCTCAGCTCACTGAAACCTCAGCCTCCCGGGTTAGAGGGATTCTCCTGCCTCAGCCTCCTGAGTAGCTGGGACTACAGATGCACAACACCACACCCAGCTGATTTTTTATATTTTTAGTAGAGACGGGGTTTCACCGTGTTAGCCAGGATGGTCTCGATCTCCTGACCTCATGATCCACCCGCCTCGGCCTCCCAAAGTGCCGGGATTACAGGCGTGATCGGCCTAGGCCGCCGTGCACGGTGGCCTACGCCAGCAAACTCTTAAATGGCTTAAGTTGGGACTATATGCCTTGATTAATCTATGGGCATAATAACTATTGGAGAACCCAGTTCCTTAGTGTAAAATGCAACTTACATTTTAATAATATGATATATGAGAATAAAGACAACTGCTAATGCCCATAATCAAAATGGAGTCTAAAACAGCCTTGAAAACAGAAAAATAGATAGAAACTTAAGACTACTTGCCGAGTAGTCTTCTTTATGACAGGATGCTTGAGTTCAGGGCCCTTTAAAGAAAAAACAATTACCCCAAAGTGCCATCCCCTCACCGTATCTCCCACCAGACTAAAACTATTTTTGTTAAACATATGCAAATGTTAAAATGCAACATAATATGTCTTTTAGCCTTCATATAATGTAAAAACTCAAGGTGGTTTAAAGTGAAATATTTTTAAAATGGTGAAATTCAGCCAGGCACGGTGGCTCAGATCTGTAATCCCAGCACTTTGGAAGGCCGAGGCGGGTGGATCACAAGGTCACAAGACTGGGACCGTTCTGGCTAACACGATGAAACCCCACCTCTATGAAAAATACAAAAAAAATTAGCCAGCCGTGGTGGTGGATGCCTGTAGTCCCAGCTACTCGGGAGGCTGAGGCAGGAGAATGGCGTGAACCCGGGAGGCAGAGCTTGCAGTGAGCCAAGATGGCACCACTGCACTCCAGCCTGGGCGACAGAGTGAGACTCTGTCTCAAAAAAAAAAAAAAAAGGTGAAATTCAAATTAACAACATTATTTTAAAGAGAGAGATCGATGATTAGCTGAAACCAAATTGCTAAGTTCAACACAGGCTTGGTCCTGACTATTAAGGAGCAAGATTTGTTTAGTCAGGCCTGTCCCCTTGCAGGTCTATGCAAAAATGTCTCAGCCATCCCACCTCTCTTCTCTGAATTTCTCCTTCAGTGGGCTACCTCTGGGCCCGAGATAGAATGTTATTAAGACCAACCAACACTCTCCTCAAAGCCTATGGCAAACAGTGTGCCGAGGCACACCAGGACACAGGACTCTGGTGGCAAAGCCCATGGGCATATTGCTGACCCGCCCATGATCTAAATATGCTTCCCACTACCCCTGGCTCATTATCATATTTGGCTGGGTGCAGTGGCTCACTCCTGTAATCCCAGCACTTTGGGAGGCCGTGGCAGGCAGATCATCTGAGGTCCAGCCAGGGCGACAGAGGGAGACTGATTGAGCCCAGGAGTTTGAGACCAGCCTGAGCAACATGGCAAAACCCCGTCTATATTAAAAATAAAAAAATTAGCCAGGCATGGTGGTGCGCACCTGTAGTCCCAGCTACTCAGGAGACTGAGGCAGAAGGGTTGCTTGAACACAGGAGGTGAAGGCTGCAGAGAATCAGGATTGCACCACTGCACTCCATACTGGGCGAGACCGACCGTCTCGAAAACAGAAAAGAAAAATGAAGTCCTCTTGGTATTTTAAATTTTTATTTTTTTATTTTCAGGTTAAGATCAATCTACAAGGAGATATAGTAGATCGTGGAAGCACTAATCTGGGAGTGAATCAGGCCGGCTTCACCTTACACTCTGCAATTTATGCTGCACACCCGGACGTGAAGTGCGTGGTGCACATTCACACCCCAGCAGGGGCTGTGGTGAGTGGCTGCCCTGGTAGCATCTCAAGGTTAAAAAAAGAAAAGAATCTGTGTTCATAAAGCGACACCATCACATAGTGAAAAACAGACAAAAAAGAAACAGGCAATATCTGCAACACATACAACCAATAAAGAGCTGCTACTGAGTGTATATAAAGAAATCCCACAAGTCAATAAGAAAAAGACAACCCAACAGAGCTGTGGTTCTCAAAGTGTGGTCCGAGGACCCCATTCAGATGGTCCAGCATAGCCTAGAGCCGCAGCGAGGGTAAGGCCATGCTATAAGCCTAGTTGCCAACCTGAACATATCATTGATAATTAACTAAGTTCTCTGACAAATTTCAGTGTTAAAGCTATAATGAAGAATTAGAAGGGAAAGCATTATTTTCCAAATACTAAAAACAAATCTGGTTGACACCTATGTTAAATATGTATCAGCAGACAGATATTAAAAAGTTGAGCAAGTTTCAAGAAATCTGTGGTTAACTACTAATGGCTAGCAAAATAGGATTTTCACCCTAACACCCTTCAGCAGGCCCACGAGTCAAAACTATTTTCAAATTTGTACCAAAATGTCCTCTGCCTTTTTCACTGTGCTGACATTCACACTGACAGGGAAAAAAACAATGGTGGGGAAAAGAGTGAAACACCAATGCAAGGACGAAGACAGCAGGAGCAAAGCATGCTAGTGGCTGCTGCATTCTTCACTGCCACACACTTCAGAGCTGTGAGGCGGGAAAAAAGCCAGTTCCACTTAAGAATGTCCTTGATGCAATAAAAATAATTATTTTGCATAAATCTCAACCCCTGAGCACAAGTCTTCTGAATATTCTGCGTGACGAAGTGGGAAGTATACACAGAGCATTTATTTCTCCGGCACGCCCCAGGAAGAGTCCGCCTCGAGGAATCTCACTGTGCATTGTGAGATGAATGGCCCTTCACCTGTGAAATGTCAATTTTACTTCAAAAAGTGACTGATGGGCCAAACTATGGTTATTTGGACTTGGATATTTGTCAGATATTTTCCAAAATGAACAAAATGAGTCCGTCACTTCAAGGCAATTTGGCACTATTTGTGACCAATAAAATCTGAGCTTTTCTCATAATCATAATTTTTCTGAGCAAAAATTAGAACTCTGGAAAACTTTCACCTGCCACTGTGGGCTTGAAAACTCAACATTTAAAGAACTTTCTGATGAGATCAGTGGTGGTATTAACAAATATGATTTTTTTGTAACAAATATGATTTTTTAAAAATAATGATGAAAAGTATTAATATCAGGAAAATCTGTCTACCTTAGTAAACCAATACTTTACAAATAACCAACATGTGATGTTACAAGCCACGCATGGGCAAGATATCCATTCAGAGGACAAGACAGACCAATGGACTTTCACATAACAGTGTAGGGAAAAGCCACTGATTGGTTTTAGCTTCTACACTACACCTAACCCTTGAGAAACTAACTTGTCATGGTTTGGTACAGCATCAAAGAAAAATATCCACAATTCTCTAAAAAAGCCAATAAAATATTTCTTCAAATACTTCAATCAGAACAACCTATCACAACAGGTTCCACACAGAGGCAGATATAAGAAACCAGCTTTGTTCTATCATTCAGATATTAAAGAGGTTTGTTAGGCCGGATGCGGTGGCTCACGCCTATAATCCCAACACTTTGGGAGACAGAGGTGGGTGGATCACGAGGTCAGTATTTCAAGACCGGCCTGACCAAGATGGTGAAACCCCCATCTCTACCAAAAATACAAAAATTAGCCGGGCGCAGTGGCAAACGCCTGTAATCCCAGCAACATGGGAGGTTGAGGCAGGAGAATCACTTGAACCCAGGCAGCAGAGGTTGCAGTGAGCTGAGATTATGCCACTGTACTCCAGCCTGGGTGACAGAGTGAGACACTGTCTCAAAAAAAAAAAAAAAAAAAAAAAGAGGTTTGCAAAATATACAAAACACGGCCACTCTACTTACTAAACCATTTTTTTTTTTTTTTTTTTTTTTTTTTTGAGACAGAGTCTCACTCTGTCGCCTAGGCTGGAGTGCAGTGGTGCAATCTCAGCTCACTGCAACCTCCACCTCCTAGGTTCAAGTGATTCTCCTGCCTCAGCCTCCCCAGTAGCTGGGATTACAGGCATGTGCCACCATGACGGGCTAATTTTGTATTTTCAGTAGAGACGAGGTTTCGCCATGTTGGCCAGGCTGGTCTCGAACTCCTGACCTCAGGTGATCCGCCCATCTTGGCCTCCCAAAGTGCTGGGATTACAGGCGTGAGCCACCGTGTCCGGCCCTACTTACTAAACCATTCTTGTTTTTGGAAAATAGTTTTCATTTAAAAACATGCTACTGATCTTAACATGGAATCAGTCAAGTATATAAACCACCTATGGCTCAGCAATTCCTTCTATTTATAGACAACAGAATGTCATGTGTGCTCCACAATCAGCAAGATTTGGAAACAACTAAAATGCAACATGTTCACAAAGGAGGATGGCATCTAGCAATGAAAATAGAGAAACAAGATTTATGACTCTCAAACATAATGCTGAGCAAAATAAGTAAGACATAAAATAACACACAGTACGATTACATTTCTGTAAAATTCAAAACACCAGGAAAACTGTACTACAGTATTTGTGGGTAGATGCTTAGGTGATATAACTAACAAAGAACAGTAAGAGTGAGGACTAGGAGCAGCCGGCAAGTGTGAACTTGCTGCAAGAGGGTAATGACTAGAAGGGGTTCAAGAAGGGATCTGGGTTAACAGCAACGCTTGATTTTTGACCTGCATGGTAGCAGAAATTACCCCACATATATTAACCATTACAGTAAGTGATGAGGATTGATTTCACCATTAAGATGCAGACTCTCGCCTGGGCATGGTGGCTCACACCTGTAATGCCAGCACTTGGAGAGGCCAAGGTGGTAGGATTGCTTGGGCGCCGGAGTTCAAGATCAGCCTGGGCAACACAGTAGGGACCCATCCCTACAAAAAATTTAAAAAAAAAAAAAAAATCATCCAGGACTGTTGGCGTGCAGCTGTAATCCCAGCTACTCAGGAGGCTAAGCTGGGAGAATCACTTGAGCCCAGGAGGTCGAGGCTGCAGTGAGCTGTTTTCGCACCACTGCACTCCAGCCTGAGTGACAGAGAGAGGCCTTGCCACCAAAAAAAAAAAAAAAAAAAAAAAGGAAAAAGAAAAAAGAAAAAAAGCAGACTCTCAATTAAAACCACGTAAAGTCTACCTCTATATATACTGCATAAGAACACCTAAACAGACTAACACAAAGAAATCAAAATTAAAAGGATGTGCAGATGTGCAAAAAAAAGAATGGGAGGGAGCTCCCATAGCTAAACAAACAGAAAACAACGCCCTTCAGGAGAAAGGCACGACCACAGATGGGGTCCGTGCAGTAACAGGAATGATACGCCAAGACTTAAAGACTTAATAATAATTTCAACCTGTATTCTACCCAGCACTCTTGAAATATGTAAAGCAAAACAAACTTTTTAAGGAAGACAGGAAAAAGACACATTCATAGTAGGACATTTTAAATAACACTCAGAAATTGACAGATTAAGCACCAAAAAAGCAATAAAACCACGGAAACACAGAAGGATTTAAGAACACAATTAATGAGGTCCTGAGCCTTCCACCTAAACCCAGAGAAAACATTATTTTCCAGCACAAACAGAATAATTTAAAAAAGTAACTATGTATTAGAACTAGCAAATACAGCAAATACAGTGATTAATAAGGAATCACTATCATACAGACCATGATTTTCAACTATAACAGCATTAAATTAAAAGTCAACATGATTAAAAGTAATTCAAGTGGCTGGCCGTGGTGGCTCACCCCTGTAATTTCAGCAAGTTGGGAGGGTGAGGCGGGCGGATCACCTGAGGTCAGGAGTTTGAGACCAGCCTGGCCAACATGGTAAAACCCCGTCTCTACTAAAAATACAAAAATTAGCTGGGCATGGTGACACACGCCTGTAATCCCAGCTGCTCAGAAGGCTGAGGCATGAGAATCACTTGAACCCAGAAGGCAGAGGTTGCAGTGAGCCAAGATCGTGCCACTACACTCCAGCCTGGGTGACAGAGTGAAATTCCGTCTCAAAATAATAATAATAATAATTCAAGAGATATGTGTTTGGATACTTACACGTACTTCTAAATAATTCACGGGTGAAAACAGAAATAATAAAAACTAGAAAATAATGAAAATTGGCCGGGTGCAGTGACTCACACCTGTACTTTGGGAGGCCAAGGTGGGCAGATCACGAGGTCAGGAGATCGAGGCCATCCTGGCTAACATGGTGAAACCCCGTCTCTACTAAAAATACAAAAAAAAATTAGTCAGGCGTGGTGGCATGCACCCGTAGTCCCAGCTACTTGGGAGGCTGAGGCAGGAGAATGGTGTGAACCCAGGAGGCGGAGCTTGCAGTGAGCCGAGATCGCACCACTGCACTCCAGCCTGGGTGACTGAGCAAGACTCCGTCTCAAAAAAAAAAAAAAAAAAAAAAATTAGCTGGGCGTGGTAGTGCATACCTGTAATCCCAGCTACTAGGGCGGCTGAGGAAGGAGAATGGCTTGAACCCAAGAGGCGGAGGTTGCGTTGAGCCGAAATCACGCCATTGAACTCCAGCCTGGGCAACAAGCGTGAAACTCCATCTCAAAAAAAAAAACAAAAAAAGCCAGGCGCGGTGGCTCACACCTATAATCCCAGCAATCAGGAGGCCGAGGTGGGCAGGTCACGAGACTGAGACCATCCTGGCTAACACGGTGAAACCCCGTCTCTACTAAAAAATATATATATATACATATATATATACACACAAAATTAGCCAGGCATGGTGGTGGGCGCCTGTAATCCCAGCTACTCAGGAGGCTGAGGCAGGAGAATGGCGTGAACCCAGAAGGCGGAGCCTGCAGTGAGCTGAGATGGCGCCACTGCACTCCAGCCTGGGCAATAGAGCGAGACTTCGTCTCAAAAAAAAAAAAAAAAAAAAAAAAAAAGGCCGGGTGCAGTGGCTCACACTTGTAATCCCAGCACTTTGGGAGGACGAGGCGGGCGGATCACAAGGTCAGGAGATCCAGACAATCCTGGCTAACATGGTGAAACCCAATCTCTACTAAAAATACAAAAAATTAGCCGGGCGTGGTGGTGGGCGCCTGTAGTCCCAGCTACTTGGGAGGCTGAGGCAGGAGAATGGTGTGAACCCGGGAGGCTGAGCTTGCAGTGAGCTGAGATCGCGCCACTGCACTCCAGCCTGGGCAACAGAGCGAGATTCCGTCACAAAACAAAAACAAAAACATCAAAACGAAAAACATGGCCAGCCTCATGCCTCTAATCCTAGCACTTTGGGAGGCCAAGGTGGGTGGATCACCTGAGGTCAGGAGTTCAAGAACAGCCTGGCCAACATGGTGAAACCCCATCTGTACTAAAAATGCAAAAATTAGCTGGGTTGATGGCACGTGCCTGTAATCCCAGCTACTCAGAGGCTAAGGCAGGATTATCGTTTGAACCTATGAGGTGGAGGTTTCAGTGAGCCGAGATCACACAACTGCACTCCAGCCTGGGAGACAACAGCGAAACTCTGTCTCAAAAAAAAAAAAAAAAAAGAACAGAACATCTCTAGAGGAAGATTCAAGCATCTGCCAATAGTGGAGGCCTCTGGGAAGGCAAAGAGGATAAAGAGAGAGAGCCAGAGGAAACTAACTTTGCACTGTTCTCTTTCGGGCCTCTAAATTTTTTTTTTTTAAATCACATTCACCATAGCATCAACCAATCAAATATTAATATATAGCACATGTATGTATATAAAATAGCAATAATTGCCTGGGTGCAGTGGCTCACGCCTGTCAACCCAGTACTTTGGGAGGCCGCAGCAGGAGGATCACTTGAGGTCAGGAGTTCGAAACCAGCCTGGGCAACATGGCAAAACTCTGTCTCTACTAAAAATACAAAAATTAGCTGGGCACGGTGGTACATGCCTGTAGTCCCAGCTACCCAGGAGACTGAGGCAGGAGAATCCCTTGAACCTGGGAGGTGGAGGTTACAGTGAGCCAAGATCACGCCACTGCATTCCGGCCTGGGCAACAGAGCGAGAATCTATCTTAAAAATAATAATAATAAAAAGCAACAATTAATTAAACAGACAAAGTACAAGTATTTTAAAAGTTAAAAGCTGCTTCTTTGGAAAGACAAAACTGACAAGACTTTTTTTTGGTTTATAATTTTTTTTTTTTTATAGAGACAGAGTCTTTCTATGTTAGCCAGGTTGGTCTTGAACTCCTGGCCTCAAGCAATCCTCCTGCTTCGGCCTCCCAAAGACTACGGTTACAGGTGTGATCCACTGTGCTGGGCCAAAACTGACAGACTTCTAACAAAACTAGTTTAAAAGAAAAAAAAGAAGGCACAAATATGAGAAATAAAAAAGTAGCCGGGTATGGTGGCTCAGGCTTGTAATCCCAGCACTTTGGGAGACCGAGGTGGGCGGATCACCTGAGGTCAGGAGTTAGAGAACAGCCTGGCCAACATGGCGAAACCCCATCTCTACTAAAAATACAAAAAAATTAGCTGGGTGTGGTGGTACGCGCCTACAGTCCCAGCTACTCGGGAGGCTGAGTCACCAGAATCGCTTGAACCCGGGAGGCAGAGGTTGCAGTAAGCTGAGATCGCACCACTGCACTCCAGCCTGGGCGACAGAGAGAAACTCCATCTCAGGAAAAAAAAAAAAAAAAAAAAGAAGAAGAAGAAATAAAAAGTCAAATCTACAAATCAGGTAAGAAGTGAAAAGAGACCATTACACAGAACTTTATACCAGTAACTCTGCCAATTTTTCTTGTTTTAAAAGAGACGGGGTCTCACTGTGCTGCCCAGACTGCAGTACAGTGGCACTATCATACCGCACAACAGCCCAGAACTCCTGGGCTCAAGCGACCCTCCTGCCTCAGCCTCCTGTGTAGCCGCAACTACAGGCATGTGCCACGCTGGTGGGCAACTTTGACAATTTCTAAGAATATAACTTACCAAAACTAACCTGACAAGATTTTAACCATTAAAGAAATTGAACCACAACTTTAAAATCTACCTAGAGACATACATGGCTGTGAAGGGGAGGTGAGGCCAAAGGCGGGTCATTCATGAATGGGTAGCCCCAGAGTATTTGCATTCCATGGGTCATGGGCCAAGGCAGAAGAAAACAATAATCAAAGCGACAAAGTCTTGAAGAAGATGAAAACAGATGGGCACCTGAAAGCCCAGTGGGGGTGGGCCTTGGAGAGGAAAGAGAGGAGAAAATGCCCTCAGCTATGGGGGTTTGGGGGTGATACAGGGGAGGTGTTAACTTTGATTTTCTCCCTGAAGCACGAAGGTCAATAGCTGAGCTGAGCAAGGGGTGGGTAAAGAGGGTACACGTAGTCTAAGAAGCAAGGAAAAGGAAGGGTTCCTGCCAAGGAGTTTGGGGAGGTACTTAAGCCAGAAAAACGCACTAGATGCCCATGCATGGTTTGCAGTCATGAAGTTATGAAGAGGAAGCAGTAAACTGAGGCCAGCAATTTTCTCCATGAATATTCTGCCACATGGAGGGAAGAGACAGGGCTGGACCAGCATAACCAAAAAAAGTTCAGGGCCTTTGCCTGAGAGCCACGGAAGAGCCACAGTGCCAAGTCCGGGAACTCAGGCTCCTAGGAGTGAGGTCGGGGAGACGTGATAAACCTAACAGGAATGGAATCCATGGACTGATAGGGATGGATGAGGTCAAAGAACTATGGCAGGTCAGGCGCAGTGGCTCACGCCTGTAATCCCAGCACTTTGGGAGGCCAAGGTAGGTAGATCATTTGAGGCCAGGAGTTTGAGACCAGCTTGGCCATCATCACGAAACCCTGTCTCTACTAAATACAAAGATCAGCCAGGTGTGGTGTTGCGCGCCTATAGTCCCCGGTACTCGGGAGGCTGAGGCATGAGAATCACCTGAACCCAGGAGGCAGAGGTTGCAGTGAGCCAACATCGCACCACTGCATTCCAGCCTGGTGACAGAGCGAGACTGTGTCTCTAAAAAAAAAAAAAAATTAGCCAGGTGTGATGGCGCATGCCTATAGTCCCAGCTACTCGGGAGGCTGAGGCACGATAGTCTCTTGAACCCAGGAAGTGAGGTTGTAGTGAGCTGAGATTGCACCACTGCACTCCAGCCTGGGCAACAGAGCAAGACTCTGTCTCAAAAAAAAAAAAAAACTATGGCAAGAGAAGACAAGCAAGTGAGCTACAAAGACAGACAATGATCAAGATGAAAGTTTGAAATGGAGATTTCTTAGGTTTCCAGGCACGACTATGTCTAGGACGTGATGCTAGGATGGGTCAATCTTGGAAGAAGAGGTCTCCAGAGAAATTTGCAACGTGCAACTGTCAGGCAAGATGTTAAGATAAATTCCCACCAATATTCTCCTACAACTGCTGATAACAGAATGCTTATCTAGAAGACAGCAATTCAGCCCCACTTCCCCTCTGGATGCAGAAAGCTGCAGGAGAGCCGTGCACTCTGAGCCCTGACCAGAGCCCTGACCAGAGACAGAGCAGGACAATTGATAAAATCCTATCTCTGGGCCATCAGAGAGCCGAAGTGACCAGGCTGCCGGAGGGAACTACACAACAAAGTGCAGCAGCCCCTCCAGGGAGAAGGGGACACACTTACTGTTTCACCTTTGACAGAGGAAGGAAAGTGGAAGGAGGCCATAAAAGTGGTTAGAAAAAAAAAAAACAGTTTAACTTTAAACAAATTCTGAAAGGTTGAGAGTGTCAAGTGTGGGAGTCTAACCCCTGGAAAGCCCCAAAACGAATGTTCCCACTCATTCCCAGGAGACCTGCACCCAAGTCTCCAGCTAATCCACTAGCAGAGAGGAAGGAAACATGCCTTTCTCCTTGTCCTGGAGAAAGGCGTGTGCCACACACAGGCCAGGACCAGCACAAGACACGGGGCCGGTCAGACCCCTGCAGATACAAGGCAGAGTCTGGCTGCCACCGGGCAGAGGTGGGCTCGCTGGGAAAGCTGCCCCCAAGGCCGTGAGCACAGAGCTGCCCAAGAGTCAGGCTAGAGGGGGGAACTGAGAAGATGCCACCATCGGAGACCTTGCCAAGGAGGAAGTAGAGAGAGACTCCCCTCTACAGGCCCACACGAGCACGCACAGTGCTAGAGACAGCCCAGCTGAGGCCAAATGCACTGACCTGGCCTCCCAGGTGCACAACAGGACACAGGAAACAACCTCAGCCTGATGCTCTCTGCACACTGTCTGGCATTTGACCAAACAGAACAAGAGAAACAGAAAGCAAGAACCAATAACGTTTAAGGAAGAGATGATAATACCAATTCTAACACAGTCTTCCAGAAAGGAGAAGAAACAGGAACACATTCTAACTCATTTTATGAGACCCCGAAGGCCACTGTAAGACAAGAGGCCTACAGACAGCCTTCATGAGCACAGATGCAAAAATCATTAACATAACTTTAGCAAATCAATCCAGCAACACATAAAAAGGATGTCCACAGAAGAAAAATAATGTTCATAGCAGCTTTTTTCAAAATAGCCCAAACGTGGGAACAACACAAACATCCATCAATTAATTGGTGAATGCATAAATTGGTTTATCTGTAAAATTACTCAATAAAAAAGAGAAACTACGGATGCATGCAACATTTTGGGTAACTCTCAAAAGCATTATGCAAGTTACAGAAGTATATGTGACACTCTGGAAAAAGCAAAACTGTAGGAACAAAAATCAGGTCAGGCCAGGCGCGGTGGCTCATGCCTATAATCCCAGCACTATGGAAGGCAGAGGCGGGCGGATCACGATCGAGACCATAATGGCCAACATGGTGAAACCCCATCTCTACCAAAAATACAAAAATTAGCTGGGCATGGTGGCGCGTGCCTGTAGTCCCAGCTACTGGGGAGGCTGAGGCAGAAGAATTGCTTGAACCCGGGAGGCGGAGGTTGCAGTGAGCCAAGATTGTGCCACTGCACTCCAGCCTGGGTGACAGAGCGAGACTCTGTCTCAAAAAAAAAAATTCAGGTGAGTGGTTACCAGAGGCTAGGACGGGGGAAGGGAAGTGACTACCAAGGGGAACAAGGGGATTTTATGGGGTGATGCAAATGTTCTGTAGCTTAGCTGTGGTAGTGAACATTTTTTAAGTAAAAAAAGAGTGAATCTTAATGGAAGGTAAATCATGTTATTTTTTTAAAGGCCAGCTCCAACAAAGAGGCTGACCTACAAAGCAACAGCTGGTCCGAATCCACAAACACAGGCCAACACTACACCTCTGCTGTTCCCAAGGTCACTGTTTCTGGTGAGGAGAGAATGGCTCATCTGACAAACTATCCATTACCAAGACAAGCCGGGGGCTGGGAAATGAGATCCTCCTCCAACGCAGGCAAGACGCACTGCAGGGAACCATAGGCACTTCCGCTGGCCTCTGGACCAGGGCAAACAGCAGAAGCCTGTTCCCAAGGGCAGAGGCAGGCTAAAATACAAGAGCAGGGCTGGAGTCGGAAGAAGAGCTGATAAAGTTTAATGAGAAAACAAACCAACCACCACAAAAAGCAAAGAAAATGGTATTGGTAAAAAAACAAACAAAAAAACCACACAAAGAAAACCATAAAAATAGCTGTCTTTGTAGAGTTTATATTCTAATGAAGAAGAAAGCAAACCAAATGAGTAAGTAAAATACATAGTATGTTAGAAATAAGTGCTAGGAAGAGAATTACAGCAGGAAAGCGGGACATGCGGGAGGGGCCGAGTGAGAAAGTAATTCTGACAATGAGACCCCAAGGATAGAAACTGGCCCTGGAGATGGGGCTTGCCTCCAAGGCCAGTAAAGATGGAAACCCACACCAGGCAGTGGGGATGCGCTCTTCAGATTGTCACCAGGACTCCCCCAAGGCAGTTCTGCAGGAGAAAACAGAGGAGCAGGGAATGCACACGTTTCCTGGCTGCACATAGCAAGGTATCAGAAGGAAGAGAAGAGCTCAGAAAATAATTAGCCGCTTTCAAGCAGAAATCAAAGGGCACAGAAGAGGCCTAGAATGTGGGGTCTCAAATAGTTGCAAAAGCCAACTCCTTCCAGAACCCAAACAGTACATGTGAAAGCCTGCCCGGAACAAGGGCCCACCAAAACTCCATCAGGTCAAAGATAAGAGTAAGGGTGCGGTCTTCCCAGCCAAGCCTGCTGTGGCCTCGAAGAGGCTGAAGCAGCACAAATAAGTAAAAGGGAAGGTGAGGCTTAAGAGCATCGCGTAAAGAATTACCTGCATGTCGAATTGTTGAGAACTAAACACATGAAAATTGTACTCCCTTTTCAAGAAACTGTACCACCAAAGAAATACTAAGCTCAAAGCCAAAAATCACCCTTCAGGGTCACATAGCTTGATGACTGAATTGTGCCCAGACAAGGAGGGCAGGTGTCCTGCCACCTACTGCAGTGTGGCCAGGGAAGACCAGGAGGAACGTACCAGGAGACACAGACTAGAAGGTGGTGCAGGAGGGAGTGCCCCCTGAAGCAAAAGCAAATCCATTTCTTTCACTGCCAGTTACCCCATAACCTGGGCGGGGGGAGCCAACGCCCTGCGCTGCCTGTGCTGGCAGCCACTCACCACTGGCTGGTCAAGGCCGCCATGCCTCTCCTCCTTCTCCACGGTCCTGCGGCAGTCCGGGCACACCCACAGTGGCAGGTGCAGCACGCTGTTGCCCTTGGGAGCCATGGAAAGGGCCAATTTGCTCGCAGTCTTAATTCCACTCTCTAAGAATGATGAGTCTTTCCGTTCACTTCTGCACAGAAGACAATAATCCCCAGCAGGGTAGGGTGGTGTCCTATGATTCATGCCAAAACTAAAAGGAGTCTGGAATAGAAAAAAAAAATTCTATTTTCAAAACCTCATCTACAAAGCCAAGAATATTAAAATATATGTATAGTTCTAAAACTAAAATGCATGTGTATGTTTATATACAGAAACATAAAATAGGAAATGTATTGAATAAAACTAAACCTAATGTTCTAGAAACTCGTAATACTTTAAATAGTGCCATAAAGAAAATCTTATCTTAGTACGAGTTAGAAAATTGTCAAAATTAACCCCTTCACCTTGACTTCTGTATTACTTTTCCACCACATGCTAGAAACTGTCAGCCTCAATTTTCAGACTGTTTACCAGAACTGGTTACCACCAACGAAGTCTGAAACTACTATTCTAGAGGCATCTGCACACCAGGGCTCAGATTCAAGATGGCAATTCTGGCTTAAGTGTGTCTGCAGATGCAAACCATCTTTGAGGTCGGCTGTCCAAATTCCAGATTCAAGATAAACAGGGAGCTGATGGCAGCTGCACATCCAAGGCCCAGACGCCCTTCCAGGCCCAGCAGTAATGATGCTGAGCTCATCTCTTATCACCTGATGTAAATAAACATCTGCATTTTCAAATAGGTCCTACAATGTGGGGCAAGGGGAAGAGGCCTTAGAGGTAGGAGGAAAAGGCAAGATTGTTATACCTTAAAACCTCTCAAAAGATAACCACCCACTCTATCAGAAAAAAAATAAAATTAGCCTTTAAAACACAAATACAGAAAAAGAAACTGAAGGCTGGGCACAGTGGCTTACGCCTGTGATCCCAGCACCTGGGGAGGCAGAGGTGAGATGATCATTTGAGCTCAGAGGTTTGAGACCAGCCTCAGTAACATAGCAAGACTTCGCCTCTGCAAAAAATCCAACTATTAGCCAGGCATAGTGGTGCGTGCCTGTAGTCCCAGCTACTAGGGAGGCTGAGGTGAGAGGATTGCTAAAACCCAGCAAGTCGAGGCTGTAGTGAGCTGTGATCGTGCCACTGCACTCTAGCCTGGGTGAGAGGGCAAGACCCCGTGTCAAAAAAAAAAAAGAAAGAAAAATCCAGCCTGGCCAACATGGTGAAACCCTGTTTCTATTAAAAACACAAAATTAGCTGGGCGTGGTGGTGTGCACCTGTAATCCCAGCTACTCAGGAGGCTGACGCAGGAGAATCGTTTGAACCTGGAAGGTGGAGGTTGCAGTGAGCCAAGATCACGCCACTGCATTCCAGCCTGGGCAATAGAGCAAGACTAAGTCTCAAAAAAAAAAAAAAAAAAAAAAAAAAGGAAAAGAAAAGAAAAAGAAAGAAACTGAGTCTCACACAACTGGAAATGGGGTTAAAGTCCCAAGACCAGCAAGTGTGTGTGTGTCGGGGGAGACACAGGATTTTTAACCCGTATCAACCCAATCCTAAGACGGGTCCTTCACACAGGGCTGCCTCTGCACCTTAGGAGGAAGCCCCTTCGAACCCTGAGGAGAGGCTGGAGGGAGGCACTCCCAGGGAGCAGGGCAAAGGGAAGCCTCGCCTGGCCTTCCAGAGGCAGCCAGAAAAAGGGCACACAGTGGGGTGGAGGTGAGAGAACCCCCGCTAGTCTCTCCTGCCGTGTAGGGTGTCCTTGCTGCAAGACATGCCAGGTGGGAAGAGAGTGGACCCAGCTGACGCTGTTCTGGCTTTTCAGTCTCCATCTCCACCCAGAAGCTTCTCCAAGGCCGGCTAGACCTGTAGCTCTTCCCACAGCCTCGAGCTGTCTCCCCATCCCACCACCGGTATTCAAAAGGACCCACTGTACATAACGGATTGGCCCCTGAACAGCCACTGAGGGCTCTCATTTGGACCCCAGGCTCCATTCTTAAGACTTCCTGCTGACCGGCAGGAAGCACATATTTAAACAAGGGGCTGAATGTATAAATGAATGAATTAGTGATTGAAAGAATGAATGACAATACCAGCAAGACTCAAAAGATGTTCATATATATTCTCACATGTTTCCATGAACCAGTGATCAAAACTGCTGACTCCTGTTACATCCACAGGGTTGTGAGTTTTCCCAAACCCAGCTCAGCAGCCATCCTGAGCTGAATGTTTGGGGCACAGGGGCAGACAACTGCGTCCTACCTCCCCACAGTGTCCTAGAGAACGCCAGACTACTCAAACCACCGAGTACCATGAGAATCCATGTATTTTTCCATACCAACAAATCCCAAAAGCCTAAATGACGACAATTAAAAAAAAAAAAAGGCACACTGATTTACCCCAATATAAAGCCATCTCTTTTCCTCAGGTCTTAGAAAACAGCTCCCATCACTGGCAGAACAGCCATACCCATCAGACCTTTCTGGCTTGCCCTTTTAATTACAGAATGAGATGCTGGGCTCTACAGGCCCAAAGGTCCCCAAGCCTAAAATCATAATGTTAAGAGCCAGAAATGACCAGAGAGCGCACAGCTCAGCTCCTGTACATTCACCAGTCATCCAGGATTTACTGAGCCCATCACATGCTCAGGGACTGGTCCAGGCACTGAGGGCACAATGGTGAAGAAAACTGTCAAAGACAAAGGCAATAAATAAGACAAATACATGAAAAAATTAACTAATTAAATAGTGATAAGGAGAAAAACATAACAGCAAAGAAGATCTGTACCCTTTAACCCGGTGGACAGTGAGGGCCTCCTTGAGGAGACCCCCGAAGCCGACATGGCTGTACCTTGTGGGGAGCCCAGTGGCTGGCATGGGGCTGACAAGAGCAGAAGGAGAGATGGGGGAGAGCTGAGGGCCACTGAAGTCAAGGAGTGACTCTGAGGCTGCGTGCAGAGAGAGATGGGATGGGACAATGGGAAGAAACGACTATCTGCAGTTCAGGAGCCAGACAGCAGCAGCTTGGACCAGGGCTGCAGGAAGGGAAGTGGATAAGGCTGTGAAGGAGCCAGCTGTGAGGTGTGAGAGGAGGAGAAGAGCTAGGGACAAGTATGAAGCGTCAGGTGCTGGGTATTTTTTCATTCCTTCAGTATCTGAGCTTCGTCATGGGCCATAGGAGGGTTGTTTGGGAAGAGTCTGGTCCTTTCAGGGCTTGTAGGCTCTGTAAGGCAGCATCAGAACGCCTTTCCTCTTACCCACAACTGAGGCAATATCCTCCTAAGCTGCCACCCAGGGTCCTGCAGGTTGTAAGATTTTCCCACAATGGCTGGTGGGAACACACACTGCTCCTGGCCCTGTGTGAGCTGCAAGGTTTGTCCCGCTCCTCACTTCCAGGGTGCTAGCCCAGGCGCAGAGAGCTTCCCCACAGGCATGTGCTTATGCGCCCTCAGCTGGGCTTGGGGAGAACCCTATGCAGAGCTCTTCCTTCCCCTCTTTGCAGCTCTCTCCTCTCTGGTACTCTGCCCTGCAAATTTACTTTGGCCTCCCCAAAGTCTCAACTCAGCCTCCTCAATCAAGGAGATCCTCAGACTCGGTCTGGGTAGCTCTCCAAGTCCTAGCCTTCAGACTCTCTCCAGGCAGGAAGCCTGGGCAAGGCTGGAGCTTGCCGCGGTTATTCTTCTTCTCTCAGGGATCACTGTCCTGCCTGCCTGTGGGCCAATGTTGGAAAACTACTACTTGGTACATTTTTTTGGTCCTTTGTTTCACTGTTTGAGACAGGAAGATAAATCCACTTCTAGTTACTACCTCTTGCTTGGAAGCAGAAATCTAGTTACATTGATATTTTTAAAAAATAAATGTAGCAGGCTGGGCGCGGTGGCTCACACCTGTAATCCCAACACTCTGTGAGGCCGAGGCAGGCAGATCAAGAGGTCAGGAGTTCAAGACCAGCCTGGCCAACGTGGTGAAACCCCGTGTCTACTAAAAATACAAAAAATTAGCCGGGTGTGGTGGCGTACATCTGTAATCCCAGCTACTCAAGCTGAGGCAGGAGAATCACTTGAACCCATGAGGCGGAGGTTGCGGCAAGCGGATATCGCGCCACTGCATTCCAGCCTGGGCAAACAGAGCAATACTCCATCTCAAAAAAAAAAATTATATATATGTACCAGAATGAACATTTTACTAGTATCATCCCCCAAATCCTACAAACACATAGATGAAATATGTAAATATATAAAATGTGTATATATATCCATGTAAGGGACCAAGATAACCCAGAAATTTTTGCATAGGAGAATACGGACATATGGCTAAGATGGCAGTATTGCTGAAAACACTTTGGGAACACTACTAACAGCTGAGTTCTACCATCTATGATGTATTTTACCTTTTCTGAATAAACTGATTTTCTACCACCCAGTGACTGTGGCCTGTGTGCATGGGGGTGGGAGGTGTGTGTGTATCATAAAAGACATTAAATCATAATAGCATTTGTTTTCTTGCTAGGCTTATATTCTAGTTTTGAAATTTGTTTCCAAAATGAAATTCCAAATTAAACATGAAAACCCAGATTTACTAAAAATACTTTACAGATAAACTTCTTATAAACATGAAGAAAAAAGGTCATCTTAGGGTAAAAACACAGTAAAAGCAATATCCTCTCGGGTAACAGCAGCACAACCCAGATTAGACCGCCCTATGAAGGCTAATGCAGGAGACACAACAAAGGCCCCGTGCTGGTGACGCTGCCACCTCCTGCCGACCGGCCTTCAGGGCTGTCTGCTCCCCACATGCCCTCCATCTCCTGTCAAAACCCCCTCACACTGTACCTATGACCAGAACATTCTCTGCCTTAAACCCTTCGATTGTTCCTGCTGCCTAAAAAGATCAAGTCCTTAGCAAAGGATCAAGCAGGATACACCAGGCCCTTGGTCAGTGTGTTCTTGCAAAATCACCCACTTGAAACTCCTTACAGTTCCACACTCCCGCCCCAACCAACTATGTGGCTTTATCTCTTCCTGCCTTCATACTTGCTGCTTGCTTCCCTAAAACACCAATCTCCCCGCCTTTCCTTTACAAGACAACTGCGAGGCATCCCTTCAAACCCCACTATGGTAACTTTTTTATTCTGTGAATTTTGCTCCCTACCCCTCAATCAATACGTGTCACACGCAGCTAATTACTACAACTCCTGTACAACTTCTACACTCTTTTTTTTTTTTTGAGAGGGAGTCTTGCTCTGTGACCCAGGCTGGGGTGTAGTGGCACGATCTCGGCTCAGTGCAACCTCCACCTCCCAGGTTCAAGTGATTCTCCTGCCTCAGCCTACCAAGTAGCTGGGATTACAGGCGCGCGCCACCACGCCTGGTTAATTTTTTGTATTTTTAGTAGAGACGGGGTTTCACCATGTTAGCCAGGATGGTCTCGATCTCCTGACCTCGTGATCCACCCGCCTCGGCCTCTCACAATGCTGGGATTACAGGTGTGAGCCACTGCGCCTGGCCAACTTCTACACTTCCTATAGACTATCATATATTCATTATACTACAAAATTATCTTTCACATGTCCATCTTCCCATTAGACACTCAACATTATGAATGTCCATAATGCACCCAGCAACCAGTAGGCGCCCAGTAAATGCTAAGGGAACTGAAATGTCTAGTCCAAATCAATAATACACACTTTGTCTTGCCTACCTCAATCACAATTTTCTGTTTTTTAATTTTGTTTTGTTTTTTTTTTGTTTTTTTTTGTTTTTTTTTGTTTTTTTTTGTTTTTTTTTTTTGAGATGGAGTCTCGCTCTGTCACCAGGCTGGAATGCAGTGGCGCCATCTTGGCTCACTGCAACCTCTGCCTCCCGAGTTCAAATGATCCTCCTGCCTCAGCCTCCCAAGTAGCTGGGACTACAGGCAGGAGCCACCACGCCCAGACAGGCGTTGTTAGTAGAGACGGGGTTTCACCACGTTGGCCAGGATGGTCTCGATCTCCTGACCTCGTGATCTGCCCGCCTCGGCCTCCCAAAGTGCTGGGATTACAGGCGTGAGCCATGGCGCCCAGCCAATTTTCTGCATTTTTATATATGATCCTTTTCTTTCTTTCTTTTTTTTTTTTTTTGAGACAGAGTCTCGCTCTGTTGCCCAGGCTGGAGTGCAGTGGCGTGATCTCAGCTCATTGCAACCTCCGCCTCCTGGATTCAAGCAATTCTCCTGCCTCAGCCTCCTGAGTAGCTGGGATTACATGCCTGCGCCACCATGCCCGGCTAGTTTTTGTATTTTTAGTAGAGATGCGGTTTCATCACGTCGGTCAGGCTGATCTCAAATTCCTGACCTCGTGATCTGCCTACCTCGGCCTCCCAAAGTGCTGGGATTACAGGTATAAGCCACCAAGCCCAGCCTATACATGATCTTTTATTAGCTACCTGCACTCAAGTCCAGGGAACACTGTTATGTGTAGTCACTAAAATACCTGTGCCCTTTTCACCCTTTCTTTCCTGAACTCAGCTTTCCCAAAGCATATGCAGGTTCTCTGAGCAAAAGGCATTGCCTGGAGAGCAATTACTAACATTAATACTTAAACCTCCTTCTCAGTGGTTACAAAGAGATTGGTAACAATCATATCATGAGTTAGGCACAAAATTACCTTAAGTATTTAAGGCTCTGTGATAAATAATTTCTGTAATCTTACAGAGTAAATATCTAGCAATTTATAATTTCAAGGCTGTTCCATGGAAACTCAATAAAATTCAACAGTGACTGATTCTACATTATTACAGCATCCTTTTAAATAGCTAATATAACAGTTTTCCTTAGGACTTACTTTTTTTAAAGAATGAACTCTGAAGGATTTACTTTTAATTTCAGTTTACATATTAGAATAAACAGAGAAAACCTAATGAAAACTGCAACTGTTTTTAATGATTGCTCCTGAATTGCCCTATTAAATGGCCAGTGGTTCTACAGATGTAAATAAGATGGTTTTAAGGCATTAATGAAGGCATAGTGGTATTTGCTGGAACTATAGTTACATAAAATGCTTTTCTCCATGTAATGTTACTAATGTGGTTTTTCCTATACAAATGTAGTTGCCGTGTTTTAAGTCTATTAAATAATATAATTACTATTTGTTTTGATGCTACTTATCCAGAAGAAAACAAATATCTGAGCCAGCCTCAGAACATGTCTGGATGCCAGGGCAAGTTTCATATCCCTGCTCTGTCATGGGACAGCACAAATATCTACAAAATACTTCAAGTCTCTACATTCAGGCTCCATACAGCAAAAGGGCAAAACAGCTTGAATTTATTAATAGCAGCAGACTTACATGTATTTCTAACATACCGTTCTTTGCCAATCTTTAAAGTAAAGTTAATCTACTAAGGTCAAATAAAAAGTTGGTATCAAAGGCCTACTAACTTCTCACACTGCAGTTTGTAACCCTTCAATCTCTGAAGGTCCTGAAAAATCACAGTAACCAGTCATTTTGCATAAGGTATTAACAGTCTTTACAGCAATACCCAGAAATGACCAGAGAGAAAAATAAAACTACTTAAATAGAACAGAGGCTGAAAGTGGCTTTTATTCAGAGACAACACATGGAATAGGTAGGTAGCATCTCAAAATTAAGTGACCTGAAGCAAATCCAAAGTAGCCATTTGCACACCCGACAAGCCCCAAGTCACCCACACCTCTGCTGATGGGGAGGTCCCCATCATCAGACCCTCATCCATCACCATCACCTGTGCTCCCCTGGCAGCAGGGAGGCATCTGACCCAAGGACAGCCAAACCAGAGGCTAGCCAGTGACCTAAAACAGTGGGGCCCACAGGCAATACTTGCTTTTTTATAGAATCCTCTCCTTCCCATAATACAATGTTGATAAAGCTAAGTCACCAGGCTGATGACTAAAAATGTTATGGTCCATGTAAGTCAAAAGATGAGGAGACGACTTAAGGTAAAGAGGCACCAGAACTTTCACGGCAGGACACAGGGAAAGGGCCAAGGTCCCTGAGCCTAATGATGGAAGTTGAGAGGAAGGGGAGCAGTGGAGTAGATGTGGGGATCTCGAGCTCCGTCAATGCGGAGCAGGGTGCCCAGGAGGGAAGAACAGGGACATGGACTCTGTGCTGAGGAGTATAAAGGAAGATGGGTATTCACAGACTGCTGAGGGTGGTGTGAGCACCAGCAATCTTTTGGAAAAGCACTTGGCAGTAGTTTTCACAGCTCCCACACATCCGCAGACCTGCGCCTGTGCCCTCCTCTCCAATGTCCTCCAACTAGCTCTTCACAACCAGACCCCACCCTGTCGCCACTTGAGGACCACTGATTCTGTCCTCTTCTCATATCATCACTTTCTCTTTCTTTCCTGCATCACTTCCATTAGGATGCAAATATGCTGTCTCCCACTCTGAAGAAACACAACGATCTCCTCTCAGTAGCACTTCTGCCCCAGCTTCTCTCACTGCCTATCTTTTCCTTCCTTTTCAGTGAATTCCTTCAGAGTTGTCCACCCCAGCTCTTTCTTTTCAAAATTTTTTTCTTTTTCTTTTATTTACATATTTTGAGACAGGGTCACTCTGTTGCCTAGGCTGGACTGCAGTAGCACGATCTTGGCTCGCTGCAACCTCCACCACCCGGGCTATCAAGTGATCCTCCTGCCTCAGTCTGCCAAGTAGCTGGAACTACAGGCATGCACCACCATGCCCAACTAATTTTTGTATTTTTAGCAGAGACGAGGTTTTGCTAGGTCGCCAGGCTAGTCTCGAACTTCTGGGCTCAAGCGATCCTTTCACCTCAGACTCCTGAGCAGCTGAGACCACAGGCACGTGCCACCACACCCAGTGCTGGAGGTGGGCCTAATGGGAAGTGCATGGGTCATGAGGGCAGGTCCCTCATGAATGGCTTGGTGCTGTCTTTCCAGCACTGAGTGAGTTCTCATTCCATTAGTTCCCTGAGAGCTAGCTGTTAAAAACAGCCTGGCACCTCCTTTCCCATCTCTCTTGCTTTTTCTCTCATCATGTCATCTGGACACACTGGGTCCTCTTCACCTTGTGCCGTAAGTGGAAAAAACCTGAGGCTCTCACCAGATGCAAATGCTGTGCACCATGCTTCTTACACAGCTTGCAGAACCAGGAGCAAAATTATCCAGCCTCAGGTATTCCTTATAGCAACACAAACGGACTAAGATACAGAAGTTTAATTTCACATAAAGCACATAAAATTATAAAGGGCCAAGAATAACCAAAACATTCATGAAGAACAATACAGAACGCCTATTAAGGCTTATTAAAAAGCTATACTAGGCTGAGCATGGCAGCTGACTCCTGTAATCCCAGCACTTTGGGAGGCTTGGGTGAAAGGGTTGCTTGAGCCCAGGAGTTCAAGACCGCCTGAGCAACAGAGGGAGACCCCGTCTCTACAAAAAATTTAAAAATAAGCCAGGCATAGTGGCATGCACCTGTAGTCCCAGCCACTCAGGAGGCTGAGGTGGGAAGATTGCTTGAGCCCAGGAGGTTGAGGCTACAATGAGCCATCCTCCTGCCACTGCATTCCAGCCTGGGCAACAGAGCAAGACCCTGTTCTCAACAACAACAAATGCTATAATAATTCAGAGAGTGTGGTACTGGCCGCTCAAGGATAGAAAAGTAGACGAAGGAATATAGAATCAAGGTATGATACACGGACACTAAATTTATAACCAAGGTATGAAACACATACACTAAATTTATAACCAAGATGGCATTCTACAATACTATGGAAAGAATGGCCTTTTAAATTGAAGTTAATACAGAACAACTAGATACCCAAACCGGGGGGAAAAAAAAACTGGGCCCCTATCTCACACCATACACAAAAATCAATTCTTTAATTATAGACCTAAATGTGAAAGATGATGGATAATATCCTCATGACCTTGGGTAAAGGGAAACATTTTCAAGACACCAAAAGCACTAAAGCATAAAGGAAAAGATCAACAGATTCAACTATATATATATATATTTTTTTTTTTGAGACGGAGTTTTTGCTCTTGTTGCCCAGGCTGGAGTGCAATGGCATCATCTCAGGTCACTGCAACCTCTCCCTCCTGGGTTCAAGTGATTCTCCTGCCTCAGATTCCCCAGTAGCTAGGATTACTGGCATGCACCACCACGCCTGGCTAATTTTGTCTTTTTAGTAGAGATGGGGTTTCTCTATGTTGATCAGGCTTGTCATGAACTCCCAACCTCAAGTGATCCACCAGCTTCGGCCTCCCAAAGTGCTGAGATTACAGGCATGAGCCACCCCACCCAGCCCAGATTCAACTATTTAAAAATTATTTATTTTTTGAGATGCAGTCTCACTCTGCCACCCAGGCTGGTGTGCAGTAGCACAATCTTGGCTCACTGCAACCTCCACCTCCCAGGTTCAAGCAATTATCCCTGCCTCAGCCTCCCAAGCAGCTAGGACTACAGGTGCCCGCCACCACACCCAGCTAATTTCTGTATTTTTTAGTAAAGACGGGGTTTTGCCATGTTGGCCAGGCTCGTCTTGAACGCCTGACCTCAGGTGATCCGCCCACTTTGGCCTCCCCAAAGGGCTAGGATTACAGGCATGAACCACCATGCCCAGCCTAAAATTTAAAACTTCTATTTGATAAACATTAAGAAAATGAAAAAAATGACAAAAAAAAGTGAAAAATGAGAAAAATAGGAAAAAGATATACAACTTGACTGAAAAAATTGGGCAAAAGACTTGAACGGGTTCTTCACAACAGATGACCCAAATGGTCCATAGACATAAACATATGTCACAGATATCACAGATAAATTAAATCATAGTACCACCATTTACCCACCAGAGAGGCTGAAACAAAAAATTAGGACAAAACCCACGCTCAGCCAAAAACATGAAACAATGGGAACTCTCAAGCACTGCTGGTAGAGTGAAAATAGGTATAACCACTTTGGGAAATAGGCATTACATGAAGACTGTGAAAATACATGTAGACTATGACCCAGTAATTCCTTTTCTGGATATCTATCTTTCCTCATATTAAGTCCTGTATGCACCAAAATACATGTACAAGAGTATTCATGCCAGTCCCAAACTGGAAATAACCCATAAACTGTAGAATGAATGAACAGTCATCTATATGGTGAAATACTATACAGGAATTAAAATGGATAAACCATAGCTAAGTTCAAAACAAATAAATCTTTCAAATATTGTTGGGTGAGACAAGTTATATACCGTATTCAGTATGGATGCTTCCATTTATATAAGGTACAAAAACAGGCAAAACTATAGTGTTGGGATGTTTAGTTTTGGTTTGTTTTTTTTTTCCTTTTTTTGAGACAGAGTCTTGCTCTGTCGCCAGGCTGGAGTGCAGTGGCACGGTCTCGGCTCACTGCAACCTCCGTCACCTGGGTTGAAGCAATTCTCCTGCCTCAGCCTCCTGAGTAGCTGGGACTACAGGCACACACCACCACGCCCAGCTAATTTTTGTATTTTTAGTAAAGATGGGGTTTCACTATGTTGGCCAGGATGGTCTCGATTTCTTGACCTCATGATCTGCCCACCTCGGCCTCCCAAAGTGCTGGGATTACAGGCTTGAGCCACCGCACCCTGCCATTTAGTATGTTTAACGAAAGGAAAAGAAAGGAAACTGTAATCGAGTAGTAGCCTTTAGCAGGCTTTTGGAGTCCTGGTAATGTTCTATTTCCTTATCTGAATGGTGCTTATACCAGGGGTCAAATTAATTTGCAAACCTGTACATTACTTTTATGCATTTTTATAGTATTTAACAGTAAGAAATATTCTTTAGAGATGGGTGTTTTTTTTTTTTTTTTGAGACGGAATCTCACTCTGTCGCCCAGGCTGGAGTGCAGTGGCACAATCTTCACTCACTGCAACCTCTGCCTCCCAGGTTCAAGCGATTCTCCTGCTTAGCCTCCTGAGTAGCTGGGATTACAGGTGCGAGCCACCAAGCACCGCTAATTTTTTTAAGAAATGTTGTTTAAAGAACATTGTTAAAGGACAAATGAACAAGGTGATTCCATAGGGAGAGATCTCTCAATAAATGGTACACAACTGGATATGAATATGGAGTGGGGGACACCTCCAACTTCACCTCACACCATACCCAAAATTAAGTTGAAATAGATCACAGACCTATATATAACAGCTAAAATTATAAAACCTCTAGAAGAAAACAAAGAAGAAGGTTTTCCCAACCTTGGAGTAGACAAAGATCTCTTGAGACCCCAAAAGCACTAATCATTAAAAAAATTGGTAAACTGGACTTACACCAAAAAACTTCTGTTCCTCAAGACATGGCTGCTTCTGTCTTCTGCCCTAGGATGAAGAGACCTGGGACAGCATAATGCTCAACCTTACAGTGCAAAACAGCCAGACTAACTTCATATCCATGACTGTTTCTGAACCTGCTGGAGAGCTGTGGTTACAGAACAAACACTGGCCCATAATCTTAAGTGCCTTCAGGGAAAGAAAACAAATACACTCACCTGGGGTAGACACAATCAGACACACTAGTAAGAAGAGTTCAGCAAGAATAAAAGACAAATTGCGAAAGGCTGAGTACAGGCTGTCAGGACAATTTCTGGCAACTGCAGAAACTGGGAAAGCCTGCATTACTTTGCAGGCTCTTTCTCCGTGGCACTCATGAGGCAATCACTGAAAAGATCTGAAAGAGCCCGAAGAAGCAAAGACAGTAGCGCAGAACTCAGGGAGGGGACCAGAAGCCAGGAAGGAGGGGAAAGAAATTCCACTCAAATCCTTCCTCTCAATCTCCACTCAGAAACAAAAGTCCTAATTTGGGGGCAGCAGGGGGAAGGGAAGAGAGGGACAGGAGAGACCTAGTCCTGCAAAAGGGGCAGGATTACACACTGAGTCCAAAATTATAGCCAGGGAAAAGGCAGAAGAACTGAGACAGCTGCACCTCTGAAATCCAGGGTTACCAGACATGTCTAAAACTGAGACTTGGCCGGGCGCAGTGGCTCACGCCTATGATCCCAGCACTTTGGAAGGCCGAGGCAGGCAAATCACCTGAGGTCAGGAGTTTGGCACCAGCTTGGCCAATGTGGTCAAAGACAGACAGGGTTCTGTCTCTACTGAAAATACAATAATTGGCTGGGCATGGTGGCAGGTGCCTGCAGCTACTTTGGAGGCTGAGGCAGGAGAATCGCTTGAACCCGGGAGGTGGAGGTTGCAGTGAGCTGAGATCGTGCCACTGCACTCCAGCCTGGGAGACAAGAGCAAAACTCCGTCTCAAAAAATAACAACAACAAAAAACTGAGCCTTAACCAGAAAAGGAGGCAGCATCTCACTACCGCTACACACTTCCAAGTCAAAAAGCTTCAAACAACAGCCAACAGCAGAATACAACTGGGAGAAGAATATGCAAAGAAACCTCCTGTGAAATACAACAAAGAAAGAAGACTTAAGACAGAATTTCAAACACTGCCATGGTAAAACACTCCTCATCCTAGATCCAAGCCGCCTCTACAAACATTCAAAGCCTGTGCTGCATAACACACAGCAAATAATAAACTGAGGCCAACTCTAAACAGCAGAAGAAATAACGGTTGAGAATTTTCCAAAATTAATGACAAACACCAAACTGCAGATCCAAGAAGCACAGAGAACGTTAAAAAACAACAACAAAAAAACACCTGGTCCTATCACTTCTTTACTTCTGAAAACAAAAGACAACTGGATACACAACTAATTAGGACAAAAGTCATGCGCAACTAAGACTATGAAAATAAGAAAGAAAGAGAGAGAGGAGGGAAGGAGAAGGAAGGAAGGAAATAAACACTGACCAAGTACGATGGGGCTCGTGCCTGTAATCCCAGCACTTGTTGGGGTGAGAGGATTGCTTGAACCCAGGAGTTCAGGAGTAGCCTGGGCAACATAGCAAGACCTCATCTCTACAAAAAAGTTTAAAAAATTAGACCACACTTGTGGTCTCAGCTACTTGGGAGGCTGAGGTGGAGAACACTTGAGCCTGGGAGGTCGAAGCTGCAGTGAGCTGTGATCATGTCACTGCACTTCAGCCTGGGCAAAAGAGCAAGACCTTGTCTCGAAAAGAAAGGGGGCTGGAGGAGGAGAGGAGAGACTGAAAGCAGCTAGTGATAAAAGAAACATTACACATGGAAGAACAAAAACAATTACAGCAGGATTCTTGTGAGAAGCCATAAAAACCAGAAGAGAGTAATTTCTCTAAAATCTTGAAAGAAAAAAACAGCTTTTAACTACGACTTCCATACCCAGAAAAAGAATCTTTTAAAAGTAAAGGAGAAGAGCCAGGTGCGGTGGCTCACGCCTGTAATCCCAGCACTTTGGGAGGCCGAGGCAGGCAGATCACGAGGTCAGGAGACTGAGACCATCCTGGCTAACATGGCGAAACCCTGTCTCTACTAAAAATACAAAAAATTAGCCGTGCATGGTGGCGGGGGCCTGTAGTCCCAGCTACTTGGGAGGCTGAGGCGGGAGAATGGTGTGAACCCAGGAAACGGAGCCTGCAGTGAGCCTAGATCACGCCACTGCACTCCAGCCCGGGCTGGAGCAAGACAGAGCGAGACTCCGTCTCAAAAAAATAAAAACAAATAAATAAAATAAAGGAGAAAGACTTTCTCAAACAAAAACAGGAAATTTATTGCCAGCATACCTAACCCACATAAAATGTTGAAGTATTTCAGAAGCTGGGCATGGTGGCTCACGCCTGTAATCTCAGCACTTTGGGAGGCCCAGACAGGCGGATTGCCTGAGCTCAGGAGTCGAGATCAGCCTGGGCAACATGGTGAAACCCCATCTGTACTAAAATACAAAAAAATCAGCCAGGCGTGGTGGCATGCACCTGTAATCCCAGCTACTCGGGAGGCTGAGGCAGGAGAATTACTTGGACCTGGGAGGCGGAGGTTGCAGTGAGCCAAGATTGTGCCCCTGCATTCCAGCCTGGGTTACAGAGTGAGACTCCACCTCCAAAAAAAAAAAAAAAGAAAGAAAGAAAATATTTCAGGAAGAGAGAATATGGTATCAGAACAAAACCTAGATCTACAAAAGAAATGGCAATCCCAAAAATGGAATAAAATAAATCAGTGGTTTTTTTTTTGTTGTTGTTTTTTGAGACGGAGTCTTGCTCTATCGCCCAGGGTGGAGTGCAGTGGCGCAATCTCAGCTCACTGCAACCTCCGCCTCCCGGGTTCACGCCATTCTCCTGCCTCAGCCTCCCGAGTAGCTGGGACTACAGGTGCCCGCCACCACACCCGGCTAATTTTTTGTATTTTTAGTAGAGACGGGGTTTCACCGTGTTAGCCAGGATGGTCTAGATCTCCTGACCTTGTGATCTGCCCGCCTCGGCCTCCCAAAGTGCTGGGATTACAGGCGTGAGCCCGGCCAAATCAGTGGGTTTTAAAAAACTTATAAAGAACAGAGGTTTATTTGGCTTACAGTTCTGTAGGCTATACAAGCATGGCACCAGCATCTGCTCCACTTCTAGTGAGGCCACAGGAAGCTTTTACTCATGGCAAAAGGCAAAGAAGGAACAAATGTATCACATGGCAAGAGAGTGAGGAGCCAGAGATAGAGGGGGGAGGCCCCAGACTCTTTTTAACAACCAGATTTCAAGTGAACTAACAGAGCAAGAACTCATTCATTACCATGGGGAGGACATTCATGAAGTCATTCATGAAGACCCACCTCCATGATCCAACACTTCCCAGCAGACCCTAGCTCCAAAATGGGGGGTGGGGGTCACATTTCCTTTTATTAAATTTGGGGGTACATGTGCAGCACGTGCAGGTTACACAGGTAAACATGTGTCACAGGCGTTTGTTGTACCGATTATTTCTTCACCCAGGTAGTAAGCTTAGTAGCCATCACTTGTTATTTTTCCTGATCCTCTCCCTCCTCCCACCCTCCACCCTTTGATAGGCCACAGTGTATGTTGTTCCCCTCTACGTGTCCATGTGTTCTCATCGGCTATAAGCGAGAATATGCGGTATCTGGTTTTCTGTTCTGCTTATTCTCACTTATAAGGGAGAATCTGCAGAAAACCAGCAGTATCTGGTTTTCTGTTTCTGTGTTACTTTGCTAAGGATAATGGCCTCTAGCTCCATCCAAGTCCCTGAACAGGATCCCATTCTTTTTTATGGCTGCATAGTATTCCATGGTGTATATGTACCATGTTTTCTTTATGCAATCTATCTATCATTGATGGGCATTTGGGTTGATTCCATGTCTCTGCTATTGTGAACAGTGCTGCAATGAACACACGCATGCATGTGTCTTTGTAACACAACAATTTATATTCCTTTGAGTATATACCCAGTAATGGGATTACTGGGTTGAATGGTATTTCTGACTTTAGGTCTTTGTGGAATTGCCATATCATCTTCCACAATGGTTAAACTAATTTACACTCGCACCAACAGTGTATAAGCGTTCCTTTTTCTCTACAACCTCACCACCATCTGTTATTTTTTAACTTTTTAATAACAGCCATTCTCACTGCTGAAAAATCAATGTTTTCACTGTTTTTTTTTGTTTTGTTTTTGAGACAGGGCCTCACTCTGTCACCTAGGCTGGAGTACAGTGGCATGATCACTGGTCTCTGCCGCTGCAACTCCCCAAGCTTAAGCAATCCTTCCACCTCAGCCTCCCGAGTAACTGGGACCACAGGCGAGTGCCATTATGTCTGGCTAATATTTTTTATTTTTTGTAGAGAAAGGACCTTGTTATGTTGCCCAGGTTGGTCTCCAACGCCTGGGTTTAAGTGATCCTCCTGCCTCAGCCTCCCAAAGTGCTGGGATTACAGGTGTGAGCCACCACGTCCAGCCAGCCTTATTTTTAATTGCACTTTGTAACTGCTAGGATTACAGGCGCGTACCACCACACCTGGCTAATTTTTTTTGTATTTTTCAGTAGAGATGGGGTTTCACCATGTTGGCCAGGCTGGTCTTGAACTCCTGACCTCAAGTGATCCACCCTCCTCGGCCTCCCAAAGTGCTGGGATTACAGGCGTGAGCCACCGCGCCCAGCCATGATATCATTTGAAGGTACGCTCTGGATTAATTTAAAACGTATACTGCTGGCCAGGCGTAGTGGTGATTCATACTTGTAATCCCAGCACTTTGGGAGGCTGAGATGGGAGGATTGCTTGAAGCCAGGAGTTCAAGACCAGTCTGGGCAACAAAAGCAAGACCCCCATCTCTTTTACTGTGATCACGCCACTGCATTCCAGCCTGGGTGACAGAGCGAGACCCTGCCTCAACAAAAATAAAGTTACACTGTGTGCCTGCCTTCCTCTACCTCCTCTGCCTCTGACACCCCTGAAACAGCAAGACCAACCTCTCCTCTTCCGCCTCCTCCTCCTCCTCCTCCTCTCTCAGCCTAGCCAATGTAAAGAGAATGAGGATGAAGACCTTTATCATGATCCACTTCCACTTAATAAATAGTAAATATAACATTTTATTTTCTCTAGCTTACTTTATTGTAGGAATACAGTAGATAATATCTATAAGAAGCAAAATATTTGTTCATCGAATGTTTATAGTATTGGTAAGACTTCTGGTCAACAGTAGGCTATTAGTAGTTAAGGTTTTGGAGAGTTGAAAGGTATAAGCGAATTTCTGACTCCACAATGGGGTCAGCATCCCTAACCCCTTCGTTCAAGGGTCAACTGTACTTAGACAGTACAAGAATGACTGAAAACTACTCACTGTTTACCCTTAAGCAAGAATTAACCCCTCCAAGCCTCAGTTGCCTTTTTTGTAAATGGAAGATTGAGGGGGGAAAAAAAAAACCTACCAAGAAGGTTGCCACAGAATCAAATGAGATACGGTATGTCAAGTGCTTGATACAGAGTCTAGTGCACAGTAATCATTAGTCAAAATGGCAGCTATTTATTATTAAAATGATGAAATTTCAAACACAAGCAAAATAAAGCAGGCAATGCAAAAAAAATGCACGGGTAGCAAATTAAAATCAGAAAAATATTATAAGTAACAGAGTACTTTATTAGGAATGGGCAGGGTGGCATGCGCCTGTGGTCTCAGCTACTCAAGGAGGCTGAGGTGGGAAAATTGCTTAAGCCCGGGAAGTCAAGGCTGCAGTGAGCTTCACTGCATCACTGGGTGATAGAGCAAGACCCTGTCTCAAAAGCAAACAAAAAACAGAAGAAGTAATAAATCTACAATTACAGTCCTAAGAATATTTAGTATCTGAAGAGAGGAATAGGGGATAGTCATTATATTCCCAGTAGCTACCACAGTAACCAGTACATAATACGTGCTAATGGATGTTTGTTGAATGAACAGATTCAGAAAAACAACAAAACTGAAAACGATTATACAGTATAACAAAACTTTAGATGTCTGGCCAATGTTGTACTTAAAGTTCATAGCTCTAATTGCTAGTATTATTTTGAGGGAAGAAAAAAATGAACAGCTTGAGATTAGAAATCAATTCAGAAAGGCCCTAAACAGAATGGGAACAAGTTGTTACTAAATATTAAAACAGAAGTTAATGAATCAGAGGTCAGGTGTGGTGGCTGACACCTGTAATCCCAGCACTTCAGGAGGCTCAGGCAGGTGGATCACTTGAGGTCAGGAGTTCAAGACCAGCCTGGCCAACACGGCAAAACTCCACCTCCACTAAAAATTAAAAAATTAGCCGGGTGTGGTGGCGGGCGCCTGTAATTGCAGCTACTCAGGAGGCTGAGGCAGTAGAATCGCTTGAACCCAGGAGGCAGAGGTTGCAGTGAGCTGAGATCGTGCCAGTGCACTCCAGCTTGAGTGACAGACTGAGACTCTGTCTCAAAAAAAAAAAAAACAAAAAAAAAACCACTTTAATTGAGTGAATAGATTGTCAAACTTGATTTAGCAAGAAACATTAAACCTAGACCAATGACGACAAAGAAATTTCCAGGTCTAGAAAGTTTAGTGGGTCTTCCAAGGAACACAATAGTCCCAAGCACTAACAATGTGTTTTTACTTCATGGTGTTGAAAATTAAATGCTTTAACACCAAAAATATCTTATAAGGTATGATATGTCACCTGGGTGACAGAGCGAGGCTTCGTCTCAAAAAAGAAAAAAAGTAGTAATAACAATAACTACCTGGAATAAATATTACACGGACCCCATAATACTCTCAAAAAAGTTCAGGTGTTTTAGTCCTCATATCAACTAAAACCTTAGATAAGGTAACATTGAGAAGACGAACACCTGTGAGAAAACCAAGCAACCAAATGAAAATCTCAAAAAACTGCTTTGTGAATATGTTACAGCAATTACTGGCTCTAAACTACAAAGACTGGTCAGAGAATAGGTACATCTCTATTCCTGCTGCCTCTGTATCTGCTACAGTATCTCCATGAGCCCCTTAAGCCCAAAGTGCTGAACAAGGCCTTTGCCTTTCTGTGCCTATTACCACAGCATAAAATTGGGGTAACAACAGCACCTACTACTTCAAATCACTTTGAGGACTAGAAGCACACACATATATAGATGTTTAGAACAGTGTCTGATAAGCATTGGCCAGTGTTTAGATATATAGATTTTGTTTGCCTCTAAGAAATAAGGTCTCACCAGGCATGGTGGTGCACACCTGTAATCCCAGCTACTCAAGAGGCTGTCACAATAGCATCATTGTTCTCCAGCCTGGGAGACAGAGGCAGAGCAAGAGCAAGTATCACTATGTCACCCAGACTGGGGTGCAGTGGCTATTCACAGGCACAATCATTGTGCAATACAGCCTTAAACCCCTGGGCTCAAGCCATCCTCCTGCCTCAGCCCCCTGAAGCTGGACCTATAGGTACATGCCACTGCATCCCGCTCTAATGTTAATAACTGGGTGTTCCAGGCACAGTGGCTCACACCTGTACTCCCCACACTCTGGGAGGCCGAGGCAGGCGGATCACGAGGTCAGGAGTTCAAGACCAGCCTGGCCAACATAGTGAAACCCCGTCTCCACTAAAATTACAAAAGAATTAGCCAGGCGTGGTGGGGGGCACCTGTAATCCCAGCTACTTGGGAGGCTGAGGCAAGGAAAATCACTTGAACCTGGGAGGTGGAGGTTGCAGTGAGCCGAGATCGTGCCACTGCACTGCAGCCCGGGCGACAATGTGGGACTCCATCTCAAAAAATAAATAAATAAATAAATAACTGGGTATGTGGCACAGCTACCCGGTATTACTGCTTAAATCATTCAGTAGTGCCAAAAGAACTATAAGGAATCTGACCTCCTGGACTGCTGCTACTTGCATCCCTCATTGTTGTCTAACTCACCTGAGACATAAGCCTCCTGAGGGCAGAGACCACTCCATGTGACATGTCCTTGTAACCTGACCATGGCAAGCAACACACAAGAACATTTAGGGAAGATAGTGTCCACCAGTGAAGAGCAGAGGGCCCATCTTTATGGACGATGGTGTGTACTCGTGAAGGGCAGGGAGCATAATTCTTCCAAATGTTACAATCCCAGTATCTCGCCGGGCGCGATGGCTCACGTCTGTAATCCCACACTTTGGGAGGCCGAGGCAGGCAGATCCCCTGAGGTCAGGAGTTCAAGACCAGCCTGGCCAACATGGTGAATCCCCGTCTCTACTAAAAATACAAAAATTAGCTAGGTGTAGTGGTGGGCGCCTGTAATCCCAGCTACTCAGGAGGCTAAGGCAGGAGAATCACTTGAACCCGGGAAGCAGAGGTTGCAGCGAGCCGAGATTGCGCCACTGCACTCCAACCTGGGTGACAGAACAAGACTCAGCGTCAAAAAAAAAAAAAAAAAAATCCCAGTATCTAACAAATACCCAACACATTTAAAAACTCAAATTATTGTTTGCTTAATAAACTGCATCTTCAAAACGATTTCCCTATGAAGTCCATGCTCCTGATCCTCCTTCAAGCCTGGCCCTGACTGAGCGCCACTATTCCTGTTCTCAAACCTTCCATGATCACCATGTCCAAGTCCCTGGTGTACCACACTTTTGCACATGCTGCCACGGCCACCTGGGATTCTCTTCCACCGTCTCGTCACCTGACCTGATCTATGCTTTCTTGGGGCATAGGCCTCTGACATCTCACTTGGCAAGTGTCGCGGCCACCTTCGCCCTGAAGCTTGCTGTGCACTCTGCTGCCTGGCCTGATCATTCACTCATGTCTCTTGGTGGAAGGCCTAGTGCTGCCTTTAACCCAAGGCCTGGGCAGAGGAGCATGGCACGCATTTGTGTGTGGGAGAAAGAGGAAGAGGAAGAAGTTAGAGGAGTGTGAGCCAACAGAGGGGAGGGATGGCAGGCCTCCTTCCCACAGGCGGGTCACGAACCCAAAAGGCTGGAAGCTTCTATTCTCCAGAACTTTTTCTTGATTTCATTCAGCTTTTCAATGCTTCCAATACGCCAAAAGGCCAGAATTAATGACTTAATGTTGTTTTTGAAGAAACACTAAAAAGATAAAATTTTTAAATGTTTCTTTTTAATTAATTTAAAATGATTAATTCATGTCATTTAAAAATGCCATGCATGTAAGTATTTATTTACCCTCCCCCAGCTCCACATTTATTTAAGGCAGGTTAGACATAAACGTGGATACTACAGAAGAGGCTGCAGTCCTGGAAAGCACGGTTTTGCTTCTGAGCATTAGAGATCCTCAGGGCTCCCTTCTCAGTCACTTTCCACTAGATGCTCTTCTTCCGCCAACCACATCCATGACCGTCAATACACACGACTCCCAGAAGTTGGATTTAGGGGTCAAATGTCTACAGTACAATTGCCTAATTCACATATCCCCTTGGATATCTCAAAGGCACTCTGAACTCAACATGTCCCAAGCCAAATTTATGTATGGTGGCATCTGCAGCAGCAGTGAACGAGAGCACAGGACGCCTGGGCACTGTCTACTGCAAAGACAACACAAGGTGAGCAAATGCAGCAGCCTTGGTGTGAGACAGGCCGGCCCTCTCAGTCTCTACCTGTGCTCCACTCCCCATGTTCCACAGAAGAGACCCCTCGCCCCACTCCCGACGTTCCACAGCACATGTCAAGAGAGTGCAGCACATGCCCCCATCAGACACCCCACACTGACACCACATCTCTAACTGGTCTTCCTGCTCCAGCCTTTACCCCACACCCACGAGACATCTGGAGGATCTCTTTCAGAACTGACACAATACCACTCTTCTGCAAAAACCCTCCCACAATCCCCTCATAACACAATAAAAACCAAAGTTGTTGAATAAAAATCTTTCATATTTGTCCCCTGAGCCTCTCTGACTCATTCTGCTCCAGCCTCACAGGTCTCCTTGTTACCTGGACACCTAAGGGTGCTCCCAGACGAGGCCTTTGTACTGTTTGTCTCCCTTTGACTAGAAACTTCTTCCCCCAGATAAAACAAAGAGCCGGGTGCACCCCTCATCTCCCTCAGGCCTTGTTCAAGTATCACCACACTGGCAAGGCCTTTCCTGACCACCCCTCCCTACCTCTTCCCGCCACGGGACAGGCTTTGTCCATCAGCCTCCCCAGCTGGAAAGTCAGCTCCAGGCAGTAGGGAGTCTAGAACAGAGCCCGACAGGTAGGCTCCCAGCAGATACTCCTGGAACAAACGCACAAGTGAGGGGTGGCGCAGCAGCACTGAGGGACCGCAGCCACGGAGCAGACAGTCAAAGTGGTGAAAGCAGAGAAGGACCCACGTCCCACACATGGCAATAAAAACACACATCCACACACGGACCTTTTTTTTTTTTTTTTGAAGACAGAGTTTCACTCTGTCGCTGAGGCTGGAATGCAGTGGCACGATCTCAGCTCACTGCAACCTCCGCCTCCTGGGTTCAAGTGATTCTCCTGCCCCAGCCTCCAGAGTAGCTGGGATTACAGGTGCCCGTCACCACGCACTGGCTGATTCTTGCATTTTTAGTAGAGACGGGTTTCACCATGGTGGCCAGGCTGGTCTCGAACTCCTGACCTCAGGTGATCTGCCAGCCTCAGCCTCCCAAAGTGCTGGGATTACAGGTGTGAGCCACTGCACCTGGCCTCATGGGCTTCTTAAAACACAGATTCACACATGTCCAGATACACAAACCTCTGAGAGTAGAGCACATTCAGGAGAGGGAGAGACACAAGAGTAAGAGTGAGGCGGGAAAAAAAGGAAGAAGAAGAAAGGAGATTCCTGCTTATCTGACACTGAGTCAACCAAGAACTCAAGAGCATGAGACCCAAAATAAAGAAACATAACAAAATGTACAAGCTGTTCCTCAAATCTAGCCCTTCTTTAGTATTCCCTATGCAGAGGAAATCATTTCTGAAGTCAGAATCCTAAGAATTAGCTTTGATCCTGCTACGTTCAACCCATCTCTCTCTCTCACCCCCATCGCCACTGTCGCCTCTCACCTGGATTACAGAAAAGCCTTCTATCTGCCTTCCGTTGTTATCCAGCAAACCACTATTCTCACTGCAGCCAGGTCTTTAAAAAAAAAAAAAAAAAAAATTCCTCCTCTGCTCAAAGCCCTTCAACTGTTCCCAACTGCACTTAATCTAAAGACCAAAATCCTCGCCCCAGCCCTCCAGGTCCCACGTGAGCTCCCCCACTTCCTCTAGGCCCCTTCTTCTATGTCCAGCTACCAGCAACATGTCGCCTCCCACACCAGGCTGTGGCACAGGGCTCCTCTTACCTGGGACTGACAACTCCAACCTATCTGCAGCCTCAGCTCACCCTACAGCCTTTAATCTCATTTCCATCTCTCAGTTTACAAATCAGGAGGACATACAGTGTCCCTAGGAAGACTGGAGAACGCCCAAGTCCCCACTGCAGCGAGCACTGTGGGGCCACAACCTCAGACAATCTGGTTTCCATTTAGGCACCGTACACAACCTCATTTCAGGGGAAACGGTATTAGAAAACTTGAAATGTTACCTTGGACTTTTTTTTTTTTTTTTGAGATGAAGTCTCACTCTGTCGCCTAGGCTGCAGTCCAGTGGCGCGATCTTGGCTCACGGCAACCTCTGCCTGCCAGGTTCAAGCGATTCTCCTGCCCCAGCCTCCCCAATAGCTGGGATTACTGGCACACACAACCACACCCAGTTTTTTTTTTTTTTTTTTGGACACAGAGGCTGGCCTTGTCGCCCAGGCTGGACTGCAGTGGTGTAATCTCGGCTCACTGCAACCTCCGCCTCCTGGGTTCAAGTGATTCTCCTGCCTCAGCCTCCTAAGTAGCTGGGATTACAGGCACATGCCACCATGCCCAGCTAATTTTTTGTATCTTTAGTAGAGATGGGGTTTCACCATGTTGGCCAGGCTGGTCTTGATCTCCTGACCTCATGATCCACCAGCCTCAGCCTCTCGAAGTGCTGGGATTACAGGCGTGAGCCACAGCGCCTGGCCTTTGACCAAGATTTAGAAAGTAGTAAACAAAAAGTTCTGGTCTAGGCAGAGCGCTGTGGCTCACACCTGTAATCCCAGCTCTTTGGGAGGCTGAGGCCGGTGGATCACCTGAGGTCGGGAGTTCAACACCAGCCTGGCCAACATGGCGAAACTCTGTCTCTACTAAAAATACAAAAATTAGCTGGGCTTGGTGGCACGCTCCTGTAATCCCGCTACTTGGGAAGCTGAGGTGAGAGAATCGCTTGAACCAAGGAGGCAGAGTTTGCAGTGAGCCAAGATCATGCCACTGCACTCCAGCCTGGAGGACAGAGCGAAACTCTGTGTCAAAAAAAAAAAAGTTCTGCTCTAGAATTTCACTCTACACATACCTCTCAAAACCCTTTTCCACAAAGACATCTTTAAATAAAATAGGACTTCTACCTCAGAAGCCATTCACTTCCAAAACCCTAGTACAAATCTAAATTTTTTATACATAACCAAACAGAAGTTCACTGTGCCAACAAGTACCAGTCTCCGAGCTGCTGGCAAGGTGGTGCCACATCTGCCTGGTACTCTAGAACCTGCCCTCTCCTCCAGGGCTCAGAATGGATAATTAATCCATGGGGTACAGGGCAGCCTGTACAATACAGCTGTTCTCTTCAGGACCCACAACAAGGCCTGTCATAAAAACATAATTTGGTCCACTTACGGGAAATGTGAACTAAAGACAAAGCAACACTGCCAGTAATACATCATTGGAAGCTGCCAGGAGGAAGGGCTGGGGCCGCGGAGGGAGTCACTAAAGAGCAGAGCCTATGGGTAAGGTGACAAGGCAGGAAAGAGGCTCTGCGAAGTCCCCCATAGGGAGAGAGCCACAGCACAGACAGCTGCCCACACCCCCACCCACTCCGTAAGCGAAACTGAGTGTGTGAACCCTGAATACAACAGGCAGAGGTAGGGGAGGAAGTGTACGGCAGAAGAGAAATAGGCCCTGTGTGTTCGGTACTCAAAGTGCTTGACTTACTACCCAGGATACATGACCACCTGAGTAAGGCCCATCTGTGAGTGAGACTTGCAGTAAATACGCATTCTCCTAAATCACAAAAGCTCCCAGGCCGGGGAGTGGGGCCTGAAAACTAGCCTAGCCCTGATCTGAGGAGGAGCTCACCAAGGCCTGTACCCATGGGGTAACTGGTCCCCCTACAGAGACACTGTCTCCTAAACTGCCCACAGCCTTGCACCTAGACATGGCAAGGCTTATTTCCTGTGTCACTATGATGGGGAGAAATGAGTTCCCATTATTCCAGTCAAGAGAGCAGGCTAGAGGGCCCTTTACTGCTGTGTCCTATAACGAAAGATGTGGCATGACCTCTGCAAGGAGGGTAACAGTTCATGGAACCTTGGGAAAAGTTAAAGATATATGGAGGAAAAAAACATAAGGAGATTTGGTTTATTTCAGTATCTCCTGAGCCATGTCACCAAAGCTCACTGCAGCGATTTAGAGTTGCTTCTTTAGCACAGAATGACTCTCTGAACTTAGATTCAGAGTTAGGGTTACCAAATCCACAGTAACTCATAGAATGTACTGCTTTCTTACAAACAGAAGATATCTGAACACACTGAATTCAACCCTGCAGGGAGACATAAGGGTACCATGATTTGTTCAAGGAAGTACAGATTCAAACCGGCCCAATGAGTTTAACTAATGGCATGTGGAGACTACGAACATTCACTACTGTCCAGAATCCCGGATTCTGAAGTACTTTTGGGCTATTTAGCAGTTCAGTCACAATTTCAGAAGATACCCAAAAGTGAAGAAAAGTCATACTCTCAGTTTCTGTAACTTATTAGATGTGAAAACCTCCAGATGTATTTGACTTATCCAGCATCTGACCCTAACAGTGTGGTTCAAACTTCAAGAGCATCTGAATGAGACGAAATCAAATTATGGTCCCCCTCAACAATTTGCCATCCTAAAATTCTAGAGATAAATATATAAATCCCAGAACAATCTAAAAATCTGTAACTTTGTGACCAAATTCCAGGTAATACTGGAGTCCAACCAATTATGAAAACTTATTTTATTTTAATGGAATTAGCAGCTGGGTGCAGTGGATTACAATCATAATTCTAACACTTTGGGAGGCCGAGGCAGGAGGATCACTTGAGCCCAGGAGTTCAAGACCAGCCTGGGCAACACAGCAAGACCAGCTTTTAAAAATTTTTTAAAGTTTTAAAAATTAACCGGGTGTGGTGGTGCATGCCTGTGGTCCCAGCTACTCGGGAGGCAGAGGCAGGAGGATAGCTTGAGCCTGGGAGATTGAGGCTGCAGTGAGTCATGATCGGCCACTGCACTCCGGACCGGGTGACGGAGAAGACCCTGTCTCAAAAAGAATTTGTTTTAATAATAATAAAAATGGCAAATAGCACCAAACTCACATCTGCACAACTGTGCTTAAATATGACAATAAAATAAATAGGATTCGATAAACTACCTTTGGGCTGCTTTTGTATTACTGCTAAATAAAATCCAATTTTTGGAAGGTTATATTCCACCACTGTTAGCAACAGAGTTTCCATGACACTTTCTCAACCCCTCACGTGGGTTTCCGATCAGCTGGCTCTACACAAGAATCTGGACCGGGCGCAGTGGCTCATGCCTGTAATCCCAGCACTTTGGGAGGCCAGGGTGGATTACCTGAGCTCACGAGTTCGAGATCAGCCTGGCCAACATGGCAAAACCACATCTCTACTAATATACAAAAAAATTACCCAGGTGCGGTGATGCACACCTGTAGTCCCAGTTACTCAGGAGGCTGAGGCAGGAGAATCGCTTGAACCCAGGAGGCAGAGGTTGCAGTGAGCCGAGATCATACCATTACACTCCAGCCTGGGCAACAGAGCAAGATCAAAAAAAAAAAAAAAAAAAAAGCAAAACAACAACAACAAAAGAAATCTGAATGAGTAACCACACTAGTGTTAAACATCCAGAATGATCTAAAGTCTTTATCCTGTACCTTCTGAGGTTCCATGCCAAAGGAAAAGGAAAAGAACAATCTTAACAGAATCCTTCTATAATCTAGAATCAGAAGTAACTAAATTTCTAATCAACTGTGTTGTACACAAAAAGCCACATTCAAGCAATCGTTACTAAGATTTATTATTCTCCAAATAATCACTCCTCCTTTTTCACTGGAATGCTTCTCGTTTTTTCCCTTTATACTTTGGTCACTACACCTGGTAACAACACACACCTCACTGTGGGGAATGCTGGCTTAGAATGTACATTTGAAAATCAGACGAAATTGGCTGGCCTCTGTCTAAATTCACATGGCAGAAAACTTCTACAGACCCAAATATGATGTTAAAATTATTTATTTATTTTTACAGACAGGGTCTTGCTGCTGCCCAGGCTGAAGTGCAATGACACAATCACAGCTCACTGTAGCCTGCAACTCCTGGGCTCAGGTGATCCTCCCTCCTCAGCCTCCTGAGCAGCTGGTACTACAGGTGTGCACCACCATGTCCAGCCACTGACATTAACATTTTTAGACAATTTTTTAAAATCCCTAATTCTGTATCTTACTTGATTCAGTCAAGAAACACTTACTGGCTATGAACAACGTACTAGGCCTTAAAATTGTTCTGCATTCAATAAACTTCCAATCTTTTTGAAAAAAAATTTTACAAGCCCACAGCTAACATCATATTTTTTAAAATATCCAATCTCATAAAATATAATCAATGTATAGGTAAAACAAAGGTGTAAAGTATCACTAGAGAAGTTGCTGCTGTGGTTGGAAGGTAAGTGGAATAGAAAAGGCGGCATCAAGCCAGCTCTGAAGGATTCTCAGAGGCAGAACCAGGAGGAAGGGGTGGGAAATGGAGACGAGAAGTAGTAGATAACAGGCTTCTGAAGGGCGAAGGCAGAAGCCATGACCCCAACAGGAAAACAGGACGTGCTGGAGGGCAACAGCCACACCCCTGCAGAGGCACAGGGTAATGGAAGAAAGGAGGAAGGGACCCACCTGGAGAGATGATTGAGGTGCCCAAGAAGTCCCTGTTCAGTCACTAGCAGACTTCATCGGCAGGGACACCTGGCCAGTAAGGCCTGAGCACACATATCCTGAGTCTACACAACCGTGCCTGTTCATCTGGGCATGGCACAAGGTGCACGGCTTTTGAGATCACCCTGTAACTCCTACTGGTAACGCAGAAGGCACTCTGCAGCAGTTAATGAATGTAATTTATGTTCATTAAAAAAATACACAAAATATAAAAACATACAATGAGATGAAAATAAAATCATCTTCTCACATACTTTTTAATAACAACACAAAACTTGTTGTGTCACCAAAAATCATGACAAAAAAACTTATGGAGATCAATATGATTGTACCTCATTATTTTAAAAATCTTGGTTGAATACTTTGTGTTAAAACCAGATCTTAGGAGTACTCTAAATTCAATTATTTAGAGAGTCAGTTTTACTGGCAGTCTTTGCTGAAAAAGGTCCCACTCAAAGATACATATAGCGAAGTAGAAGTATATCATTGGCTGCACTTGCTAAATTATGAAAACTGGTTTTCAATCTCATCAATCAATTATGCAAGGTTTCTGTTGAAATTCAGCTAGTCAGGCCGGGCGTGGTGGCTCAGGCCGGGCGTGGTGGCTCACGCCTGTAATCCCAGCACTTTGGGAGGCAAAGGCGGGTGGATCACGAGGTCAGGAGATCGAGACCATCCTGGCTAACAAGGTGCAACTCCGTCTCTACTAAAAATACAAAAAAAAAAAAAAATGAGCCGGGCATGGTGGCGGGCGCCTGTAGTCCCGGCTACTCGGGAGGCTGAGGCAGGAGAATGGCGTGAACCTGGGAGGCGGAGCTTGCAGTGAGCCGAGATTGTGCCACTGCATTCCAGCCTGGGCGACAGAGCGAGACTCCGTCTCAAAAAAAAAAAAAAAGAAAAAGAAATTCAGCTAGTCAATTTACATCTTCTTCATCAGAGTTCCTTGTTCTTACATAGTAATCAGAAGGTATCACATTTTTGTATTTTTAATAAGTTCAAGACACTATTGTTACAAAAGGAAGCTTTTAAACAAGCTGCAAAATTTCATTTCCAAGTTTAAGTGTGCAGTAAAATGACTATTTACATTATTCTTAGCAAATATACACACACACACAATGGAGACAATTCTAAACATCCATTTTCTTTTTTTGAGACAGAGTCTCACTCTGTCCCCCAGGCTGGAATGCAGTGGTGTGATCTTGGCTCACTGCAACCTCGCCTCCCAGGTTCAAGTGATTCTCCTGCCTCAGCCTCCCGAGTAGCTGGGGACTACAGGCGCACACCACCACGTCCAGCTAATTTTTGTTTTTAGTAGAGACAGGGTTTCACCATGTTGGCCAGGCTGGTCTCAAACTTCTGACTTCAAGTGATCCGTCCGCCTCATCCTCACAAAGCGTTGGGATTACAGGTGTGAGCCACCGCAACTGGCCTAAACGTCCATTTACAAAACGCTCATCACAGCAACCTTCTATCAAAAAGCAATTTTCCATTGGCCAGGCGCGGTGGCTCACGCCTATAATCCCAGCACTTTGGGAGGCCAAGGTGGGCAGATCACGAGGTCAGAAGATCGAGACCATGCTGGCTAACACGGTGAAACCCCATCTCTACTAAAAATACAAAAAATTAGCCGGGCGAGGTGGCGGGCGCCTGTAGTCCCAGCTACTCGTCAGGTTGAGGCAGCAGAATGGCGTGAACCCAGAAGGCAGAGCTTGCAGTCAGCCAAGATTGTGCCACTGCACTCCAGTCTGGGCGACAGAGCGAGACTCCGTCTCAAAAAAAAAAAAAAGCAATTTTCCACTCATTGTTAAAATGTCACCTTTACCTTGAGGGGACAGATTACGTGTTTCTTTTTCTCAAAAATACTGGATTTGCTAGATAGCTTTCTACTGACAGCCACTTATTACAGCAAAGGTTTGTAAATTTAGACCACTTACCTTTATGTAAAAGAAAAACATTCAATTCACCTTCAGAATAGGCAATGCTTTTACCTTTGCCAAAAGATAGCCAGCAAACCCCTGTGTCTTGCCAAGTACTTTCAGTTACTCCCCCGTCATTACAAAATATTGTGAAGATGTACTACTCTATAAAGGTCTCAGGCTGACCCATTAGTGCTTCTGGCTTCAACTGGTTGCTGTAAGCAGTTCCCTATGCATCATGTGGTGAACCCATTTCTCATGTTACTCTTTCTGCAATCCTGCCCTACCCAAGAATCTCTTTCTACCTTTGTTTCTTACCTGACGGACTACATGAATTTTTTTTTTTTATTACAAAGTGGCTACTCTGGCTGAGCACGGTGGCTCACGCCTGTAATCCCAGCACTCTGGGAGGCTGAGGCAGGTAGATCACGAAGTCCAGAGATCGAGAACATCCTGGCCAACACGGTGAAAACTTGTCTCTATTAAAAATACAAAAATTAGCCGGGTGGTGGTGGACGCCTGTAGTCCCAGCTACTCCGGAGGCTGAAGCAGGAGAATTGCTTGAACCTGGGAGGCAGAGGATGTAGTAAACTGAAATCGCACCACTGCACTCCAGCCTGGCGACAGAGGGAGACTGCATCTTTTAAAAAAAAAAAAAAAAAAAAAAGGCTACTCTATCATTGTGTATATCCAGTTTTCCCACAAAACCTTGTTTACTAATGAAATCATTTCAGAATCCACAAGCTTGCGTCTCATCAAAAGAGTACTCAACTGGAATCTATCAAAAAAAAACAGGCTAACACCTATAAAAATACCCACGTAGCCAGGTGCAGTGGCTCACTCCTATACTCCCCCAGTACTTTGGGAGGCCATGGTGGGAGGATAACTTGAGGCCAGGAGTTCAAGACCAGCCTGGGTAACACAGCAAGACCCCTGGCTCTGCAATTTCTTTTTAATTAACCAGGCATGGTGGCATGTGACTGTAGTCTCAGCTACTCTGGGGCAGGATGATCTCTTGAGCCCAGGAGTTCAGGCTGCAATGAGCAACGGATGGTGCCACTGCCCTCCAACCTGGGCGACAAGAGTGAGTCCCTATCTCAAAAATAAAAAACAAGAACAAAAAAAACCACAAGTGTTTCCATCATCCCAGAGCAAACCCCCACACCATCATTTATTCTAACCATTTACTCTTCCAAATCTCCTGGAATTGATTCTATGAATACTCCAAAAATATTTGCTGACAAAATAATATATTTCTTTTGTTGCCATATTGTTTCCTATGTATTATTTCTGCCATTCTGCTCACTCCCCCACCCCCTATTGGAAAAATAGCACTTTTTCCAGTACAAAAAAGTTCGAAAATACTTTTCCCAAATAGTAGGTGGCTATTTTGTCTCCAATATTAGATACTTGTGGCAGAGGTGCAGACTGGCTCCTCCACCTCCACAGCTGAATGCTGTCCTTTTGTGATGGAAGTCATTCATGGAAGCCCAGACAAGAGCCTTTTCCACTAGACCTTTCAAAAAGTTACATGCTCCTGGCCAGGGGTGGTGGCTCACACCTGTAATCCCAGCACTTGGTGAGGCCAAGGCAGGAGAATTACTCGACCCCAGGAGTTTGAGACCAGCCTGGGCAACAAAGTGAGACCCCGTCTCTACAAAAAATAAAAAAAAAATTAGCCAGGTTGGTAGAGGTGCCTATGGTCCCACCTACTCAGGAGGCTGAGATGAAAGAATCACTTGAGCCTGGGTGGTTGAGGCTGCAGTGAGCCATGATCACGCCACTGCACTCCAGCACCTAGACAACACCCTGTCTCAAAAAATAAACAAATATAATAAATAATTTTAAATGCCATATGCTACTAATTCTCCGTATTAAATGCCTGCCTATGAAAACTACAGCTGCTTCTGCATCTGAACCCTAAGCAATACAGAAATAAAAGTAAGAAAACTCAAAAAGGAGTTTCTCTGAGCTTAATACAATTTTATAAAATACTAGATTGTGTAGTGCATGACTTTAAATACAGCTGAAAATTTATAGGTGATGTTTCTCTTATGAATGCTTAAAATATTTTGGTGAATGTGAAGGCTCTATATACTTTCCTTCCCTAACATCTCAAGGCAAGATAAACACTTCAGGCATGGCTTGTCATTAATAAAAGTGGATGTAAATCCAGATTTCAAATAATCTTTGAGGGTTGATTCCCAGTTCTGCTGAGATCATTTTTTTAAACTTCATACATGGCCAATGAAGAGCTTGCACAGAAAGTGGAAGTGTTGGTTCTGCCATAAATGTCCTTGTTGTTCCACACACACTATTAGCATTATCTCTGATCCAGAGTTTCTTTGAAGACTACTTGTTTTGGTTTTGGGAGGTTTTTTTTTTTGTTTTTTTTTGTAGAGATGACCAGATTGGTCTTGAACTCCCGACCTCAAGCAATCCTCCCACCTCGGCCTCCCAAAAGTACTGGGATTATAGGTGGGAGCCACCATGCCCAGTCTCTGTTTTTGTGAAGACCAGTTTAATTAAAATTAGCAGAACTCAAGAATGTACTGACTGAGTGCTCATTAAATGCCAAGGCTTCCACAGCTGTGTCATGCATACAAATTCCTGAATTGGAAGTGTCTCTCTTGCCTCAGAACAGATTAAGACTCACCCATGACTGAAATGCAGATCAAAGGCCAGGCGCAGTGGCTCACGCCTGTAATCCCAGCACTTTGGGAGGCAGAGGCAGGCGGATCACGAGGTCAGGAGTTCAAGACCAGCCTGGCCAACATGGTGAAACCTCATCTCTACTAAAAATACAAAAATTAGCTGGGCATGGTGGCAGGCGCCTGTAATCCCAGTTACTTGGGAGGCTGAGGCAAGATAATCGCTTGAATCTGGGAGGCAGAGGTTGCAGTGAGCTAAGATTGCACCACTGCACTCCAGCCTGGGCGAGAGAGCAAGACTCCGTCTCAAAAAAACAAAAAAAAGAAAGAAAGAAATGCAAATCGCCAGGTGTGGTGGCTCACGCCTGTAATCCCAGCACTTTGGAAGGCCAAGGCGAGCAGATCATGAGGTCAGGAGTTCCAGACCATCCTGGCCAACAAGGTGAAACCCTGTCTCTACTAAAAATACAAAAATTAGCTGGGCATGGTGGTGGACGCCTGTAATCCCAGCTACTGGGAAGGATGAGGCACGAGAATCGCTTGAACCCGGGAGGCGGAGGTTGCGGTGAGCCAAGATCTCACCATTGCACTCCAGCCTGGCAACAGAGCAAGACTCCGTCTAAAAAAAAAAAAACAAAAAAAGGAAATGCAGATCAAGTTGGGGGGTGGGTGCCACTTTTGTAAAGTTCAATGCCTTATTTAGAAATATAAGTAGTAATGTGTTTTTCCTACAGCCTAAGGGATCATCACTCCTTACATCCTAGAGTTTCTGAGACTCTTGAAAGGGGTGAAGAGCAGTCGTCGAAATTTTAAATGATCTTAAAGGCAGGGTCTCGCTTTGCCACCATGCTGTAGTGCAGTGGTGCCATCAGCTCACTGCAGTGTTTAACTCCGAAGCTCAAGCGATCCTTCTGCCTCAGTCTCCTGGGTAGCTAGGACTACAGGCACGCACCACCGCAGCCAGCTGATTTTTTCTATATTTTTTGTAGAGACGAGGGTCTCCCTATGTTGCCCAGGCTTGTCTCAAGCTCCTGGGCTCAAGCAATCCTCCTGCCTCAACCTCCCAAAGTGCTGCGATTATAGGGATGAACCACTACACCTGGCCTAGTCACTGAAATCTTTTGACCGAAAGAGTGACAATTACAATTATCATAAAGTTATAAAAGGCCTTCGAGATTATCTAACACAATCTTCTTACCTGACAGATGTGGAAACTGTGTCCAGTGCACAACCACATACAGATGACCTGAGATCTTTAGACAAAACTCCTTTTGATAAGTTACTTAGCAAACAAACCAATAATACCTAAGCACTATTTTGTAATATGGGAAGAAGAGTTTGATCTAAACATACACAAGTTGAGTTCACAAGCCACAGCTATGGGGGGAAAAGGCCTCAAACAACATTCTAATAAATATCCACAATGTTAGAGGGTTACTGATAACCCATTTGAGTTTCTGTCATCAGAAATCTCAGCCGGGTACGGTGGCTCACGCCTGTAATCCCAGCACTTTGGGAGGCCGAGGCAGGCAGATCACTTGAGATCAGGAGTTCGAGACCAGCCTGGCCAACACGGTGAAACCCCGTCTGTACTAAACATACAAAAATTAGCCAGGTATGGTGACAAGCAGCTGTAATCCCAGCTACTCGGCAGGCTGAGGCAGGAGAATCACCTGAACCTGGGAGACAGTGGTTGCAGTGAGCCGAGATTGCGCCACTGCACTCCAGCCTGGGCGACAAAGTGAGACTCGGTCTCAAAAAAAAAAAAAAAAAGAAATCTCTACAAGCAGCCAGGCATGGTGGCTCATGCCTGTAATCCCAGCACTTTGGGAGATCAAGGCGGGCCCATCACTTAAGGGCAGGAGTTTGAGAGCAGCCTGGCCAACATGGTGAAACTCTGTCTCTACCAAAAAATATAAAAATTAGCCGGGCATGGTTGTACGCACCTGTACTCCCAGCTACTCAGGAGGCTGACATGGGAGAACTGCCTGGAACCCGGAAGGCAGAGGCTGCAGTGAACTGAGACTGCGCCACTGCACTCCAGCCTGGGCAACAGAGCGAGATCCTGTTCAAAAAAGAAAAAAGAAATCTCTACCAGCATATATGCCTAACATATTAAGTGTGAACTTGAGAGGAAGAACTCAACATAGAATAACCTACAGCAAGGTGTTGTAAGGACATAAAAGTTCACCAAAGCCTGGAGAGTAAGCAAAGCAAGAGTCAGGAGGAGAACTACAATGGCATGGTGCCATGCACAGGAAGGCAAAGAAAGTTCTAGAAAGGTGGATATCACAGTCATGTGCCAAAAGCTCAAAGGGAGCCAGGTGCAGCAGCTCATGCCTGTAATCCCAGTACTTTGGGAGGCTGAGGCAGGTGAGGTGAATCACTTGAGCCCAGGAGTTCGAGACCAGCCTGAGAAACATGGTGAGCTCCTGCCTCCACAAAAACTAAAAATAAAAACACTGAGGAAGAGGAAGGGAAGAAAGACACAATCTGAATACAAAGGAAAATAACCCAACAGAAGTGGAAAGATTCAAGACACAGGAGAGAAACGACAAAGCTGTTTTGCAGAAGCCTCAAGATAACGTACTACACATAAATTCTGCACTGAGTTTCCATGAATTAACAGACTCATTAAAAACCATCAGTTAACAACCCCTGGAGCACGCAGTTAACTTTGGAAAAATGGATAGATGCTTTCTTCCAAATCAAAAGACAAAAGACGTCCCAAAGAAAGGTGAAGAGGGAAGAAATGCAGAAGCTCACATCAAATGGCCTGGCTCCCTGAGCAATGTTTCTGCCTATGTACTATGTGCCAAGCAGGCCACAGCGCAGTTTAGATGTTCCAATCCAGTCTAAGTGGTGTGGCCGAGCCAGGACAGGCACCACAGGAACTCAGAAGGGAAGGTACAGCCTGGCCTCGGACGGTGAAGAAATGCTTCCCATGGGGACAGCGCATGGTCTCCATCTCAGAAAGGGGCGAATCAGGCAAAGACAGAAGAACTCACTGGAAAGAAAAGCCTGCACAGGCCAGGCGCGGTGGCTCACACCTGTAATCCCAACACTTTGGGAGGCCGAGGCGGGTGGATCACCTGAGGTCGGGAGTTTGAGACCAGCCTGGCCAGCATGGCGAAACCCCATCTCTACTAAACATACAAAAGATTAGCTGGGTGTGGTGGCAGGCACCTGTAATCCCAGCTACTCGGCAGGCTTGAACCAGGGAGACAGAGCTTGCAGTGAGCCAAGATCGCACCACTGCACTCCAGCCTGGGCAACAAGAGTGAAACTCCATCTCAAAAAAAAAAGGAAAAAAGAAAAGAAAAGAAAAGCGTGCACAAAGGCGCAGAGGCAAGAAAAACCCGGCCCGATCAGGCCACGCAGGCCGCACTACACAAGCAGGTCAGGATCACCGCAGCACCCAACAGGCACCGCAACAGCAGTGGAACAGCAAGGCAAAAGGAAGCGAACGGCAAGGACGCTCAGCTGTCCGTGCAGCCGGAGTCTGGCAGGAACAAGAGAGGGGCCGTCAAAGAAAGCTCAAGACGTCCTGGTGCTCACGTACAAAGGCAGGTGGAAGACATCCAGAGGGAGGAGGAAGCAGCAGAGTGTGTTCACAGAGAAGAGAAAATGCAGTAGACTACGGCGAGAGTAAGGAAGACCAGACTAGCAGGACAGGGCTGGGCAAAGTGGCTCACGCCTGTAATCCCAGCACTTTGGGAGACCAAGGTGGGAGGATTGCTTGAGCCCAGGAAGTCAAGTTGACAATGAGCTATAATTGTGCCACTACACTCCAGACTGGGTGACAGAGCAAGACCCTGTCTCTGAAATAAATAAAAATTTAAAAAGAATAGCAAGGTGGTTTCTTTATCTCAGTTGGTACTGAGAAGTGACAAAAGCCACAGAAATTGAAAGGTATGTGAGGGGACACCGACTACAACAATTAGAGGAATTTTTCAAACTCAAGTCTTCGGGCCTCAGTTTCCTCAGCTAACAAATACTGTCTTGGCAATAAACAGGGGCTCTGTCGTTGTCCCCTCCAGTTCTGAAGTTCTATGCATCTATGATTTGACCATCTTAGCATTCCCAGTGGAATACAGGTGTGGACATCTGTAAATGTACAAACACACAAAGAACAGTTCAATTCAGTTTGTGCAGCGGTATTTAATTGAAATCATTGATCCAAACCCTCCCATTATTCTTTTAAAGGAAGGAAAAATATTAACAATAGCTATAGCCGTCTTCCTATGCTGTTCTTGTTTCTGTTTTTGTTTGAGATGGAGTCTCACTGTGTCACCCAGGCTGGAGTGCAGTGGCACGATCACAGTTCATGCAACTTCCACCCTCTGGGTTCAAGCAATTCTCCTGCCTTAGCCTCCTGAGTAGCTGGAATTACAGGTACATGCCACCATGAACAGCTAACTTTTGTATTTTTAGTAGAGACGGGGTTTCACCATGTTGGCCAGGCTGGTCTCGAACCTCTGCCCTCAAGTGATCTGTCCACCTCGGCCTCACGAAGTGCTGGGATTACAGGCGTGAGCCACTGCACCCAGCCTGATTTTGTGTGCTTTTAAAGACAGAAACAGCTAGGTACAGTGGCTCCCGCCTGTGATCCCAGTCATCCCAAATACCCAGGAGGCTAAGGCAGGAGGATTGCTTGAGGCCAACAGTTTGAGACCAGTCTAGGCAACATACAAGATCTCATCCCCCCCAGAAAAATTTTGATTAGCTGGGTGTGGTGGCCCGTGCCTGTAGTCCCAGGTACTTGAAAGCCTGACGTGGGAGGATCTCTTGAGCCTAGGAGTTGGAGGCTGCAGTGAGCTATGACGGCGGAATTGCACTCCAGCCTGGGCAATAGGGACTGTACTCTAACTAGTAACTCGTAGACAATGTTTGCCTTGGTGGGCTACTTTCACCTAAGTGAAATAATTACCAAGTATTTTTAGGAAAAGTAATTAGATTGTAGTACACTATTTTTTTCTTTCCTTTTTTTTTTTTTTCATTTGAGATGCAGTCTCGCTCTGTCAAACACGATGAAATACAGTAGCACGATCTAGGCTCACTGCAACCTCCTCCCCGGTTCAAGCGATTCTCCTGCTTCAGCCTTCCCAGTAGCTAAGATTACAGGCATGCGCCACCACACTCAGCTAACTTTCATATTTTAGTAGAGACGGGGTTTCACCGTGTTGGCCAGACTGGTCTTGAACTCCTGGCCTCAACTGATCCACCCACCTCGGCCTCCCAAAGTGCTGGGATTACAGGCATGAGCCATAGCGCCCAGCCTTGTAGTACACTATTAAATGGTTAACTTTTTTTTTTTTTGAGACGGAGTCTCACTCTGTCACCCAGGCTGGAGTGCAGTGGCACGTTCTTGGCTCACTGCAACTTCTGCCTCCTGGGTTCAAGCGATTCTTCTGCCTCAGCCTCCCGAGTAGCTGGGACTACAGGCGTGCACCACCACACCTGGCTAATTTTTTGTATTTTTAGTAGAGACAGTGTTTCACCATGTTAGCCAGGATGGTCTTGATCTCCTGACCTCATGATCCGTCCATCCCAGCCTCCCAAAGTGCTGAGATTACAGGCGTGAGCCACCGTGCCCAGCCAAAAGTTAACCATTTTACTGAATTTTAGCATGAGCATGAAATTACTACCATACTATAAATCTGAATATTAATTAGCTTCTCAGGAATCCTTTGAAGAAAATAAAAAGCTTCACCATTTCATAGGTGAGAAAACTAAAAAGAATGAAAATTCTGGGCTGCTAAATGCACTGTGGTGTACTGGATTAGATCCTGGAACAGAAACAGGACATTTTAAAAATCCAAATAATCTGTAGTTAATAATGTTGTACCAATGCTAATTTCTTAGTTTTGACAAATATACCAAGGTTCGCTAGAATATCCATATTAGGGAGAGCTGGCTGAAGAGAATGCACAAACTCCAGGCTCAATAGTATGCCCTCATCGCCCTCATCCACAGCTGCACTTCTCAGTGGTTTGAGTTACCTGTGATCAACTGTGGTTCAAAAACAGGTGAGCACAGTATAATAAGATATTCTGAGAGAGAGATACCACATTCACATAACTTTTATTACAATGTATTGTGATAATTGTCCTATTACTGTTATTGTTGTTAATCTCTCACTGTGCCTAATTTACAAATTAAGCTTTACCTATGGTAAAGGTACTATATATAGGAAAAACATAGTATATTTTAGGGTTGAGTATTATCTGCAATTTCAGGCATCCAGTAGGGGTCTTGGGATGGATCCCCTGCAGGTAATGGGGGACCAGTGTACTATCTTGGTGACTTTTCTGTAAATCTAAAATTATTCTAAAATAAAAAGTTTATTTTTAAAAATCCTGTGCCATAAGAATTAGATTCTACAACCTCTCATTCAGTTTCAAGCTCTATCTAACATGGTGCTCAAAATATTCAAGAGAACAATGTTCTTTACTTGACATCACCCTCTATTAACTTACGTAAGGGAAAAAGTCAATTTCCTCAAGAAAACAACAAGCAGTAATTCTGTCCCACAAACATTATTGGAATTACTCCAAGGTAGTTTAGAAATTAAAACATTTCCTTTTTTGAGACAGGGTCTTGTTCTGTCACTCAGGCGGGAGTGCTGTGGCATGATCACAGCTCACTGCAGTCTCGACCTCCCGGGCTCAAGTGATCCCCCCACATCAGCCTCCTGAGTAGCTAGAACTGTGGGTGCACACTACCACACCTGACTCCCTTCTTTTATTTTGTAAAGACAGTATCTCAGCCGGGCGTGGTGGCTCACGCCTGTAATCCCAGCACTTTGGGAGGCCAAGGCAGGCAGATCATGAGGTCAGGAGATCAAGACCATCCTGGCCAACATGGTGAAACCCCATCTCTACTAAAATACAAAAAATTAGCCAGGTTTGGTGGTGCGTACCTGTAGTCCCAGCTACTCGGAAGGCTGAGGCAGGGGAATTGCTTGAACCCGGGAGGTGGAGGTTGCAGCGAGCCGAGATCGCGTCACTGCACTCCAGCCTGGCAACAGAGCGAGACGCCATCAACAACAACAAAAAAAGGACAGTATCTCACTGGCCGGGCACAGTGGCTCATGCCTGTAATCCCAGCACTTTGGGAGGCCAAGGCGGACGGATCACCTGAGATCAGGCGTTCAAGACCAGCCCGACCAACATGGTGAAACCCTACCTCTACTAAACATACAAAATTATCCAGGCGTGGTGGCACATGCCTGTAATCCCAGCTACTCGGGAGGCTGAGACAGGGGAATCGCCTGAACCTGGAGGTTCAGGGAGCCGAGATCAGGCCATGGCACTCCAGCCTGGGCAACAAAAGCAAAATTCCATCTCAAAAAAAAAAAAACAGTGTCTCTCACGCTTGTAATCCCAGCACTTTGGGAGGCCGAGGCAGGTGGATCACAAGGTCAGGAGATCGAGACCACCCGGCTAACACGGTGAAACCCCGTCTCTACTAAAAATACAAAAAATTCTCTGGGTGTGGTGGTGGGCGCCTGTAGTCCCAGCTACTCCGGAGGCTGAGGCAGGAGAACGGCGTGAGCCCGGGAGGCAGAGCTTGCGGCGAGCCGAGATTGCGCCACTGCACTCCAGCCTGAGTGACAGAGCGAGACTCTGTCTCAAAAACAAAAAACAAACAAACAAAAAACAGTGTTTCACTATGTTGCCCAGGCTGGTCTCAAAATCCCGGGCTCAAGGGATCCTCCTGCCTTGGCCTCCCAAAGTGTTAGGATTATGGTTGTAAACCACTGCACCCAGCTGTTAATTCCATTAAAATATAATAAGTTTTCAAAATCGGTTGGACCCCAATATTATCTAGAATTTGGTCACCAAGTTATAGATTTTTAGATGGTTCTGGGATTTATATATTTACCTCTAGCCTCCCAAATTATTGGGATTACAGGTGTGAGCCATAGAGCCCAGCTAAAACTTACTTCCATAGTAAAAACAAAATAAATGTTATACAGGCCCATGACATATAGAGGCCTATGATTTGAACTCATACTGGTCAAACTCTAAAATGAAGATGGCTTGTGTCACCATGTTCATGTAATCTAGCAAATCAGTTTACAAAGCCTACAAGGTCAAAAAGTCTAGTAAAGAGAACTTTATCAAATACAATGCAAAGCAGCATCCTATAATAGCACCAAATAAATATTAAATTAGTTATTAGGCCAGGAAAAAAGGTCTCCAATAAGTATATTTCACATACACATTACAATTAAAAATGAAAATATGAATAAGCACAATTAATGAAGAATAATCAGGCAGCTATCTACAGGAAATTCATTTCAAATAATATAGATAGGTTTAAAGCAAAAAGATAGAAAAAATATAACATGCCAATATTAATTAGCAGAAAGCTGGAGAGGCTATATTAGTAGTATCAGACAAAAGCGACTTTAGAGACAAGCAAACTACCAAGGATGAGGGATACAGCTTAAATGACAAAGGGTCAATTCACCAAGACCTAACAATCCTAAATGTATATGCATCAAACACAGCTTCAAACATACATGAAGCAAAAGCTAAATAAACTGTAAGGAAAAGTGAACAAATCTACAATTTTAGGCAGAGACTTCAACATTCCTCTTTCAGCAATCAAAAGAACTAGTAGACAAAAACTCAGCAAGAATACAGAAGCGAACAAAACCATCAACCAAAAAAAAACTATCAGCCAACTGGATCTAATTGACATTCAGAAACCATCCAATAATAGTAGTACATACATTTTTAAGTTCATATGTAACATTTACCAAAACAGACCATAAAACCTTAAATTTTTTGAAAAACTTAAAATCATAAAAAGAATGATCTCTGATGTTAACAATGGTAAAAATCAGACAAAAATTCAGTAATAGAGAGATACAGGTGGCCGGACACGGTGGTTTCAAGACTGTAATCCCAGCACTTTGGGAGGCTGAGCGGGGTGGATCACGAGGTCAGGAGTTCAAGACCAGCCTGGCCAACGTGGTGAAATCCCGTCTCTACTAAAAATACAAAACTTAGCTGGGCACAGTGGTGGGCACCTGTAATCCCAGCTACTAGGGAGGCTGAGGCAGGAGAACCACTTGAACCCGGGAGGCAGAGGTTGCAGTGAGCCGAGATCGTGCCACTGCACTCCAGCCTGGGTGACAGAGTAAGACCTAGTCTCAAAAAAATAAATAAATAAAAGGGAGAGATAACAGAATTAAACAGCACACTTCTGTATTAATCCATTTTCACACTGCTGATGAAGACATACCCAAGACTGGGAAAAAAAAGTTTAAAAAGAGTTCCACATGCCTGGGGAGGCCTCACAATCACGGTGGAAGGCAAAGAGGAACAAGTCAGGTCTTACATGGATGGTGGCAGGCAAAAAGAGAGAGCTTGCCCAGGGAAACTCCCACTCACAGAACCATCAGATCTCGTGAGACTTATTTACCATCACGGAGAACAGCACGGGAAAGACCTACATGCATGATTCAATTACCTGCCACCAGGTCCCTCCCACAACACACGAGAATTGTGGGAGCCACAATTCAAGACAAGATTTGGGTGGGAACATAGCCAAACCATACCAACTTCTAAATAAACTGTAAGTCAAAGGAGAAGTCACGCCTGTAATCCCAGCACTTTGGAAGGCCAAGGCGGGCAGATCACGAGGTAAAGAGATGGAGACCAACCTGGCCAACATGGGGAAACCCCATCTCTACTAAAAATACAAAAATTAGCCAGGCATGGTGGTGCGCGCCTGTAGTCCCAGCTACTCAGGGGGCTGAGGCAGGAGAATCTCTTGAACCCGGGAGGCAGAGGTTGCGGTGAGCCGAAATCGCACCACTGCACTCTAACCTGGCGACAGTGTGAGACTCCGCCTCAAAAAAAAAAAAAAAAACAAAAAGAAGGGAAATTAGAACTTTACTTAATTATTTTAGAGACGGGATCTTGCTATGTGGACCTAGCTTGAGTGCAATGGCTGGCTATTCACAGGTCCTATCATCGCGCATTACAGCCTGGAACCCCTGAGCTCAAGTGGTCCTCCTGCCTCAGCCTACTGAGTAGCTGGAGCTACAGCATACAACACCATACCCAGCTAGAAAGTGTTTTAAACTGAATGAAAATGAAACTTCGGCCAGGCACAGTGGCTCAAGCCCGTAATCCCAGCACGCTGGGAGACCGAGGCCGGTGGATCACTTGAGATCAGGAGTTTGACAACAGCCTGACCAACATGGCAAAACCCTGACTCCACTAAAATACAAAAAATTAACTGAGCATGGTGGCGGGCGCCTGTAATCCCAGCTACTTAAGAGACTGAGGCAAGAGAATTGCTTGAGGCTGGGAGGCAGAGGTTGCAGTGAGCCAAGACTGCACCACTGCACTCCAGCCTGGACGATGGAACAAGACTGTCTCAAAAAAAAAAAAAAAAAAAAGAAAGTTCTGTGGCCGGGCGCGGTGGCTCACACCTGTAATCCCAGCACTCTGGGAGGCCAAGGCAGGCGGATCCCGAGGTCATGAGATCAAGACCATCCTGGCTAACACGGTGAAACCCCGTCTCTACTAAAAATACAAAAAATTAGCCAGGAATGGTGGTGGGCGCCTGTAGTCCCAGCTACTCAGGAGGCTGAGGCAGGAGAATGGCATGAACCCAGGAGGCGGAGCTTGCAGTGAGCAGAAATCGTGTCACTGCACTCCAGCATGGGGACAGAGCGAGACTCCGTCTCAAAAAAAAAGAAAAGAAAAGAAAGTTCAACATACCAAAATTTGTGGGATACAGCTTAAGTATGGCTCAGAGAGACGTTTATAGCATTAAATATTCACATTAGAAAAGCCCAGGCACGGTGGCTCACGCCTATAATCCCAGCACTTTGGGAGGCAGAGGTGGGCAGATTGCTTAAACTCAGGAGTTAAACACCAGCGTGAGCAACATGGCAAAACCCCGTCTCTACAAAAAATACCAAAAAAAAATCAGCCGGGCGCGGTGGCTCACGCCTGTAATCCCAGCACTTTGGGAGGCCGAGGCGGGCGGATCATGAGGTCAGGAGGTCGAGATCATCCTAGCTAACACGATGAAACCCCGTCTCTACTAAAAATACAAAAAATTAGTCGGGCGTGGTGGTGGGCACCTGTAGTCCCAGCTACTCCGGAGGCTGAGGCAGGAGAATGGCGTAAACCCAGGAGGCGGAGCTTGCAGTGAGCCGAGATCCAGCCACTGCACTCCAGGCTGGGCGACAGAGCAAGACTCTGTCTCGAAAAAAAAAAAAAAAAAAAATTTACCCAGACATGATGGCTTGCACCTGTAGTCCCAGCCGCTCAGGAGGCTGAGGTGGAAGGATCCCTTGAGTCCAGGAGTTCAAGGTTACAGTGAGCTATGATCAAGCCACAGCACTCCAGACTAGGAGACCGTACAAGACCCTGCCTCTTAAAATAAAATAAAACATAAAAATAAAAATAAAAAACAAACCCAAAGCAAATAATAAGGCAAAGTGTTTAAAAAAAAAAATCAAACACACTGAAAACGGAAAAACAGAGAAAAATCAGTAAAACCAACAGCTGGTTCTTCAAAAAGGTTTAAAAAATGATGAAACCTCTATTAAGACTGGCAAGGAAGAATAAAAGGTAAAAACAAGTTACTAATATCAGGAATGAAAGGGCAGACATCACTACAGACTCCCACAGACATTAAAAGGATAATAAAGCAATACTGCAGACAACTCTATACACATAAATTCAAATACTTAGATGAAATGAACCAATTCCTTGAAAATCAGATACTAACATAGAGAAAGAAATAATTCCCATCTTACTTTAATGAAGCCAGCATTAATACTACAGATTAAGCATTCCAAATGCAAAAATCCAAAATCTGAAATGCTTCAAAATCTGAAACTTTTTCAGCACTGACATGACACTCAATGGAAAAATTCACTGGAACATTTCTGATTTCAGATTTTCAGATTTGGTGTGCTAAATCAGCATAATGCAAATATTCCCAAATGTGAAATTATCTGAAATCCAAAAGACTTCTGGTTCCAAACATTTGAGATAAGGGATATTCAACCTGTAAAACCAAAATCAGGCAAAAACAATTTAAGAAAGCTAGTGACAAACATCCCTCATGAAAACAGACCAATAATGCTTAATAAAATTTAGTGAATTTAAGTCTAGCAATTAAAAAATAAATGACCAGGCAGGGCTTACACCTGTGATCCCAGCACTTTAGGAGGCCAAGGCAGGCGGATCACGAGGTCAAGAGATCAAGACCATCCTGGCTAACATGGTGAAACCCCATCTCTACTAAAAATATAAAAAATTACCCAGGTGTGGTGGCGGACGCCTGCAGTCCCAGCTACTTGGGAGGCTGAGGCAGGAGAATGGCGTGAACCCGGGAGGCAGAGCTTGCAGTGAGCCGAGATGGCGCCACTGCACTCCAGCCTGGGAGACAGAGCAAGACTCATCTCTAAATAAATAAATAAATAAATAAATAAATAAATAAATAAATAAATAAAAATATAAATTGAAAAAACAAAAACAAAAAAAACAACCAACAGGCGTGGTGGCTCATGCCTGTAATCCCAGCACTTTGGGAGGCCGAGGTGGGCAGATCACCTCAGGTTGGGAGTTCAAGACCAGCCTGACCAACATGGAGAAACCCCGTCTGTACTAAAAATACAAAATTAGCTGGGTGTGGTGGCTTATGCCTGTAATCCCAGCTACTCGGGAGGCTGGGGCAGGAGAATCGCTTGAACCCGGGAGGCAGAGGTTGCAGTGAGCCAAGATCGTGCCATTACACTGCAGCCTGGGCACCAAGAGCGAAACTCTGCCTCAAAAATAAACAAACAAACAAACAAACGACCAAGAGGGGTTCATTCTAGGAATGTAAAGCTGGTTCAATATCCAAAATCAATAATGTCACCTACGACTTAAACAGTCTAGGCTGGGTGTGGTGGCTCACGCCTGTAATACCAGCACTTTGAGAGGCCAAGGCAGGTAGATGACTAGAGGCCAGGAGTTCGAGATCAGCCTGGCCAACGTGACGAAACCCCGTCTCTACTAAAAGTACAAAAATTAGCCAGGAGTGGTGGTGCACACCTGGCACCACCACAGTCTCAGCAACCTGTGAGGCTGAGGCACAAGAATCACATGAACTCAGGTGGCAGAGGTTGCAGTGAGCAGAAATCATGGCACTAAACTTCAGCTTGGGCCACAGAGCGACACTCTGTCTCAAAAATTAAAATTAAAAAAAAAAAAAAAAGCCAGGTGCGGTGGCTCATGCCTGTAATCCCCGCACTTTGGGAAGCCAAGGAGGGCAGATCACGAGGTCAGGAGTTCGAGATCAGCCTGGCCAATATGGTGAAATCCCATCTTTACTAAAAATACAAAAAATTAGCCAGGTGCAGTGGTGCATGCCTGTAGTCCCAGCTACTTGGGAGGGTGAGGCAGAAAAATCACTTGAACTCAGGAGGCAGAGGTTGCAGTGAGCCGAGATGGTGTCACTGCACCCCAGCCTGGGAGACAGAGTGAGACTCCATCTCAAAGAAAACAAAAAAGTAAAACTATAAAATTTTTAGAAGAAAACAGAGGGGGCCGGGCGCGGTGGCTCACGCCTGTAATCCCAGCACTTTGGGAGGCTGAGGCGGGCGGATCACGAGGTCAGGAGATCGAGACCATCCTGGCTAAAACGGTGAAACCCCGTCTCTACTAAAAATACAAAAAATTAGCCGAGCGTAGTGGCGGGCGCCTGTAGTCCCAGCTACTTGGGAGGCTGAGGCAGGAGAATGGCGTGAACCCGGGAGGCGGAGCTTGCAGTGAGCCGAGATCCCGCCACTGCACTCCAGCCTGGGCGACAGAGCGAGACTCCGTCTCAAAAAAAAAAAAAAAAAAAGAAAAAAAGAAAACATAGAGGGAAAAAAATCGTCATAACCTGGAGCTAAAATGGAGATCTTAGAAATGACACCAAAACCATGATCCACACAGAAAAAAATTGATAAACTGAACTTCATTCACATTAATATTTTTTCCTCTGCAAAAAACCGGTTTACAGCCTGGGTGCAGTGGCTCACACCTGTATCCCAGCACTTTGGGAGGCTGAGGTGGGCCCATCACTTAAGGTCAGGAGTTCAAGACGAGCATGGCCAACATGGTGAAACACCATCTCTACTAAATATACAAAAATTAGCCAGGCATGATGGCACACGCCTGTTAATTCCAGCTACTCAGGAGGCTGAGGCACAAGAATCACCTAAACCGGGAGGCGGAGGTTGCAGTGAGTCGAGATCACACCACTACACTCCAGCCTGGGCGACAGAATGAGACTCTGTCTGACCAAAAACAAACAAACAAAAAAAACAAAAAAGTAAACTAAAAAGTTTTTAGAAGAAAACATAGAAGGAAAAAAATCTTCATAACCTTGAGCTAAAACAGAGATGTTAGAAATGACACCAAAACCATGATCCACAAAAGAAAAAATTGGTAAACGGAACTTCATTCACATTTTTTTTTCTCTGCAAAAAACCAGTTAACAGGTTGGGTCCGGTGGCTCACACCTATAATCCCAGCACTTTGGGAGGCTGAGGCCGGTAGATCACTTGAGGTCAGAAGTTCAAGACCAGCATGGCCAATATGGTGAAACCCCATCTCTACTAAAAATACAAAAATTAGCCAGGCGCGGTGGCACATCCCTATAACTCCAGCTACTCAGAAGGCTGAGGCATGAGAATCACTTGAATCTGGGAGGCGGAGGCTGCAGTGAGCCGAGATCATGCCACCACACTCCAGCCTGGGTGACGGAATGAGACACTGTCTCAACAAAAAGATAAGCTACACAGTTGAAGAAAATGTTGGCAAATTATATATGACAAAGGATTTGAATTCAGAATCATGGAGAACTTTCAAAAAATAGGCAAAGTAGGCCGGGCATGGTGGCTCACCCCTGAAATCCCAGTACTTTGGGAGGCCGAGGCGGGCGGATAATCTGAGGTCAGGAGTTCAAGACCAGTCTGGCCAACATGGTGAAGCCCCATCTCTACTAAAAATACCAAATTAGTCAGGCATGGTGGAAGGCGCCTGTAATCCCAGCTACTCGGGAGGCTGAGGCAGGAGAATCACTTGAACCCAGGAGGCAGAGGTAGCAGTGAGCCGAGATCGTGCCACTGCACTCCAGCCTGGGGACAAGAGCAAGACTTTGTCTCAAAAAAAAAAAAAAAAAATAGGCAAAGTCTTGATAAAACACTGCTCCCAAGAGGATACAGGAATGGCAAATAAACACAGGAAACATGTTTAATATTATTAGGCACCAGGGAGATGCAAATTAAAACTATGATACCACTACAGACCTATTTATTAAAATATTAAGAGGCCAGGCTCAGTGGCTCACGCCTGCAACCCCAGCACTTTGGGAGGCCAAGGTGGGCAGATCACTTAAGTTCAAGAGTTCGAGACCAGCCTGGCCAACATGGTGAAATCCCATCTCTACTGAAACTACAAAATTAGCCAGGTGTGGTGACGCACATCTGTAATCCTAGCTACTGGGGAGGCTGAGGCAGGAGAATTGCTTGAACCAAGGAGGCAGACGTTGCAGGGAGCCAAGATCGCGCCACTGCACTCCAGCCTGGGCGAAAGGGTGAGACTCCACTTCCAAAAAAAAAAAATACATACACACACACACACACACACAGACACACACACACACATACTAAGGTCAGGAATTATAAACTGTCTGTCTAGTTTTAGGCTGGGTGCGGTGGCTCACGCCTGTAATCCTAACACTGGGAAGCCAAGGTGGGAGGATCGCTGGAGCCCTGGAGATAGACACCAGCCTGGGCAACATAGTGAGACCCCATTTCCACAAAAAGAATTATTATTATTATTGTTATTATTATTTTTTGAGACAAGAATCTCGCTCTTGTTGCCCAGGCTGGAGTGCAGTAGTGTGATCTTGGCTCATAGCAACCTTCACCTCCCAGGTTCAAGCAAGTCTCTTGCCTCAACTCAACCTCCCGAGTAGCTGGAATTACAGGTGTGTGCCACCGCAACCAGCTACTTTTTGTATTTTTAGTAGAGACGGGGTTTCACCACCTTGGCCAGGCTGGTCTCAAACTCCTGACCTCCAGTGATCCGCCTGCCTCGGCCTCCCAACGTGCTGGAATTACAGGCGTGAGCCACCACGCCCAGCCCACAAAAAGGGTTTTTTAAAAAACAGTTTAGGCCAGGGCTTATACCTGTAATCCTAGCACTTCGGGAGGCCAGACCAGTAGACTGCCTGAGCTCAGGAGTTTGAGACCAGCTTGGGCAACATGGCAAAACCCCATCTCTACTAAAAAAATATTAATAATAATAGTGTAAACAAAAACCACTGAAAATCTCAAGTGCTAGCAAGGATGCAGAGCAACCAGAACTCTCAGACATTGCGTGAGTAGGCAAAATGGTATTATCCACTCTGGATAACAGTTCAGCGGTTTCACATAATGTTACCATATGACCAGCTCCTACTCCTTGGTATTTACCTAGAAAATTGAAATTTACTTTCACACAAAAATCCTGTATAGACATGTTTATGGCAACTCTATTTATAATCACCAAAACCTCAAAACAACCCCAATGTCCACCAATGGAAAAATGGACAAACTGTGGTACATTTATACAACAGAATACTACACAGCAGTAAAAAAGAACAAGCTACTGATACATGCAACAACTTGGATGAATCTCAAAGTCATTATGCTGAGTGAAATAAACCTTCCTGAAAAGACTACACAGTCATAAATGGACTGTATGAGTCCATTTACAGGACTTATCCAAAAGATAAAATCATACCAAGCAACACAGTAATGGCTGCCAAGACTTTAGGAGTTGGGGAGAGTGTAACTATAACATGAGGGAGTTTTTGTGAACAATTAAACTGTTCTGTATCCTGATTGTGGTAGTAGATATATGAATCTACAGTTGTTAAAATTCAAATGCAAAATGCACATTTTAAACATTCAATTTTGGCTGGGACAGTAGCCTACACCTGTAATCCCAAAACTTTGGGAGGCCAAGGTAGGAGGACTGCTTGAGCCCAGGAGTTTGAGATCAGCTTGGGAAACACAGTGGGACCCCATCTTTACAAAAAAAAAAAAATTTTTTTTTTTTGAGGCGGAGTCTTGCTCTGTCCCCCAGGCTGGAGTGCAGTGGCACAATCTCGGCTCACTGCAACCTCTGCTTCCTGGGTTCAAGCAATTCTCCTGCCTCAGCCTCCCGAGTAGCTATGATTACAGGCGCCTGCTACCACACCCCGCTAATTTTTGTATTTTTAGTAGAGACACGATTTCACCATGTTGGTCAGGCTGGTCTCAAACTCCTGACCTCATAATCCGCCCGCCTCAGCCTCCCAAAGTGCTGGGATAACAGGCGTGAGCCACCGCACCTGGCCTTAAATTTTTGTTTTTTAATTAGCCAGGCATGGTGGTGCACACCTGTAGTCCCAGCTACCTGGGAGGCTGAGGTGGGAGCACTGCTTGAGCAGGACAGGCTGAGGCTACAATGAGCCATTGTCATAACACTGCATTCCAGCCAAGGCAACAGAGTCAGAGTCTGTTTCAAAAAATTTTTTTAATTAGTATCAATTTTGCTACATGTTAATTTCTAAAAATTAGCATATAACAGTACCATTTAGGAAAACTATCAGGCAGTACCCACTAAAGTCAAATCGAAGTACACCCAGCAATTCTACCCCCAGCCATATGACCAACTGAGTGCTCATGTCCACCAAAACACATGTACAGAAAGGAATAGACACATCAGTTGACTCATAGCAGCCATAAAACAATCCAAATGTCCATTAGAATGGTGAGATGAATTGTGGAATATTAACACAACAGTAAGTTTACATGCCATGAAAAAAAAAATGATCCACTGCTAGGACAACAACACAGATGCATCTCAAATATAATGTTGAGCCAAAGAGCCCTAGCACAAAAATTCTTGTTCTATGAAATTCAAAGAGAGGGCCTGGCGTGGTGGCTCACGCCTGAAATCCCAGCACTTTGGGAGGCTGAGGCTGGCAGATCACCTGAGGTCAGGAGTTCAAGGCCAGCCTGGCCAACATGGTGAAACCCCATCTCTACTAAAAATACGAAAATTAGCTGGGCATGGCGGCGCATGCCTGTAATCCCAGCTACTCGGGAGGCTGAGGCAGGAGAATCACTTGAACCCAGGAGGCAGAGGTTGCAGTGAGCCGAGATCACGCCACTGCACTCCAGCCTGGGTGACAGAGGGAGACTCCGTCTCAAAAAAAAAAAGAAAGAAAGAAATTCAAAGTCAAAATCCTTTTAAAGGATACAGATGAGATCAGTAGTAGAAACGACCATGAAGGAGATGAGGGAACATCCGGAAAATTGTTCTATCTATAGTCTTTTTTGTTTTTTTTTAAGATGAGGTCTCCCTGTCACCCAGGTTGAAGTGCTGTTGTGGTACAACCACAGCTCACTGTAACCCTCAGACTCCTGAGCTCAAGCAATTCTCTAGCCTGAGCCTCCTACATAACTGGGATTACAGGTATACACCACCACACCAGGCTAATTCTTTTTTTCTTTCAGAGACAGAGTCTTGCTCTGTCACCCAGTCTGGAGTGCAGTGGCCCGATCTGGGCTCACTGCAACCTCTGCCTCCTGGGTTCAAGCAATTCTCCTGCCTCAGCCTCCCGAGTAGCTAGGATTACAGGCGCCCACCACCACACCCAGCTAATTTTTTTGTATTTTTAGTAGAGAATGGGGTTTTACCATGTTGGCCAGGCTGGGCTCAAACTCCTGACCTCGTGATCCTTCCACCTCGGCCTCCCAAAGTGCTGGGATTACAGGTGTGAGCCACAGCGCCTGGCCAGGCTAATTAGAATTAAGTTTTTTGTTGAGACAGAGTCTCACTACATAGCTCAAGCTGGTCCTGAACTCCTGGCCTCAAGTGATTCTCCCACCTCGGCCTTCCAAAGTGCTGGGATCATGGCTATGGGCCACTGTGCCAACCTATATTCTTTATCTTGATATATTTATTACATAGGTGTACACATAGAAAAAATACTGAATCACAGACATGCTCTCTGCAGGTACACCATTTCTAAAGCGTGTATGGTAACCATTTAAACTTTTAAAAGTTAAAATTGTTAATTTTAGTTAAGACACAGGAAGTTCTACATTTTTCTTCAACCTATTTCCTCAGGTCACTAGGCAAATATGAACTAGAGTTAATGATAACCTAATTTCACCGTGGTCGCAATTTCTACAATACAGGGAAGGCTTCTAAGTGCACCCTCATGTACCCCAAAGATCCATAATAATCATACCAGCATGTTTATACAACGATCATACCATCAAAGCAGAGGATACGCTGTATGGTGGCTAATTTTTTGGTTTTTTTTTTTTTTTTTTTTTTTTTTGAGACAATGTCTCATTCTTTTGTGCAGGCTGAAGTGCAATGGTGTGATCTCTGCTCACTGCAACCTCAGCCCTGCACCCCCCACCCCGGGTTCAGGCGATTCTCATGTCTCAGCCTCCTGAGTAGCTGAGATTACAGGCGCTCGTCACCATGCCTGGCTAATTTTTGCATTTTTTAGTAGAGATGGGGTTTCTCCATGTTGGCCAGGCTGGTCTCAAACTCCTGACATCAAGTGATCTGCCCACCTCAGCCTCCCAAAGTGCTAAGATTACAGGCGTGAGCCACTATGCCCGGTCCCTATGGTGGCTAATTTTTATTTTAATTTTTTGTAGAGCAGTGGCGGGGAGGGTCTCTCCACGTCACCCAGGCTGATCTCAAACTCCTGGACTCAAGTGATCCTCCCACCCTGGCCTCCCTAAATGCTGGGATTATAGGTATGAGCTACCAAGCCTGTGGTGCCCTATCATTAAGAAACCCAAGGTAGTGGCCAAATGCAGTGGCTCACACCGTAATCCTAGCACTTTGAGAGGCCGAGGCGGGTACATCACGAGGTCAGGAGATCGAGACCATCCTGGCTAACATGATGAAACCCTGTCTCTACTAAAAATACAAAAAATAAGCTGGGCATAGTGGCACACACCAGTAGCCCCAGCGACCTGGGAGGCTGAGGCAGGAGAATCACTTGAACCCGGGAGGCGGAGGTTGCAGTGAGCCAAGATTGCGCCAGGGCACTCCAGCCTGGGTGACAGAGCGAGACTCCATTTAAAAAAAAAAAAGAAAAGAAAACTGAGGTAGCGCAAGGTTGATACCTTGCCCATGGAACAGAGCCTAACAAATTTGTGGTTCCCCAAGCTTTGTGTATAAGAATTCTGTTTTGAGTCAAAGACCCTATAAGCTAAGTTATGTTTTCCTACTTCTCCCATGGTCCTCCTCCTTTGTTGAAGCTACCCACATGCAGAAACACCCTCTTTGGCTCAGCAGCCACCTCGATGAAGGTGGTCCTGGGTATAACACATAGTGCTGTGTCCCGCACACAGGACAGTGGGACTGTGACCACTCCTGAAAATCAAGACAGTCCTTCCACTCGGCCTTCTCTCTTATCCACCTCCTGGCCTGGTGACTACGGAGTGTAGAGGCTGCTTGCCAGGACTCAGAAAGCCTCCCTGGGAACCATAGGGCCAGAAACCACTCACTGTTTCTGGTTGATACTGTTTTGGGTGCCATTTTGCACCATACAAGGTACTCCAAAAAGCTCACCATCTGTGGGGAAACAATTCAGAGGCTTCAGAATTACATTAAGACTTTCTGTGATCTGTGTCAAGAATATTTTACCCCAGTTACCATAAAGAGTTTCTTTAATGAACAATTATTAAAATACTTACAAAGAAACTTAAAAACTAAAGACAGCTTTAAAAGCTTAAAATATCGGCCAGGTGCAGTGGCTCACGCCTGTAATTCCAGCACTTTTGGAGGCCCAGGCAGGTAGATAGATCACTTGAGGTCAGGAGTTCGAGACCAGCTTGGCCAACAAGGTGAAACCCCGTCTCTACTAAAAATACAAAAAATGGCCGGGCGTGGTTGCTCACGCCTGTAATCCCAGCACTTTGGGAGGCCAAGGCATGTGGATCACAAGGTCAGGAGTTCTAGACCAACATGGTGAAGCCCCGTCTCTACTAAAAATACAAAAATTACCCAAGTGTGGTGGCACATGCCTGTAATCCCAGCTACTCAGGAGGCTGAGGCAAAAGAATCACTTGAACCCAGGAGGCGGAGGTTGCAGTGAGCTAAGATCACCCCACTGTACGCCAGCTGGGGTGACGCAGTGAGACTCTGTCTTGAAAAAAAAAAAAAAATTTGCCAGGTGTGGTGGTGCACTCCTGTAGTCTCAGCTACTCGGGAGGCTGAGGCAGGAGAATCACTTGAACTCAGGAGGAATCACTTGAACTCAGGAGGCAGAAGTTGCAGTGAGCCGAGATGGCGCCACTGCACTCCAGCCTGGGCGACAGAGCAAGACTCTGTCTCAAAAATAAAATAAAATACCATAAAAGATGGTGGCATATTTTAAAAGCTTAAAATACAGTAAAAGCAACTGTCAAGGTGCAGCACACAACTCAATAGTACACAATAGAGAGGCTGCAGTGGGTCACACCCGTAATCCCAGCACTTTGGGAGGCCAAGGTGGGTGGATTACAAGGTCAAGAAAGAGAAACCATCCTAGCCAACATGGTGAAACCCTGTCTCTACTAAAAATACAAAAATTAGCTGGGCGTGGTGGCACGCGCCTGTAGTCCCAGCTACTCAGGAGGCTGAGGCAGGAGAATCGCTTGAACCCAGGAGGTGGAGGTTGCAGTGAGTCAAGATCACGCCACTGCTCTCCAGCCTGGTGACAGAGCGAGACTCTGTCTCAAAAAAAAAAAAAAAAAAGTACACAATGAACTAATTCTGTGGACTATAACCCAGATTTTATTAATGAGATTACATGGAACAGAAAAGATCAGAAAAGTATTAAAATATTTTGTTTGTTTTTTGTTATTTTTTGAGACAGAGTTTCGCTTTTGTTGCCCAGGCTGGAGTGCAATGGCACAATCTCAGCTCATGACAATCTCCACCTCCCAGGTTCAAGCAATTCTCCTGCCTCAGCCTCCAGAGTAGCTGGCATGACAATCTCCACCTCCCAGGTTCAAGCGATTCTCCTGCCTCAGCCTCCTGAGTAGCTAGGATTACAGGCATGCGCCACCACACCCAGTTAATTTTGTATTTTTAGTAGAGACAGGGTTTCTCCATGTTTCTCAGGCTGGTCTCAAACTCCTGACCTCAGCTGATCCTCCTGCCTCGGCTTCCCAAAGTGCTAGGATTATAGGTGTCAGCCACTGCGCCTGCCCTTTTTTTTTTTTTTTTGAGACGGATTTTGAGACACAGTCTTGCACTGTCGCCCAGGCTAGAGTGTAGTGATGTGATCTGGGCTCACTGCAACCTCCGTCTCCCAGGTTCAAGTGATTCTCCAGCCTCAGCGTCCGGAGTAGCTGGGATTACAGGCATCCACCACTATTCCCGGCTATTCTTTGTATTTTTAGTAGAGATGGGGTTTCATCACATTGGCCAGGCTGGTCTGGAACTCCTAACCTCAGGTGATCCACCTGCCTCAGCCTCCCAAAGTGCTGGGATTACAGGTGTGAGCCACCGCACTCGGCCTGTTTTTTCGTTTTTGTTCGTTTGTTTTTTTGAGACGGAGTCTCACTCTGTCACCCAGGCTGGAGTGCAGTGGCGCCATCTCGGCTCACTGCAAGCTCAGCCTCCTGGGTTCATGCCATTCTCCTGCCTCAGCCTCCGGAGTAGCTGGGACTACAGGGCGCCCGCCACCACGCCTGGCTAATTTTTTGGGGTTTGTTTGTTTGTTTGTTTTGAGACGGAGTCTCGCTCTGTCGCCCAGGCTGGAGTGCAGTGGCGCCATCTCGGCTCACTGCAAGCTCCGCCTCCCAGGTTCACACTATTCTCCTGCCTCAGCCTCCGGAGTAGCTGGGACTACAGGTGCCCGCCACCACGCCCGGCTAATTTTTTGTATTTTTACTAGAGACGGGTTTCACTGTGTTAGCCAGGATGGTCTCGATCTCCTGACCTCGTGATCCGCCTGCCTCGGCCTCCCACAGTGCTGGGATTACAGGCGTGAGCCACTGCGCCCGGCCATTTTTTGTATTTTTAGCAGAGATGAGGTCTCACCGTGTCAACAAGGATGGGATTTTTTTTTTTTTTTTGAGACAGAGTTTCACTCTTGTTGCCCAGGCAGTAGTGCAATGGTTAGATCTCAGCTCACTGCAACCTACATCTCCCAGGTTCAAGCAATTCTCCTGCCTCAGTCTCCCGAGTAGCTGGGATTACAAGTGCATACCACCACACCTGGCTAATTTTTGTATTTTTAGTAGAGACGGGGTTTCACCATCTCTGGGGTTTCATCATCTGTCAACCAGGCTGGTTTCGAACTCCTGACCTCAGGTGATCCACCCACCTCGGCCTCCCGAAGTGCTGGAATTACAGGCATGAGCCACGGTGCCCGGCCCTAAAATGTTTTGTGAAATTTTTGTGTTTATGTGTATGTTTCCTAGATCTTAACGGATTTTATTTCTTGGAGTGGGTCATAAGAGTGGGTCATGGTCAAAAACCTTGATAGGCCAGGTGCAGTGGCTCAGGCCTGTAATCCCAGCACTTTGGGAGGCAGAGATGGGAGGATCACTTGAGGTCAAGAGTTCAAGACAAGCCTGGGTAACATAGTGAGACCCTGTATCTATATTAAAAGAACAAATTAGCCAGGCATGGTGGCACATACCTAGAGGCCTAGCTACATGGAAGGACTGCTTAGCCCAGAAATTGGAGGTTACAGTGAGCTATGACCAGGCAACTGTACTCTAGCCTATGCAACAGAGAGAGACCGTGTCTCTTTTAAAACAACAAAACCCTGATGCATACTAGTTTAACAGAATATCACAGTCCTGTCAAAAATAATACTCAGGTGGGCACAGTGGCAAGGGTCTGTGCCCTTAGTAATTAGTAAAACTAAGATGAGAGGGATCCCTTGAGCCCACAAGCTCAAGGCCAGCCTAGGCAACATAGCAAGACCCTATCTTAATAATAATAGGCATACAGTTATCTGATTTTGAATAACGCGACAAAAATAATAAAGGCAGGGCTGGGCACGGTGGCTCACGCCTGTAATTCCAGGACTTTGAGAGGCCAAAGCAGGTGGATCAGGAGGTCAGGACTTCAAGACCAGCCTGCCCAACATAGTGAATCCCTGTCTCTACTAAAAATACAAAAAAAATTAGCCAGGCATGGTGGCAGGTACCTGTAGTCCCAGCTACTTGAGAGGGTTAGGCAGGAGAATCGCTTGAACCCGGGAGACAGAGGTTACGGTGCGCCAAGATCGCACCACTGCACTCCAGCCTGGGCGACAGAGTGAGACTCTGTCTCAAAAAAAAATAAATAAAAATAATAAAGTTATATTTTACCTAAGTATTGCAAAGCAAATGTAAATTATTAAAACTTGAAATGGTATGAAAGGCTAAAACTAAGAATTTTATTGTGCCACCAACTGGTTTTTATTGAATCAATAGAAATGAATATATTCCACATCCAGCTACACCAAAAATTATCAATATTTTGTGTAAGGATATGCACAGGCAAACCCCCCCCGCCCTCCCCTACCCGACAGCAGCAAACACTGCCCTTAAAAACCCCAAAGATCCAAACGCTCAAGACTCATCCTTGATCCCAAGAACTGCGGCCTGTTTTGATCTCCAGGATACTGGATGAGGGCAATCTCGGGAGACTGAAGTCCAGGACTACAGCCCAAGACCCTAATGTAACAATATAATAATAATAAAAACGGCCGGGCGCGGTGGCTCACACCTGTAATCCCAGCACTTTGGGACGCCAAGGTGGGCGGATCACCTGAGATCACGAGTTCGAGACCAGCCTGGCCAACATGGTGAAACCCTGTCTCTACAAAAATTAGCCGGGCATGGTGGCGCATGCCTGTAGTCCCAGCTACTCGAGAGGCTGAGGCAGGAGAATCGCTTGAACCCGGGAGGCGGAGGTTACAGTGAGCCAAGATCGCGCCATTATTGCACTCCAGCCTGGGCGACAGAGCGAGACTCCGTTCTCAAAAGAAAAAAAAAAAAAGAACAATTTGTGTCATGATTTAGCACAAAAATACTCCCAACGCTTCTTTCATTTTTTAATTGCAATATCTTTAAAACTACATAATTTAAGAGTTTAAATAACATTATAAGAACGCAACTTTTCAAAAAAAATCTATTCTCTTTCAGCAGACAATGGGATAACTGGAAATGACTGCGCCAATTGCATACCCACTTATAAATAGTGTACCCTCTGAAATGTTGTGACCAACGGTTGAATAAAAGTGGCAGGAATCCATAATTGGTAGGTGCAATGTGTGCTAGCTGTCTTCATAAACAAAACTGAAAAAAATCACCTTTCAAATTCCTTAAGTTCGAACCCTAAATACATACCTGAGTAACCAAACCACTAAATACCCCTGAAAACTTAACAAAGCGGGGGAGGAGGGGCCAGGGCTGCCAGCTCCAGGTGGCTGTCAGGTAGATTTCAAATAACCACATAGGAGGACCAAAGGAAAACTTCCGGGAGGCCCTTCTCAATCATCACGCGCACGGAATAACGAAGGTGGCCAGAGAAACATTTCAAAGCCCTGGGAGCGAAAGGGCAGCTTTGCTCACTCCCGGAATCGCAGTCGCTCTGGAACCGCCGCAGCGGGCGAGGCGCCACGACAGAAGCCCGGGCCTCGCGGGTATCACCCGCCGGGTCCAGCGGAAGGCGAAGCGCCGTGCGCGGAGCTGCACCCCGGAGACGTCCCCGCCCGTTGAGGGGCTGCTCCAGCCTGCGGACCAGCCCGTCGCCGTGAGCGGCGGCCCCGGTGTAGCCCTCCCGCCGCCTCTGCTCAGGTTCTCCTCTCAAGAGGCTGACAGAGGCCGCGTCACGCCGAGCACGGCCCACCTGCCGCCCTGCCCCGGGACCTCGGCAAGCGCAGCGCCGCAGGACCCGTTATCCGCCCGCCCGCAGCATCCCGCTCCCAGGCCCGGGGCCGACAGCGGGAGGCCGAGCTCCGCCAAGGCGCGAGGGAACGGCAACCGCGTACCGCCATCGACCCCTGCCCGCTGCCGCCGCTTACCTCGAAGTAGCCTCCGGGGGCGGCGCCGCCCGCGCTCGCGCCCGCGCCGAGAGGCCCGTTGGCCGCCGCCGCGCCGCCCACCAGGCCTGCCGCGCTGCCCGGGGCCGCCAGGCCCGCGGCCTGGGAACCGCGCAGCGCCGCCGCCGGGCCGGCCTTGCCGCTGCTCGCGCCGCCGTTACCCCCGCCCGAGCCGCCGCCGCCGCCCCGCTTGTTCTTCCGGCGCTTGGCCCCGCGCTTGGCGTCGGCTGGGCTCATGGCGGGCGGGGAGAGGGGCGCAGAGCGGGCGCGGGGGCCGCGGGCGGCGGCGGAGGGCGGGGAAGGCGGGGAGGCTGAGGCGGCCGCGGCGGCGGGCGCTCCGGCCAGCCGGGGGGCGCTGCGCGGGGTCGCGTCCGGGTCGGGGAGGGCTGGGGCGGGCGGGAGCTGCGGGGCAGGCCGCTGGGCGGGAGGAACCGCGAGTCCACAGTCCCGGCGCCGCGGCTGACCAGAGTTAGAGTCCAATATGGCGGACACAAGGGGAAAGGGATCCCAGTTTACGTCGGGGGAGGGGGAAGGAGCAGCGGGGAGGGGGAGGGGTGTGGGCCCCCACCCCCCACCCCCACCCCGCCTTACTCCGCCCCCCGGCTCTGCTTTTCCCTTTGCTTGCCCACCCCCTCCTGCCGTTAACGTGCCTCGGCGCGCAGGACACGCCGGGAACTGAAGTCCGTGCTGCCCGTGCAGCAGCTGGGGGTACCCGGGGGTGGACCACGATTCCCGTCAGGCCTTGCGAGGCCGAGGGCCCGGGCGCTGGGAGGAGCTGGGGCCAGGGAGCTGGATGCGGCGGTGATGTCACCGCCTCGCTCGTCGCCGCAGGTCCCGCCCGCGCCGCGCGGCCTTCTGGGCGTTGTGGTCGGGCGTAGGGCTAGGCCGGCAGGAGGCCGCGCCGCCGCCCGCGAGGCAAACTACACGGCTGGCGGCAGGGAGTTCCGCCTCTCTGACCGGTGTCCGCTGCCCGCCCGCCCCGCCCGCCTCGCCCGCGCCCCTGTCCGCCGCCCAGGTGCCGCAGACCGGCGCGGCTCCCGGGATGCACCAGGGGCGGCGCGGCGCGGCCCTGGCCTCGCCAGGAACGCCCGGTGACCTTGGGCTAGTCTAGTTCTGGTCCAGATGACTCAGTGAGGACCACAGAATCCCTGCCTCGTGGGCTGGGCGGGGGTTCGGGCAGCGCTGGAAAGCCGGGCGCGGTGCGGTGGGGTCCGCCTGGGTGCGGAGGCAGCGGCGGAGCCGGCGAATCTTGGACCGGGCCTGGGGCTGGGACACGCCGGTCGGTTCCCCGAGAACCCCTCGCCTAAAGGGTGCTCTTCCCGAGCCCGCCCTCTCCCTGCTATCCCGTTAAGCCCTCTCCAGTGGTCCCGGTGCCTTGCTAATCCACGGGGCCCTAGGACGATCCGGCCGTGTCCCACACCCTCGCACTCACGCACCTCGGGGACGACTAGCCGGGTCAGACCCTCGCAGACGTCCAGATCAGAAATAAGGGCTTGCGTCTGGACCCTCCTCCCTCCGCGGCCTTGCAGACATCTGCGAGCCCCAGGCAGAGCTCTGCCCTGAGACCCGGGCCACGGGGGGACCCTGCCGGCGGCTCCGCCCCCTGGAGGGCCCCGCTTACCACAGACACAGAGGCACAAAGGACATGATTTCCCCTTTTTGGTTCCACCGGTGGTGTCAGGCCGAGAGGCGGCGGGCTTGGCATTGGGATGTACGGCCTGCCAGGCTCCCCTTGCAGCGTTAACCGAGCTCTACTGTTCGTCCTGGGTCCCCGCAACCCGCCCCAGCTGCAGCCACAGCCTCCTGATCCTCTGACCCATTCTTCATGACACAAGCAGAAATCTCATGTGATCAGAAGAAAGCTACCCTTAAAGCCATTCAGATACCATCCTAGACGAAAAAAGGCCCCCCGCCCCATCAGGGTCTTGGATGATCCTGCCACTGAACATGGATTTTGAGAGAGCGGGTAGGAATGCGTTTCTGGCCTCTTTTTCAGTGTCATAGGCTGTCCCTGCCCCTTGCCTCAACCCCTGTCCTTTCCTTTGTCATAGCACATTGCACAGGATTGGGATTCATGATGTCACCAGTATCCCCAAAGACAAAAGGTTTTATTGGGCAGGAGAGAACCTGAGAATGCCTGCCTCACACACCTCTGACACCCAAGCTACTGCAAAGCAAGAGGCTGAGCACCCAGCACTCTACTATTTGCTGAATCAATGAATGACAATAATGACCATTAGGCCTGGGTGCCTTGGCTCATGCCTGTAATCCCAGCAGTTTGGGAGGCCGAGGTGGGCGGATCACCTGAGGCCGGGAGTTCAAGACAGCCTGGCCAGCAAAGCGAAACCCCGTCTCTACTACAAATACAAAAATTAGCTGGGCATGGTGGCACACACTTGTAATCCCAGCTACTCGGGAGGCTGAGGCAGGAGAATCGCTTGAACCCGGGAGGCAAGGGTTGCAGTGAGCCGAAATAGTGCCATTGCACTCCAGCTTGGGCAACGAGCAAAACTCCGTCAAAAAAAAAAGAGGCCGGGCACAGTGTGGCTCTCGCCTGTAATCCCAGCACTTTGGGAGGCCGAGGTGGGGCGGGTCATGAGGTCAGGAGATTGAGACCATCCTGGCTAACACGGTGAAACCCCGTCTCTACTGAAAATACAAAAAATTAGCCGGGCCTGGTGGCGGATGCCTGTAGTCCCAGCTACTCAGGAGGCTGAGGCAGGAGAATGGCGTGAACCTGGGAGGCGGAGCTTTCGGTGAGCCCAGATCAAGCCACTGCACTCCAGCCTGGGCCACAGAGCGAGACTCCGTCTCAAAAACTCAAAACAAAACGAAAGAAAGAAAAGAATAAAAATAATGACAGGCCGGGCCTGGTGGCTCATGCCTGTAATCCTAGCACTTTGGGAGGCCGAGGTGGGCGAATCACCTGAGGTCAGGAGTTTGGGACCAGCCTGGCCAACATGGAGAAACCCCATCTCTACTAAAAATACAAAAATTAGCCGGGCGTGGTGGCAAGCACCTATAATCCCAGCTACTTGGGAGGCAGAGGCGGGAAAATTGCTTGAACCTGGAAGGTGGTGGTTGCAGTGAGCCAAGATCGAGTGAGACTCTGCCTCAAAAAAAAAAAAAAAAAAACAGATGAACTGATAAAATGCTATATACACAAGGGAGCACAATTTTTTGGAATGCTATTTAGCCATTAAAACCCCCAGATTTCTGTCATTTGCTGCAACATAGATGAGCTTGCAGGACATTATGTGATGTGAAAAAGCCAGGCACAGAAAGATAAGTACCACTTTATTTTTTTTATTTTTATTTTATTTATTTATTTTTGAGACAGAGTCTTGCTCTGTCACTCAGGCTGCAGTGAAGTGGCGCGACGTGGCTCACTGCAACCTCCGCCTCCCGGGTTCACGCCATTCTCCTGCCTCAGCTTCTCGAGTAGCTGGGACTATAGGCAGCCGCCACCATGCCCGGCTAATTTTTTTTGTATTTTTATTAGAGATGGGGCTTTCACTATGTTGATCAGGCTGGTCTCGAACTCCTGACCTCTTGATCCACCCGCCTTGGCCTCCCAAAGTGCTGGGATTACAGGCGTGAGCCACTGGGCCTGGCCAGATAAGTACCACTTTATCACTCATGTGTGCAAGCTAAAAAAGTTTATCTTGGCTGGGTGCGGTGGCTCACACCTGTAATCCCAGCACTTTGGGAGGGTGAGGCAGGTGGATCACTTGAGGTCAGGAGTTCAAGACAAGCCTGGCCAACGTGGTGAAACCCCGTCTCTACTAAAGCTACAAAAATTAGCCAGGCACGGTGGCGGGCACTTATAATCCCAGCTACTCAGGAGGCTGAAACAGGAGAATCACTTGAGCCCGGGAGGCGGAGGTTGCAGTGAGCTGAGATCATCCCACTGCACTCCAATCTGGATGACAAGAGCAAAACTGTCTCAAAAAAGCAAGCAAGCAAAAAAAAGAAAAAGTTGATCTCATAGAAGTAAGAGAGTAGAACAGTGATTTCTTTATTTTTTGTTTATTTATTTATGTATTTTGAGACAGAGTTTTGCTTTTGTTGCCCAGGCAGGAGTGCAATGGCCTGATCTTGGCTCACTGCAACCTCCCCGCCTCCTGGGTTCAAGTGATTCTTCGCCTCAGCCTCTCAACTAGCTGGGACTACAGGCACGCGCCACCACACCTGGGTAATTTTTTTTTTTTTTTTTTTTGAGATGGAGTCTCGCTCTGTCGCTCAGGCTGGAGTGCAGTGGCGCGATCTCGGCTCACTGCAAGCTCCGCCTACCAGGTTCACGCCATTCTCCTGCCTCAGCCTCCTGAGTATCTGGGACTACAGGCGCCCGCCACCATGCCCGGCTCATTTTTTGTATTTTTAGTAGAGACGGGGTTTCACCATGTTAGCCAGGATGGTCTCGATCTCCTGACCTCGTGACCCGCCTGCCTCGACCTCCCAAAGTGCTGGGATTACAGGCGTGGGCCACCGCGCCTGGCCTACACCTGGGTAATTTTTGTTTTTGTTTTTGTTTTTGTTTTTTTTGAGTCAGGGTCTCACTCTGTTGCCCAGGATAGAGTGCAGGGCATGATCTCGGCTCACTGCAGCCTCTGCCTCCCAGGTCCAAGCAATTCTCCCACCTCTGCCTCCCAAATAGCCGGGATTACAGGTGCACCACCATGTCCGGCTAAGTTTTTAGTACAGACAGGGTTTCACCATGTTGGCCAGGCTGATCTCGAACTACTGACCTTGTGATCCGCCTGCCTAGGCTTCCCAAAGTGCTGGGATTACAGGCGTGAGCCACTGTGCCCAGCTTAGAATAGTGGTTTCTAGAGGTAGGGAAGAGTAGTGGGGAGAGGGAGATAGCCAAAGGTTGGTTAATGGATACAAAAGTACAGCTTGAGGCTGGGCGCCTTGGCTCACTCCTGTAATCCAGCACTTAGGGAGACCGAGGCGGGCGGATCACCTGAGGTCAGGAGTTTGAGACCAGCCTGGCCAACATGGTGAAACCCCGTCTCTACTAAAAATACGAAAATTACCTGGACATGGTGGCACACGCCTGTACTCCCAGCTACTTGGGAGGCTGAGGCAGGAGAACCACTTGAGCCTGGGATATGAAGGTTGCAGTGAGCTGAGATTGTGCCACTATAGCCTGCCCAAGAGAGCAAGACTCTGTCTCAAAAAAAAAAAAAAAAAAAACAGTACAGCTTTGTAAAAGAAATGAGTTTAGTGTTCTATGGCTGGCACTATAGGGTGACTGTAATTAACAAAAATTTACTGTATATTTTCAAATAGGCAGAAGAGTAGATTATGAATGTTCGCAACACAAGGAAATAATAAATGTTTGTGGTGATGGATATGCTACTCTGATCATTACACATTCTATACATGTATCAAATTATCACACTGTACTTCATAAATATGTACAATTATATGTCAATGAAACATAATAAGGGCAAAATAAAAAGAATTTATATAACAAAAACGTTTTTAAAATAATGCATTCTTTGGCCAGGCACAGTGGCTCACGCCTGTAATCCCAACACTTTGGGAGGCTGAGGTGGGCGGATCATGAGGTCAGGAGATCAAGACCATCCTGGCCAACATGGTGAAACCCCGTCTCTACTAAAAATACAAAAATTTAGCCAGGTGTGGTGGCAGGCGCCTGTAGTCTCAGCTACTTGGGAGGCTGAGGCAGGAGAATCGCTTGAACCCAGGACGCGGAGGTTGCAGAGAGCCGAGAGCGCACCACGGCACTCCAGCCTGGGCGACAGAGTGAGACTCCATCTCAAAAAAAAAAAATTCCTTTTCATTGCTCAGTGGTATTCCACTGCATGGATGTCTCATAGTTTGTTTATACATTTATCTGTTGATGAATATTTTGGTTGTTTCCAGTTTTTGGTTATTACAGTTACTATCAACATTCATAAATTAAAAAAACCGAAAAACAAACAAACAAAAACACCAGAACATTCATGTACAAGTCATCATATAAACACGTTTTCATTTCTCTTAAGTAAACACCTAAGAGTGGTCATATGGAAGAGATATGCTTACCTTTTTTTTTTTTTTCTGAGAAAGAGTCTCACTCTGTCACCCAGCTGGAGTGCAATGGCACAATCTCAGCTCACTGCAACCTCTGCCACCTGGGTTCAAGGGATTCTCTTGCCTCAGCCTTCTGAGTAGCTGGGATTACAGGCACCTGCCACCACACCAGGCTAATTTTTTTGTATTTTTAGTAGAGATGGGGTTTCACTGTCTTGGCCAGGCTGGTCTTCAACTCCTGACCTCGTGATCCACCCACCTCGGCCTCCCAAAGTGCTGGAATTACAGGCATGAGCCTTTTTTTTTTTTTTTTTCTTGAGATGGAGTCTCGCTCTGTCGTCCAGGCTAGAGTGCAGTGGCGCTATCTCGGCTCACTGCCAGCTCTGCCTCCCAGGTTCATGCCGTTCTCCTGCCTCAGCCTCCCGAGTAGCTGGGACTACAGGTGCCTGCCACCGCACCTGGCTAATTTTTTTGTATTTTTAGTAGAGACGGGGTTTCACTCTGTTAGCCAGGATGGTCTCGATCTCCTGACCTTGTGATCCGCCGGCCTCGGCCTCCCAAAGTGCTGGTATTACAGGCGTGAGCCACTGCACCCGGTCCAACTTTATTATTTTATTGTTTATTTTGAAATGGGATCTCACTCTACCACCCAGGCTGGAGTGCAGTGGCTCAATCACAGCTTACTGCAGCCTGGACCTCCCAGGCTCAAGTGACCCTCCCATCTCAGCCTTCTGAGTAGCTGGGACCACAGGCACCTATCACTATGCCCAGCTATTTTTTTATTTTTATTTTTGTAGAGATGGGGTCTCACTATGTTGCCCAAGCTGGTCACGAACTCCTGGGCTCAAGTGATCCTCTGCTATGGCCTCCCAAAGTGCTGGGATTGCAGGCGTGAGCCACTTCATCCAGACTATTCTTTCCAATGTTGTTTTGCATATTCATATTCATATGAAATTCCTGTGAATTTCATGTGAATTTGAGAATCAGCTTGTCAATTTCTTTAAAAAAATCTGGTCAATTTTAACAAAGATTGTGGTAATGTACAGATGAATTTGTAGATAGTGATATCTAAACATTATTGCATCTTCCAGTTCGTGAGCTATATTTATATACATTTATTTAGTCTTAGCAATGTTTTGAGGTTTAGTGTACTTGCCTGACACATCTTTTGTCAGACTTATTCCTATGTATTTCATATTATTTTATGCTAAACTCTCCTTTTGTTTAGTTTTGCATTTTAAGAAATTGTTGGCCAGGTACAGTGGCTGACACCTGTAATTCCAGCACTTTGGGAGGCTGAGGCTGGCAGATCACAAGGTCAAGAGATAGAGACCATCCTGGCCAACATGGTGAAACCCCGTCTCTACTAAAAATACAAAAAATTAGCTGGATATGGTGGCGCGCACCTGTAGTCCCAGCTACTCAGAAGGCTGAGGCAGGAGAATCACTTGAACCTGGGAGGTGGAGGTTGCAGTGAGCCAAGATCAAGCCACTGCACTCCAGCCTGGCAACAGAGTGAGAAACCGTCTAAAAAAAAAAAAGAAAAAAAAAGAAATTGCTATAAAATATGTATAATACAAAACTTACTTTTTTTCTTTTTGAGACGAAGTCTCACTCTTGTCCCCCAGGCTGGAGTGCAATGGTGCGATCTCAGCTCACTGCAACCTCCACCTCCTGGGTTCAAGCAATTCTCCTGCCTCAGCCTCCCAAGTAGCTGGGATTACAGGCACCTGCCACCACGCCCGGCTAATTTTTGTATTTTTAGCAGAGACCGGGTTTCACCATGTTGGCCAGGCTGGTCTCAAATTCCTGACCTCAGGTGATCCGCCCGCTTCGGCCTCCCAAAGTGCTGGGATTACAGGTGTGAGCCACCACATCGAGCCAAAACTTTTTTTTTTTTTTGAGCTGGAGGCTTCCTCTGTTGCCCACACTGCAGTGCAGCAGCGCAATCTCTACTCACTGCAACCTCCGCCTCCCGGATTCAAGCGATTCTCCTGCCTCAGCCTCCCTAGCAGCTGGGATTACAGGTGCACGCCACCACAGTCTGCCAAGTAGCTGGGACTACAGGCTCGTGCCACCATGCCTGGCTAAGTTTTTGTATTTTTAGTAGAGATGGGATTTCACCGCATTAACTAAGATGGTCTCGATCTCCTGAGCTCGTGATCCACCCACCTTGGCCTCCCAAAGTGCTGGGATTACAGGTGTGAGCCACAGTGCCTGGCTTTTTCTTTTTCTTTCTTTTTTTTTTGTTGAGATGGTGTTTCGCTCTTGTTGCCACAGGCTGGAGTGCAATGGCGTGATCTTGGCTCACCGCAACCTTCACCTCCTGAGTTCAAGCAATTCTCCTACCTCAGCCTCCCGTGTAGCTGGGATTACAGGCATGCACCACCACGCCCGGCTAATTTTGTATTTTTGGTAGATACGGGGTTTCCTCATGTTAGTCAGGCTGGTTTTGAACTCCTGACCTCAGGTGATCCGCCCGCTTCGGCCTCCCTAATTTTTGTAGTTTTAGTAGAGACAGGGTTTCACCATGTTGGCCAGGCTGGTCTCTATCTCCTGACCTTGTGATCCACCCACCTCAGCCCTCCAAAGTGCTGGCATTTCAGGCATGAGCCATCGTGCCCAGCCAAAACTGACTATTTTAATCATTAAGTGTACAACTCCGTGGCATTATCTATATTCAGAATGTTGGGCAACTTTTACCACTATTTTCAGAACTTTTTTTTATCATCTCAGACAGAAATTCTGTAGCCATTAAACAGTAACTTTACATTCCCCCTACCCTCAGGCTGTGGTAACCTCTACTGTTTAAATTTTTCATTTATTGTTTTTTAGAGAGAGCGTCTTGCTCTGTCATTCAGGTTGGAATGCAGTGGCACCGTTCATGGCTCACAGCAGCCTTGACCCCCTGGGCTCAAGCAATCTTCCCATGTGAACCCCTGGAGTACGTAGGCCATTTATATACCTTCTTTGGAGAAATATCTATTTAAGTCCTTTGTCCATTTTCAAATTGGGTTGTCTGTGGTTTTTTTGTTTGTTTGTTTGTTTTTTGAGATGGAATCTTGCTCTGTTGCCCAGGCTGGAGTGCAGTGGCGCGATCTTGGCTCACTGCAAGCTCCGCCTTCCAGGTTCACGCCATTCTCCTGCCTCCGCCTCCCGAGTAGCTGGGACTACAGGCGCCCACCACCACGCCCGGCTAATTTTTTGTATTTTTAGTAGAGACGGGGTTTCACCATGTTAGCCAGCGTGGTCTCAAACTCCTAACCTCGTGATCCACCCGGCTCAGCCTCCCAAAGTGCTGGGATTACAGGCGTGAGCCACCGCACCTGGCAGGTTGTCTGTTTCTGTTGTTGAGTTGTAGTACTTTATATATTCTGAGTATTAATCCAATATCAGATGACTTGCAAATGTTCTCCCATCCTGCAGGTTGTCTTTTCATATTTAAAAAATTTTATTTTGTAAATTATGTGCAAATATGCCATTTACTCTTGATAGCATCCTTTGATACACAAGTTCTTTTTATTTCTTTTCTTCTTCTTTTTTTTTTTTTTAAGATGGCGTCTCGCTCTGTCACCCAAGCTGGAGTGCAGTGGCGCAATCTTGGCTCACTGCAGCCTCCGCCTCCCGGGTTCCAGCAATTCTCCTGCCTCAGCCTCCCAGGTAGCTGGGATTACAGGTGCCCGCCACCATGCCCGGCTAATTTTTGTATTTTTAGTAGAGACAGGGTTTCACCATGTTGGTCAGGCTGGTCTCAAAATTCTGACCTCAAGTGATCCGCCCACCTGGGCCTCCCAAAATGCTGGGATTACAGGCGTGAGCCCCCATGCCTGGCCGGTTTTCTATATATAATATGTCATTTGTGAACAGAGATAGTTCTACTTCTTCACTTCCAATTTGGATGCAGCCTGTTTCTTTCTTGCTTAATTGCTCTGACTAGAACTTCCAGTATTTGGTTCAGTAGAAGCGGCAACAGCAAGCGTTCTTGTCTTGTTTCTGGATCTAAGGTGACAAGCTTTCAAGCTTTCAGTCTTTCACCACTGAATATAATATTAATGTGGGTTTCTTTTTTTTTTTTTTTTAGACAGAATCTCACTCTGTCGCCCAGGCTGGAGCGCAGTGGCATGATCTCAGCTCACTGCAACCTCTGCCTCCTTAATTCAAGCCATTCTCCTGCGTCAGCCTCCCAAGTAACTGGGACTACATGCGTGCACCACCATGCCCGGCTAATTTTTATAGTTTTAGAAATACAAAATGAGTGTTTGTACACACGGTGAGATGGGGTTTCACCTTCTCGGCCAGGCTGGTCTCGAACTCCTGACCTTAAGTGATCCACCCGCCTAGGCCTCCCAAAGGCTGAGGCTGGGATTACAGGCATCAGCCACCACGCCTGGCGAAATGTGGCCTTTTAATATGGCCCTTATAATGTTGAGATAGTTTTCTTCTGCACTTGGGTTTTTATCATGAAAAGGTGTTTTGTTTAGGATTTTTGCATCTATATTAATAAAATACATTGTTCTACAATTTTTTTTTGAGACAGAGTTTCACTCTTGTTACCCAGGCTGGAGTGCAATGGCGTGATCTCAGCTCACTGCAACTGCTGCCTCCTGAGTTCAAGCGATTCTCCTGCCTCAGCCTCTCGAGTAGCTGGGATTATAGGCACCCACCACCACGCCCAGCTAAGTTTTATATTTTTAGTAGAGACAGGGTTTCTTCACCACATTGGCCAGGCTGGTCTCGAACTCCTGACCTCAGGTAATCCATCTGCCTCAGCCTCCCAAAGTGGTAGGATTACAGGCGTGAGCCACCGCGCCTGGCCAGTTCTGCAGTTTTATTTTCTTGCAACGTCTTTAGGTGGCTTCAGTATTAGGGTACTATTGACCTCACAAAATGAGTGAGAAAGTTTTCTTTCCCGTTCATTTTACAATGAAGTTTGAGAAAGATTAGTCTTTTTTTTGTTGTTGTTGAGACGGAGTCTCGCCCTGTCGCCCAGGCTGGAGTGCAGTGGCGCAATCTCGGCTCACTGCAAGCTCCGCCTCCTGAGTTCATGCCATTCTCCTGCCTCCATGCCATTCTCCTGCCTCAGCCTCCTGAATAGCTGGGACTACAGGCGCCTGCCACCACGCCCTGCTAATTTTTTTTTTAGTAGAGACAGGATTTCACCGTGTTAGCCAGGATGGTCTCTATCTCCTGACCTCGTGATCCACCTGCCTTGGCCTCCCAAAGTGCTGGGATTACAGGCGTGAGCCACCACGCCTGGCCTTTTTTTTTTTTTTTTTTTTTTTTTTGAGACAGAGTTTTGCTCTTGTCACCCCAGCTGGAGTGCAATGGCACGATCTCGGCTTACTGCAACCTCCGCCTCCCAGGTTCAAGCGATTCTCCGGTTTCAGCCTCCTGAGTACCTGGGATTACAGGCGCCCACCACTGTTCTTGGCTAATTTTTGTGCTTTTAGTAATGATGGGTTTTTACCACCTCAGCAAGGTTTGTCTCGAACTCCTGACCTCAGGTGATCCGCCTGCCTTGGCCTCCTAAAGTGCTGGAATTACAGGCATGAGCCACCGTGCCTGGCCTCAGAAAGATTAGTCTTTATTTTCTTTTACGTTTGTTAGAATTCACCAGTGAAGGTCGGGTGCAGTGGCTCATGCCTGCAATCCCAGCACTTTGGGAGGCTGAGGTGGGTAGATCACGAGGTCAGGAGATTGAGACCATCCTGGCTAACATGGTGAAACCCCATCTCTACTAAAAATACAAAAAATTAGCCGGGCATGGTGGCAGGTGCCTGTAGTCCCAGCTACTCGGGAGGCTGAGGCAGGAGAATCACTTGAACCTGGGAGGCAGAGGTTGCAGTTAGCCGAGATCACGCCATTGCACTCCAGCCTGGGCAACAATAGCAAAACTCTGTCAAAAAAAAGAAAAAGAAAAAAGAAAAAAAAATCCCAGCACTTTGGGAGGCCGAGTTGGGCAAATCATGAGGTCAGGAGTTTGAGACCAGCCTGACCAACATGATGAAACCTCGTCTGTACTAAAAATACAAACAATTAGCTGGGCGTAGTGGTGGGCGCCTGTAATCCCAGCTACTCGGGAGGCTGAGGCTGGAGAATTGCTTGAACCTGGGAGGCGGAGGTTGCAGTGAGCCGAGATCGTGCCACTGCACTCCAGCGTGGGTGACAAAGTGAGACTCCATCTCAAAAAAAAAAAAAAAAAAAAGGCCGGGCGCAGTGGCTCACGCCTGTAATTCCAGCACTTTGGGAGGCTGAGGTGGGTGGATCACGAGGTCAGGAGATCGAGACCATCCTGGCTAACACGGTGAAACCCCGTCTCTACTAAAAATACAAAAAAAAAAAAAATTAGCCAGGCATAGTGGCGGGCACCTGTAGTCCCAGCTACTTGGGAGGCTGAGGCAGTAGAATCGCTTGAACCCGGGAGGCGGAGCTTGCAATGAGCTGAGATTGCACCACTGCACTCCAGCCTGGGGGACAGAGTGAGACTCCATCTCAAAAAATTAAAAAAATAAATAAAAAATAATTCACCAGTGAAGTCATCTGGTCCTGGGCTTTTCTTTGTTGGGAAGTTTTCGATTGTTGCAGTTTCACTTGCTGCAGGACTATTTAATTCTGTTTCTTTATGAATCAGTTTTGGTAGTGTGTTTCTAGGAATTCATCTATATTATCCCATTTTTTGGCAAACAGTTGCTCACAGTAGTGTGTGATAATCCTTACTTCTGTAAAGTCGGTAGTCATGTCCTATCCTTAACTTTTTTTTTTTTTTTTTTTGAGACGAAGTCTCGCTCTGTTGCCAGGCGGGAGTGCAGTGCTGCAGTCTCGGCTCACTGCAACCTCTGCCTCCCAGGTTCAAGCGAGTCTCCTGCCTCACCCTCCCAAGTAGCTGGGACTACAGGCGCCCGCCACCACGCCCAGCTAATTTTTTGTATTTTTAGTACAGATGGTGTTTCACTGTGTTACTTGGATGATCTGGGTCTCCTGATCTTGTGATCCACCTGCTTTGGCCTCCCAAAGTGCTGGGATCACAAGCGTGAGCTACCGTGCCCAGCCATCCTTAACTTTTTAATTTTTTCTTTTATTTATTTATTTGAGACCGAGTTTTGCTCTAGTTGCCCAGGCTGGAGTGCAGTGGCGGGATCTCAGCTCACCGCAACCTCTGCCTCCCGGGTTCAAGTGATTCTCCCACCTCAGCCTTCCTGAGTAGCTGGGATTACAGGCATGTACCACCACGCCTGGCTAATTTTGTATTTTTAGTAGAGATGGGGTTTCTCCATGTTGGTCAAGAGCTGGTCTTGAACTCCCGACCTCAGATGATCTGCCTGCCTCGGCCCCCCAAAGTGCTGGGATTACAGGCGTGAGCCACCATGCCGCCCGGTTTCTTTATCTATTTTTTTTGAGATGGAGTCTCACTCTGTCACCCAAGCTGGAGTGCAATGGTGCAATCTTGGCTCACTGCAACCTCCACCTCCCAGGTTCAAGCGATTCTTCTGCCTCAGTCTCCCAAGTAGCTGGGCTTACAGGCACCCACCACCATGCCCAGCTAATTTTTGTATTTTTAGTAGAGACGGGGTTTCACCATGTTGGCCAGGCTGGTCTCAAAATCCTGACCTCAGGTGATCTGCCCACCTTGGCCTCCCAAAGTGCTGGGATTACAGGCGTGAGCCACCACGCCCAGCCAATTTATGTATTTAGAGATGGAGTCTCACTCTGTTGCCCAGGCTACAGTGCAATGGTGTGATCTTGGGTCACTGCAACCTCCACCTCCCGGGTTCAAGCGATTCTCATGCTTCAGCCTCCCTAGTAGCTAGGATTACAGGTGTGCATCACCACGCCCAGCTAATTTCTGTAGTTTTAGTAGAGATGGGGTTTCACCATATTGGCCACACTGGTCTTGAACTCCTGACCTCAGGTGATCCACCTGCCTCCGCCTCTCAAAACGCTGGGATTACAGGTGTGAGCCACCGCGCCGGGCCTATCTTGACTCTAATCTTTATTATGGCCTTCCTTCTGCTAACTTTTTATTTAGTTTTTTGTTTGTTTGTTTCTTAAGGTATACAATTATGTATTGGTTTGAGTTTTTTTTTTTGAGACGGAGTCTCGCTCTGTCACCCAAGCTGGAGTGCAGTGGCACGACCTAGGCTCACTGCAAGCTCCACCTCCTGGGTTCACGCCATTCTCCTGCCTCAGCCTCCGGAGTAGCTGGGACTACAGGCGCTCACCACCATGCCCGGCTAACTTTTTTGTATTTTTAGTAGAGACGGGGTTTCACCATGTTAGCCAGGATGGTCTCGATCTCCTGACCTCGTGATCTGCCCGCCTTGGCCTCCCAAAGTGCTGGGATTACAGGCGTGAGCCACCGCGCCTGGCTGAGATGTTTTAATGTAGTTGTTTATATCTACAAATATTCCCCTGAGCAGAGCTTCTGCTGCATAAATTTTGGTATGTTTTCTTTTTATTTTCACCCTTTTCAAGGTATTTTCTAATTTCTCTTGTGATTTCTTCTTTGACCCATTGGTTAAGTGTTCTATTTAATTTCCATATATTTGTGAGCTTTTCAGTATGTTCGTACTCTATAGTCCAGTAATTTCACTTTTAAGTATATATCCATTAGATATGCGAGCAAAACTGCACCAAAAGAGACACACAGAACGCTCATTTTTTGGCTATTAGCCCCAAAACTTTTTTTTTTTTTTTTTTTTTGAGACGGAGTCTCGCTCTGTCGCCCAGGCCGGACTGCGGACTGCAGTGGCGCAATCTCGGCTCACTGCAAGCTCCGCTTCCCGGGTTCACGCCATTCTCCTGCCTCAGCCTCCCAAGTAGCTGGGACTACAGGCGCCCGCCACCGCGCCCGGCTAATTTTTTGTATTTTTAGTAGAGACGGGGTTTCACCTTGTTAGCCAGGATGGTCTCGATCTCCTGACCTCATGATCCACCCGCCTCGGCCTCCCAAAGTGCTGGGATTACAGGCGTGAGCCACCGCGCCCGGCCTAGCCCCAAAACTTAAATGACCCAAATAGTGGATAAATTGAAGCATATCCATCTAATAAAATAATATACAGTGAGAAAAATGAACTACAAACATTAATGAATCTTAAAATATAATACAGCAGTACACCGCTTTCTATGTTTTTGCTTTGAGAACACAGTTACTCATAGCACACACTACAATGAAATATTTTCAGACCATATTCAGGAGGATTGCTGGAGGCCAGGAGCTCAATACCAGCCTGGGCAACATAGTGAGACCCTGTCTCTACAAAACACACACAAAACACTGGAAAAGAAAGTACTGCGCTGGGCACAGTGACTCACGCCTGTAATCCTAGCACTTTGGGAGGCCGAGGCAGGTGGATCACGAGGTCAGGGGTTCGAGACCAGCCTGACCAACATGGTGAACCCTATCTCTACTATAAATACAAAAATTAGCCGGGCACGGTGGTGCACGCCTGTAATCCCAGCTACTCAGGAGGCTGAGACAGGAGAATTGCTGGAACCCAGGAGGCGGAGTTTGCAGTGAGCAGAGATCATGCCACTGCACTCCAGCCTGGGTGACAGAGCAAGACTCCATCTCAAAAAAAAAAAAAAAGTACTACATATACAATATTTTATTAGTTGCTAACCTCTTACTGTGCCTAATTTGTAAATTAAACTTTATCATGTGTAAGTACATACGTATAAGAAAAAACCAATATATATACAATTTGGTACTGAGGTTTCAGGCATCCACTGGGGGTCTTGAAATGTACAGTAGTGACCAGGCATGGTGGCTCACGCCTGTAAGCCCAGCACTTTGGGAGGCCAAGGACAGCAGATCATCTGAGGTCAGGAGTTCAAGAGTAGCCTGGCCAACATGGTGAAACCCCGTTTCTACTGAAAATACAAAAATTAGCCGGGCATGGTGGCGGGTGCTTGTAATCCCAGCTACTCCATCTCAAAAAAAACAAACAAACAAAACAAAAACAAACAAACAAACATATAGAAGGACAAAGTATCATGAATAGGGTGAAGTTATCAGAGAAATGCAAGTATAGTGTCTGCTAGAAAATCAAATACAGTCATGTGCTGCTGTAGACCTTAGTCAGCAGACCACATACACAATGGTGGTCCCGTTGAGTATAATGGAGCTGAAAAATGCCTATTGCCTAGTGACAGCTTAGCTGTCATGTTGTAGTACATTGTTACATGCGGTGCCACCAGTTGTATAAAGTTATAGCACATATAATTTATGTGCAGTACATACTTAATAAGTGACTATGTTACTGGCTTAGTCATTATATTTTAAGATTGTACTCTATTATTATTATTATTATTATTATTATTTTTTTTTTTTTTTTTTTTGAGATGGGGTTTTGCTCTTGTCGCCCAGGCTGGAGTGCAGTGGTGTGATCTTGGCTCATTGCAACCCCTGCCTCCCGGGTTCAAGCTATTCTCCTATTCTCCTGCCTCAGCCTCCCGAGTAGCTGGGATTACAGGTGTGCACCACCACACCTGGCTAATTTTTGTATTTTCAGTAGAGATGGGTTTTCACCATGTTGGCCAGGCAGGTCTCAAACTCCTGACTTCAGGTGATCCACGTGCCTCGGCCTCCGAAAGTGCTGGGATTACAGGCGTGAGCCACTGCACCCGGCCCTTCTATTATTAAAAAAAAAAAAAAAAAGAAAAAAAAAAAAGGTTAGGCTTGGCACAGTGGCTCACACCTGTGTTTCAGCACTTTGGGGAGGCCAAGACAGGAGGATTGCTTTGAGACCAGCGTGGGCAACACAGTGAGACCTTGCCTCTGTAAAATATAAACAAAATTAGCTAGGCCTGGTGCCTATAGTCCCAGCTACTTGAGAGGCTGGGGTGGGAGGATCACTTGAGCCCGGGAGGTCAAAGCTGCAATGACAATGAACCATGATTGTGCCACCACACTCCAACACAGGTGACAAAGCAAGATGCTGTTCCAAAAAAAAAAAAAAAAAAAAAAAAAAGAAGTCAATTGCAAAACAGTCTCACAGGTTCTTCAGGAGGTATTCCAGAGGCACCGTCACCGCAGATGAGAGCTCCACGTGTTATCGGCCCTACAGACCTTCTGGTGGGACAAGAGGAAGAGGTGGAAAACAGTGATGATGATGACCCCGACCCTGTGTAGACTTAGGCTAATGTACACGGTTTTTGTTTTTAATTGTTATTTTTTAAAAATAATAGAGACATGGCTGGGCGCAGTGGCTCACGCCTGTAATCCCAGCACTTTGGGAGGCCGAGACAGGCGGCTCACGAGGTCGGAAGATCGAGACCATCCTGGCTAACATGGTGAAACCCCGTCTCTACTAAAAATACAAAAAATTAGCCAGGTGTGGTGGCGGGCGCCTGTAGTCCCAGCTATTTGGGAGGCTGAGGCAGGAGAATGGCGTGAACCTGGGAGGTGGAGCTTGCAGTAAGCCAAGATCGCCCACTGCACTCCAGCCTGGGCAACAGAGCGAGACTCCATCTCAAAAAAAAAAAAATAATAATAATAATAATAATAGAGACAGGGTCTCACTATGTGGCTCAGGCTGGTCTTGAACTCCTGAGCTCAAGCCATCCTCCCACATCTGCCTCTCAAAGTGTTGGGACTACAGGTGTGAGCCCCTGCACTCAGCCTCCATTTTTTCTCTTTTTTTGTTTAGATGGAGTCTCTGTTGCCCAGGCTGGAGTGCAATGGCATGATTTCGGCTCACTGCAACCTCTGCCTCCTAGATTCAAGCGATTCTCCTGCCTCAACCTCCTGAGTAGCTGGGATTACAGGCATGTGCCGCCACGCCTGGCTAATTTTGTATTTTTAGTAGAGATGGGGTTTCTCCATGTTGGTCAGGCTGGTCTCGAACTCCTGACCTCAGGTGATCTGCCTGCCTTGGCCTCCCAAAGTGCTGGGAATACAGGCATGAGCCACCACGCCCTGCCTTTTCTGTACCTTTTCTATGTTTAGATACACAAATACTTACCATCGTGTTACAACTGCCTTCAGTATTCAGTACAGTAACATGTACAGGTTTGTAGCCCAGAGCAGTAGGCTATATCACATAGCCTAGATGTGTAGTAGGCTCTGCAATCTAGGTTTAATTACACATTACACTGTACAATGTTCATACAACAGCAGAATTGCCTAACAATACATTTCTTTTTGTCTTTTTTTTTTTTTTTTTGAGATGGAGTCTCACTCTATCACTCAGGCTGGAGTGCAGTGGCGCAATATTGCCTCACTGCAACCTCTGCTGCCCAGGTTCAACAGATTCTCCTGCCTCAGCCTCCCAAGTAGCTGGGATTACAGGCGCCTGCCACCGTACCCAGCTACTTTTGTATTTTTAGTAGAGACGGGTTTCACCATCTTGGCCAGGCTGGTCTTGAACTCCTGACCTCGTGATCCACCCACCTCGGCCTCCCCAAGTGCTGGGATTACAGGCGTGAGCCACAGAGCCCAGCTTAACAACACATTTCTCAGAACATATCCCTGTAAGGTGGGGCGCAGTGGCTCACGCTTGTAATCCCAGCACTTTGGCAGGCTGAGGTGGGTGGATCACTTGCAGTCAGGAGTTCGAGACCAGCCTGGCCAACATGGTGAAACTCTGTCTCTACTAGAAACAGAAAAAATTAGCTGGGCATGGTGGTGCACACCTGTAATCCTAGCTATACTCTGGAGGCTGAGGCAGGAGAATCGCTTGTATGTGGGAGGTGAAGGCTGCAGTGAGCTGAGATCATGCCACTGCATTCCAGCCTGGGTGACAGAGTGAAAATCTGTCTCTGGAAAAAAAAAAAAAAAAAAAAAAAAAAAAAAAAAAAAAGAACATATCCCTGTAGTTAAACAACATATAACTATGTTACCCAATACATTAACTGATTAGAGAGGCAAACAAATCTTGTCTCAATAGAAGCAGAAAAAGGACTGGTAAGATTGAACATTCACTTGTGACCAAAAACAAAAATAGAGAAACCCTGTCTCTACTAAAAATACAAAAACTAGCCAGGCGTGCTGGTGCATGCCTAGCTACTCAGGAGGCTGAGGCAGGAGAATCGCTTGAACCCCGAGGTGGAGGTTGCAGTAAGCCGAGATTGTGCCACTGCACTCCAGCCTTGGCAACAGAGCAAGAATCTGTCTCGTTAAAAAAAAACAAAAACAAAAAACAGAAATTGAAGACAAATGCCACTAGGTGTCATGGCTCATGCCTGTAATCCCAGCACTTTTGAGGAGGCCGAGGCAGGCGGATCACCTGAGGTCAGGAGTTTGAGGGCAGCCTGGCCAACATGGTAAAATCCCGTTTCTACTAAAAATACAAAAATTAGCCGGGCATGGTGGTGCATGCCTGTAATCCCAGCTACTCGGGAGGCTGAGGCTGGAGAATTGCTTGAACCCAGGAGGCGGAGACTGCAGTGAGCAGAGATTGCACCACTGCACTCCAGCCTGGGCGATGAGTGAAACTCCGTCTCAAAAAAAAAAAAAAAAAGATAAATGCTTATCTCATGGTAGGAAAATGAACCTCCCTCATCTGACAGTTATCTAACTAGAACCTACAGCAAACATCTTTCTTGATGAAACACTAAAACACAAACACCATTTGTGTGTAATAATAATGTACTGGGCTAGGCTGGGCGCGGTGGCGCACACTTTTAATTCCAGCACCTTTGGGAGGCTGAGGTAGGAGTATCGCCTGAGGCGAGGAGTTAAAGACCAGGATGGGCAACGTGATGAGACCCCCGTCTCTACAAAAATAGAAAAAAAGAAAAAAGAAAAAAAAAATAGAGTTGGGGCTGGGAGTGGTGACTCACGCCTGTAATCCCAACACTTTGGGAGGCCGAGGCGGGCGGATCACTTGAGATCAGGAGTTTGAGACCAGCCTGGCCAACATGGTGAAAGCCCGTATCTACGAAAACTACAAAAATTAGCTGGACATGGTGGCACGTCCCTGTAATCCCAGCTGGTTGGGTGGCTGAGGCAGGAGAATCGCTTGAACCTGGGAGGCGGAGGTTGCAGTGAGCTGAGATCGAGCCACTGCACTCCAGCCTGGGCGACAGAGCCAGACTCCGTCTTAGGAAAAAAAAAAAAATAGCAAGGATTCTGGATACACAATATAGAGAATCAATTGTTTCTATGCTGCCAAAACAAAACAAAACCACCCCCCCACCGAAAAAGTTAATACAGACATCTTTTGAGTTTCTATAGCCAGCCTTGGGGGCTCCCTCCTTTCCAGGACCAGACCCACTCCAGCAGTACCAGTCTTAGGGATACACTGCTCCCTGCCTCCCCTAGGCTTGCTCCTGGGGTAAAGAACTGCCAGGCCCTGGGTAGCCACCAGAAGTGTCTGGTCCAATGCCTTTAGGTATCGGGGAGCCTGCAGACCCTACTGTATGCCAGCAAGAAGCTCTTTCTCATAACTTTCACAGGCCTGGCCTGGGGTCTCTGGAATTCTTTCCTCTTTCCCTAGAGAGCTTTCTGGACCTTGAAGATGGCAACTTAGCAGCCCTTATTCAGAGAGAGCTTTCTGGACAGCTTCAACTTCTTCCTGCTGGATCTCCTGGTTTCCCGTACCCCACCCTCATCAGTTTCAATTTTCCAGTGGCCTGGGGGACTGTCTCCTCTGTAAACATGTTCCATGATGTCTGTCTCACTGCCCACAGAGCCAAAAGTGCAGTGCCAGGAGCATGGTAAGCAAACTGCACTGGATGGTAGGCCTTTGGGACCCAGGCAGCCAGCATGTTAGCCTTTCTAGTCCCTGGGGACAGCTGGATAGGTACAGAGGGCAGAGGCAAAGGGAGAGCTTGGCCACACTGCCAAGCCCATTCCCTCCTTGTGGCTTTGCTGGCACTGCTCGCCTGTGGCAGTGGCTGGCATATCCATGCACTCCCAGTGCTGACTCCCACTCAGAGGGCAAATTTTGTATCTAGGTGGTCAGGGGCAAAGGGGGGTGCTGCAGTGCAAGGTTTCCAGGGCAATCTCAGTCCATCCCACTCAGAGCAGCACCCCCAGCACCTCTGAGAGACTGGCCGAGCTGAGCAGACAGCTCCTTGGTCAACCTTGCCTCTCAGAGTAGACTCTGCTCTCTTAGGGACTCCAGGGCTTGGGCTTGTGGCTGTGCTCCAAGAACAGCCTCTCACATGCTTGCTGGATTTAGGACATGGAAACTTCCTGAACACACACCAATGCAAAATACACTCAACGTGAGGCAGATAAGAACCCCGCACCTTGGCAAAAAGGGGGGAAATTGATTCCAAAGAGCAAATGAATGTGTAAAAGATATTTGGTTCAAATTAATGGTTTTATTTCCATCTGTAACACTAGCAGAGGAGTCCAAAGCAGACTGATATCCATGGATATAGTTTAAATGTAACAAAGAAAGAGTTGAACTATGTACATTGAAAAAAGGAAAGACATTTCTTCATACCAACCTTTCCCTAGTTCGCAGTTTCTGAATAGTAGAAACAAAACACATTTTTAAATCTTTCTATCAATTTAATTTAGGACGAAGTAACACAACTTTTATAATTAACCACTGAAGTTGTCTTTAAGGACAAAACTTAAATTTTAAAATGGGTGTTACCATATTTTATGAGTGGACTGACTCCAAGGTTGCCTTGCTCCAAGTCTGGGCATCGTGACATTGCCGTGATGCCCAGAAGAAAGTTAATGGCAATGATGTCCAGTCAGAGGGCAGACATGCTACACATCACAATGATGAGAGCTGCGGATTCTGCCCTCTTCAACTCCAAGTAGAAAATTATTATTTTCATTCAAACTAACTGGAAGTGAGCCAAACAGTTAAAAAGTCAGAATGAAGAATAAAACAATTTTCTTTTCACATAGAGGAGGGACACTCCTTCAGCCCCGTCTAAAGTGAATTCTGTGCTGAGTCCCTGCTCCTTCAGAAGGGTAAACTGAAGGTCAGTTATTGCTAACAAAGCCAGAAGTGGCCCCTTTCCCGCCCTGAAGATGTTTCACACGAAAAGGCCGTTTGTTTGGCGTGAGGCCCTCTGAGGAAGGACGACAGTGGAAGAGGAGGCATGCCGGCACTGTAAGGCCTCTCTCGTTAGCCACCCCCCAGGCCCTGTGCTGTCAGGGGCAGCTTGGGCCACTTTGCTGCCCCTGAGAGAACCTGAGGCTCCCGCGTACCTGTGGAGCGAAGGAGAGGTTGTCATCTGGGCCCCTGTTTCACCAGTCAAAACCTATGGAGCAGTCAGAAGCCCGAAGCATCCAAGCCCAGTGGCCAGGAAGCTTCTGAAATAAACGGCACTGGGTTGGGAAGGATGAGAAAGCCAAGACAGGTGGGCCAGGTTCTCCGAACATGGGGCAACAGTGACCTGGGCAAAAGCCTGGAACTGAGCGGCTGATAAGGCCACAATTACTGCCACCACCTCTCAGTATCTACACGGGGGCAGACGTTAGGCAGTGGGAACTGAGGACTGGAGGGCGTGTGGCAAACACGGGATGGATTTTATCAGAAAAGAGAGGACACCCAAACACGTGCCTGCCCTATTTATCTTGCATGTCCTGTGCCAGGTGAAGGACGCTGGAGCATGGGTAAGGTTCCTGAGAACAACTGGTGGGCAGAAACGGGCTGGGATGGGCACTGCTCCACAGGCAACATTAAGCCTCTGAGGGGGACACTAATAGTGCTACATCTTGTGGGCTGCTGAAAAGTAGGTAACGAATGGCCTTTATTGCACTTTTTCGTTCTTAGGAAACAGGGGAGTGCCCTGCAGAGTTTCTCTTGATTTGCAGAAATCACTGCAGATCAATGATAAGGTGCAGGCAGAATCACGGGTGACCTCTGACTCTCAAGGGAAGAAGTCCAGTGATTGGTCTTTCCAGGGCCTCAAGGGGCCACTCTTCAACCTGGGATCCTCGAGCTGGGTGAACCGGGTCTGGCTTGGTCAATGTGTGGCAGGCAGATTGGTCGACCGGCAGACACTTGGGACAAAAGGTGGTGTGCCCGGGAAAGCTGGGGCAAACTTTCCAAACAGGGAAAATTTCTTGGCAAATGTGCAGATTCTGCAACCAGACTGGAACCACGATTCCCAATGCGCCTGACTCCCTTTCTCCCACTCTAGAACTGGACCACCCCAGAGGAACAGAGATGGCCTGGGAGGGCCCTGGGTCCAGCGCCATAGCATCAAACTGGAGATAACAAAAGGAAGGGGTTGGAAACAAAAGAGCAGTTTACATATCAGATGTTGGTTTCGAAACAGTCTTTTTGATCTCAGGAAAATGGAGGCAGATACCACTGGAGAACCTGGCTGTCTGTCTGTCCATCCGTCTCTCCTGGGGGGCTCTGAATACTTCATATATAAATGGGGTGGTACCGTTTGTGGTTGATCTTTTTCCTACAAGTTGGGCAAGTATTAGCATTCTTCAGGGAATCACGGAGGCACTGGCTACAGAAGACATGGCCGCATTCTGTGGAAACGATGAGACGTCCATTCTGCACGATCTAGAAGGCATTAAAAAGAAGAGCCTCCGAGTTTGCCCTTGTCCCAGAGCAGCCATGGGGCCAGAGAATCCCACCCACCTATGCCTAAGATGACTAATTAAAGGAAAGCAAGGGCCAGGCTACAACAGGGAGGGGTCTGGAGAGCTAACTGTGTCTGCTGTGGTCTCTCTCAGCTGGAGAGCAGGAGGCAGGGGCCATGGCATCTCAACAGTGTGACAGCCCAAGAGGGTTATGAGGGACCCCAGTAAACACTAGCAGCTTTCAGTTAGAGCCAGGATGGGGCACAAAAAAGGAGGACGCATTTGCACCCGGAAGCTCAGGGCATACAGGAGTATAGGGGCTGAAGGTGAAAGTTGTAGGGTCCAAGGAGAAACTGGCACATTCTCCCCTCACAGGCAGATCTGCAATAAGTGACGGCCCAGGCATGACTGTGAGTAGGGGTGTCCAATCCCACCGAGGGGGAAGATCCTGTCTCATCCAATTCTTTCAGTGAAGTTTAGAAACCAGAAGCCTGGAAGATACAGCTTGGTTTACTTACCTCTGAGTATCCGTCCATGCAGATGGGACAACTGACAGTACCTGAGGGCCTAAGAGCACAGTGCTTCACGTTAGTTTCTCAGTCAACGCAAACATTTTATTATACCCTGTCACGTGAGTGGCCCCTATCCCCTACAAGAGTCCCGTCCCTGGCCTCCTGACTCTGCCTTAGCGCGGGCATCCGAGAGACTTTCAGGAAAGCCAACTGCCCCAAGGGCATGTGGGAGGGTGAACATGAGAAGGTGCACACAACCTGAGTCACCCTGCCCTCCCCCAGGCCCCTACCAGCCCCAGGATCCCTGTCTGGGGCCACTGGGACTGTCTGCACACACTGTGTCAGCGCTTGGCATCCTCTGGTTACAGTGGGAATAGCTGGACTCAGTTCTGGACCCAGTTCCAACTGTATCCAGATGCTGGGTAGAGGCTTGGGCAAGCCCTTCCAGGGCCAAGGGCTCACAGATTTGCTGAAAAGTATTCCCATGCCCTGGCCCCACATCCTAGCATGGCGGCAGCAGAGCTGGGGGCACGTTGGTACCTGAGGCCTGTAGCGCCCTCATCCCTGGCGTTTCTGGGAGTATGGGTAGTCACATATACGTCTCTGTCCCTGGACAACTCCTCATCGTCACTGCTCACCACACAGCTGTCAGCATGGTCCTGGGGCAGCCTCCTAGCATTCCTCCTTGGTCTTCTTCTTTCTAAGGTAAGAGGTCACATTTTCAGGTTGGAGGCTCTCTACTCTTACCATCCTCACCACTCCCATCCTGACGCCTCTTAAGACCCTCTTCCTTCCCTGCCTGGGACCCCCAGAGACAAACTGCTGCCATGCTCAGCTATAACCCAGAAGGTTCTGCCCAGCTCTGGAGGCCACTATCTTATCTTCCCAGGAGAAACCCCCCAACCCCTGCTGTGAGCTACCAGCCTTCTCCAAAATCTGGTAGGCCACAAGAAAGGACTATAGCTCAGTGCTCAATGATAGTGGTGAAGTTTCTTCAGCAGGCACAAGGGGGACTGGCTGTGTGGGTCTGACCACAGCATCTGCGAAGGCATCTTCCTGCTTGGAGCGCTCCAAGCCCTTGGGGATGGTCTGGCAAGACCTGCAGCACCGCGGCTCTCACCTATGCCAGTTTCCTCTCCAAACCCAGTGAAAAAGGAAACGAAACCACTCACCGTCAACAATCTTGTAAACAGAAGGAGAAAAACAAAAGAGAAAGAAGCAATCAGTTTGATATAAGTGATAAACGAAGCCATTTCTTTTTTCTGACGTGTGACACCCTCTGTGGAACCCTCTGGTGAGCAGCAGAGGCCCCACCCTCCTCCCACCCACAGAGGATCTGTGCACCTCTCCCAGTCAGTCAAGCCCACTTCCCAAGTCACTCCACCTCCCAGCTGATGTGCTGTGTCTCTCCCTGCTGGGTGTTTAGTGGAGTCTCCTGGAGCGTGAACACAGCCACAGCCACACCATGTGCTGACTGCAAGACCTGGGGACCTTCCTTACTATCTGGGGGCTGCCACAGCCACACCATGTGCTGACTGCAAGACCTGGGGACCTTCCTTACTATCTGGGGGCTGCCACAGCCACACCATGTGCTGACTGCAAGACCTGGGGACCTTCCTTACTATCTGGGGGCTGCCACAGCCACACCATGTGCTGACTGCAAGACCTGGGGACCTTCCTTACTATCTGGGGGCTGCCACAGCCACACCATGTGCTGACTGCAAGACCTGGGGACCTTCCTTACTATCTGGGGGCTGCCACAGCCACACCATGTGCTGACTGCAAGACCTGGGGACCTTCCTTACTATCTGGGGGCTGCCACAGCCACACCATGTGCTGACTGCAAGACCTGGGGACCTTCCTTACTATCTGGGGGCTGCCACAGCCACACCATGTGCTGACTGCAAGACCTGGGGACCTTACTTACTATCTGGGGGCTGCAGCTTTCTCTTCTGAAGCAGAGTCACCAGAGCCCACATCTGACTGTGCTGTTGTGAGGGTTACGTGAGGCAGTGAACATTTAGACAGCACTAGGGGCATGATGCTCTCTCAAGCTGACGCGACCAATGTAGGCCACTGCCAAGGTGGAGCCTTCATGTGGAGGAGGATTTGCATTGCTCAGTAGGTTGTTACAAGTAACTAACAGAGAAAAGCAGGCTATGCATGACCAATGCGTGTGACACACACCAAGGATTGAACACAATCCAATTCTCTGTCCTGGGGGCCTAAGAACCTGACAAGCCTCTCACCTGCCAGCTCAGAACTTACATCTAGACAATTTCTGCTCCAACAGTTTCAAACGTGGTTCCTCCCACCTTCTGGCCAAGTGCTCTTACCCATCTAGGGGGGCCAGTGGAACGCCCTTTCCCTCTTGCTGAGCACGTAGGAGGGGCTGTTTCAGGAAAGTTCTCACCACCAAAGCCCTACTGCTCACCTCACCCTGCCTGTCCCCTGGGCAGGACATCCTGCCCTACAGTGACAAGAAGCTCTAATCCTCTACTCTGACTCCCGTGCAGCCAGGATCCTAGACGTGAACCGAGTTCCCTCAAACAGACACACTCATGCTACTGGCAGGGCAGGGGATGGAGGCCGATTTGAGCTGCTGAGGGTGTTGGCACTGGCAGGCACAGCTGCATCCTGAAGAAACACTTCTGGCAGAGGCTGCTATGTCTTGAGCCCAGGCCTCTCCTCCCTAGAAAGGGTCTGCAGTACTGTCTACACGAACCCAAAGATATGAGTGCAGGGGGTGGATGCCGCCTCCAGACCTTCTTCATGGAGCAGACACAGCAGCTCCCTAGGTGGGTCAATGCTTCGAGGTCAAGAGTTATTCCTGGAGACCCAGCCCAGACACTGCTGATTTAGGCTTCTCCTTCCATGTTAAAATCCACTAAGCTTAGGAATAATTAGAGTGGATTTTGTTTCCCAAATGGCATCCTGACATACACAAACGGCCATGCAGGAAGAATGCAGGACTGAGTATAAAGGTCTTTGATTTGAGGATGAGAATATAATCCACATACGTGGAGCCACTGAAACGTGCTCCCCTTTCCTCTTAGAGGAGACTGCAGACGGTGAAAAGGGAAATCTGGGGACAATCAGTCAACCTCACCATCAGGACCAAACTTACCAGGGCCGGCACAATGTACTGTCCGCATGAAATCTAGAAAAGGAGGCTCTGGTAACAGTGCTGGCCCTTGGGGAAAGCCTTGGGTTTAGCTGGGAGCAAAAGCAAATTCTTCTGTGGCTAGAAATGACCCCAGCTTTCTACAGCTCCAACATGCCCCCACCCTCTGCCAAGATGACCCACTAATTAGGTGTGGACACCTGGAAAGGGTATGACACTCCCAGTGCCCCAGCCATGACAGTGCGCGTACTGAGTCTTTATGGTCTCTTGTGAGTCATACCCAGCTTGCCTGTGGATGGTACCAAACTGAGGCCTGTCCTGAGCACTGAGCCCAGGGGCTGCTGGCAAGCAGCAGGTGATACACACACAACTACTGGGGTGCATAAGAACAGGGTCGCCAGAGTGTTTCCTCACTGGTAACAATTCTGACTGTCCCCGCTTTTAATGAGAGAAAAACAGCTTCCAGATGAGTCTTCAGTATAAGAACAACACCACAGGCTGGGCGCGGTGGCTCACACCTGGAATCTCAGCACTTTGGGAGGCCGAGATGGGCGGATCACTCGAGGTCAGGAGTTCGAGACCAGCCTGACCAACATGGTGAAACCCTGTCTCTACTAAAACTACAAAAATTAGCTGGGTGTGGTGGCGCGTGGCTGTAGTCCCAACTACTTGGGAGGCTGAAGCAGGAGAATCACTTGAACCCAGGAGGTGGAGGGGGCAGTGAGCCGAGGTCACGCCATTGCACTCCAGCCTAGACAACAATAGCGAAACTGTCTCAAAAAGAAAAAAAGAAAAGCACAGGCCCGGTGGCTCATGCCTGCAATCCCAGCATTTTGGGAGGCAGAGGCGGGCAGAAAACCTGAGGTCGGGAGTTTGAGACCAGCCTGGCCAACATGGTGAAACCCTGTCTCTACTAAAACTACAAAAATTAGCCGGGTGTGGTGGTGGGCACCTGTAATCCCAGCTACTTGGGATGCTGAGGCAGGAGAATCACTTGAGCCCGGGAGGTGGAGGCTGCAGTGAGCTGAGATCCATTGTACTCCAGCCTAGGCGACAATAGTGAAACTGTCTTTAATTAAAAAAAAAAAAAAAAAAAAAAAAAGGCCTGGGGCAGTGGATCATGCCTGTAATCCCAGCACTCTGGGAGGCAGAGGCGGGCAGATCACCCGAGGTCGGGAGTTTGAGACCAGCCTGACCAACATGGAGAAACCCCGCCTCTACTAAAAACACAAAATTAGCCGGGCATGTGGTGGCTCATGTCTGTAATCCCAGCTACTCAGGAGGCTGAGGCAGGAGACTCACTTGAACCTGGGAGGTGGAGGTTGTGGTGAGCCGAGATTGCACCACTGCACTCCAGCCTGGGCAACAAGAGTGAAATTCCGTCTCAAAAACAAAACAAAACAAAAACAAAAAACAAAACAAAACAAAACAAAAACCAAACAAACAAAAAAACAAAACCAACGACCACAGCCTGGCCTCTCAGCTGGTGGACAATACAGTATTGATTACTGGTGTTCCCTCCACCCAGTGGCCGAGTCACATCAAATTCCAGAATCCCTGCAGACATCTCAAGAACTCTGTAATGAACCTAAATCACAGCTATGGCCCTGCAGGTGGCACAGTACTTGCCCAGCACAGAAGATAGGTGCAGAGGGAAGAGTACCAGCGCTTCATAAATGCCTACCAGATGAGTTGAGAGATGGATAGAGGTGTAACACAAGCTCTGGGGCCTCTAATCTATTTGAGAGGCTTTTAAGATAAGTGAAAAACCAAAACTGAAATAACAACAATTAACTAATCCCCTGAACTGAATAGTTTAATTAGTACTGTGGTAAGCTAGCCCAAGATCAGAAATTCACACTTCCTCGGCTGGGCATGGTGTCCCATATCTGCAATCCCAGCACCCTGGGAGGCCAAGGCGGGATGAATCACTTGAGCTCAGGAGGTCGAGACCATCCTGGGCAACACGGCGAGATCCCGTCAATACAAAGAATAAGCTGGGCATGGCAGTGTGTACCTGTAGTCCCAGTACTCCTGGGGCTGAGGCAGGAGGATCTCTTCAACCTGGGAGGTTGAGGCTACAGTGAGCTGAGCTCGGGCCCCTGCCTTCCAGCCTGGGCAACAGAGCAACACCCTGTCTCAAAAAGAGAAAAGAAAAAAAAAAAGAAAAAGATTCACTCACTCATACATTTTATTTTACTCTAGCTTCTTCTCAACTATGGACAACAGTCCATAGGTCAGAGCATTTAGAGACGAGTGGACCTGCAGCAGGCACATCTGATTGGTCACTCGAAGCCCCTTTGTGCTTCTAAAAGCACAGGTGAGCCTCAGAACACCTCTGCATGAAAGAAGCAAGTATAGGAATCACTGGGTCCCGTGCACTCAGGCTGGCCCCTGGCATTTCTAGGAATGTTCACCCAGCCAAGGGCACCAAGACACACTTGCTTTAGACAACTTTACAGCTCACAGCACTGCACATTGCTCCACTGGAAAAACAGCCATCTCCAAGCACTGTGCACACAAAAGGCTACTCAATGTCCAACAGCTACACACATCATGCAGTTACTGATGCCTGTTACTTGCGGCACTGGCAGGAAAGTCGGGAAGACTGGTGCGGACAATCACATTGTAGTTGAGTAGCCAACCCATCTTGGCTAATTCCTGGATATGATGTTTGGGCTTTTCTGAGCTCTTCTTTCTTTCTATGGAATTGGGCTGGCTCACTTATTCCAACAGTGTGCCTCCTGTGTCCTTTACACCCAGAGATCTACAGGGTTCTGTCCCTCCCTCCTTCCCTCCCTCCCTCCCTCTTCCTTCCTTCCTTCCAGAAAAGCCTTTATCAAGCATCCTTTCTACAGAGTCTCATAAATGGAAAACCAGGCAGGATACAGAATAAAACACACATAGTGTGACTTATTCATACATTATAGAAACAGACCAAAAAAAGATTCCAGAAAAATCAACCTTACTAAGAGACAATCTTTGGAAATTTAAGAAAAACAGCCTAAGTAACATTTTCAATAACCTTCCCCTTAAAGAATCTCGATTCCTTAAAGAGAGTTGCCAGTCTCTTTTCTACCACTGCATTGCTTCTAGCCAGAGCAGAGACTGGCATACTGAAAATGCTCATGAAAAGTGACCCAAGGTCAGGCTCAGTGGCTCACAACTACAATCCCAGCACTTTGGGAAACCAAGGTGGGAGGATCACTTGAGCCCAGGAGTTTGAGACCACCCTGGGCAATACGGTAAGACCTTGTCTCTCCAAAAAAATATAAAAAATCAGCCAGGGATGGTGACATACCCCTATAGTCCCAGCTACTTAGGAGGCTGAGGCAGGAAGCTCAATTGAGCCCAGAAGGTACAGGCTGCAGTGAGCCGTGATGGCACCACTGCACTCCAGCCTGGGTAACAAAGTGAGACCCTGTTTCAAGGGAAAAAAAAAGAAGAAGAAGAAGAAAAAAAACAAATTTGGAGAAAGCACACAACTTGGAAAAAAAAAAAAGATTATTTGCTGTTAAAAAGCAACCAAGGAGGCCGGACATGGTGGCTCACGTCTGTAATCCTAGCACTTTGGGAGGCTGAGTCAGGTATATCACTTGAGGCCAGGAGTTCAAGACCAGCCTGGTCAACATGGCAAAACCGTCTCTCCTAAAAATACAAAAATTAGCTGGCCGTGGTGGTGTGTACCTGTAATCCCAGCTACTCAGGAGGCTGAGACATGGGAATCGCTGGCACCCTGGAGATGGAGGTTGCAGTGAGCCAAGACTGTGCCACTGCACTCCAGCGTGGGCGACAGAGCGAGACTCTGTCTCAGGGGGGAAAAAGAAAACAACAAATGGTTTGCTTTGTTCTAGTTCAATTTTTTCAACGATTTAAAAAGTTTATAGGACTCAAGGAACCAAAACTGTATCTGATGGCCTCAAGGGTTATGTTTGAAGGCTTGCTGACTTGCAGAAAACTCAAGCTGACTGTTCAAGATGTTCAGGGCAAAAACTGCCTAGCTTCCATGCGTGGGTCTTACCCATGACAAAATGTGTTGTGTGATTTAAAAATGGCAGACCACCCGGGTGGATCACTTGAGGTCAGGAGTTCGAGACCAGCCTGGACAACATGGCAAAATCCTGTCTCTACAAAAAATACAAAAATTAGCTGGGCGTGGTGGTGCATGCCTATAGTCCCAGCTACCCAGGAGGCAGAGGCTGCAGTGAGCTGAGATCACGCTACTGCATTCTAGCCTGAGTGACAGTGAGAAACCGTCTCAAAAAAAAAAAAAAAAAAAAAAAAAAAAAAGGCAGACCATGATTGAAGCTCATGTTGATGTCTAGACTACCAATGGTTAAAGAAAACCTCAGCACCAACAGGTCTAAGATGATGGAAATCATGACCCAAGGCCGGGCGCGGTGGCTCACACCTATAATCCCAGCACTTTGGGAGGCCGAGGCGGGCGGATCACGAGGTCAGGAGATCGAGACCATCCTGGCTAACATGGTGAAACCCCGTCTCTACTAAAAATACAAAAAATTAGCCGGGTGTGGTGGCGGGCACCTGTAGTCCCAGCTACTCTGGAGGCTGAGGCAGGAGAATGGTGTGAACCCAGGAGGCGGAGCTGGCAGTGAGCCAAGATCGCACCACTGTACTCCAGCTTGGGCAACAGAGCGAGACTCCATCTCAAAAAAAAAAAAAAAGAGAGATGCAGACAAATAACTTGAAAGAAGTGGTGGAGAAAATTATTCCAGACAGCACTGGAGAAGACACAGAAATGCCTGCAAATCTATTTATCCGCTCCACGATGTCTTCTCTGTGAGGAAAGTTAAAATGCTAAAAACACTCAGGTTTGCATTGGGAAAACGTAGGGAGCTTTGTGGTGAAGACAGCAGTTCTGGAAAAGCTACTGGGATGAGCTAGGTACTAAAGTGAAAAGTCCTATTTATGATGAAAAAAGTTTATATACGAAAGTTGCATAAAAAAAAGCTATGTAACAGCCAGGTGCAGCGGCTCATGCTTATAATCCCAGCACTTTGGGAGGCCAAGGCGAGTGGATCACCTGAGGTCAGGAGTTCAAGAACAGCCTGGGCAACATGGTGAAACCCCATCTCTACTAAAAATATAAAAAATTAGCCTGGCATGGTGGTGCGTGCCTGTAGTCCCAGCTACTCAATAGGCTGAGGCAGGAGAATTGCTTGAACCCGGGAGGCGGAGGTGAACTGAGTGAACTGAGATCGTGCCACTGCACTCCAGCCTGGGTGACAGAGTGAGACTCTGTCTCAAAAAAAAAAAAAAAAAAAAATACAAAAAATGAGCCGGGCATGGTGGCGGCTGCCTGTAGTCCCAGCTACTCTGGAGGCTGAGGCAGGAGAATGGCGTGAACCCAGGAGGCAGAGCTTACAGTGAGCCAAGATCACGCCACTGCACTCCAGCCTGGGTAACAGTGCAAGACTCTGTCTCAAAATAAATAAATAAATAAATAAATAAATAAATAAATAAATAAAAGCTATAAAACAAAGAAGTTTTAAACAGGCACTTCACAAAAGAGAAAAATAAACATGAAAAGGTGTTTGATCCCATTTGTAATAAAAAAGCACAAATTAAAACCACAATGAGACACCACTGGACAAGCATCAGAATGGCTAAAATTAAAAGTGGCCATGAGGATGTGGAGAACCTCAAACACTGGCATGAATGTGAACTGCTCCCTCTTTAGAAAAGTCTGGCATTTATCCAGTAAAAATCAAAGACACTCACACCTCGGGACACAGCAGTGATGCCTTTTCTAGGCTATGCAATGCCAAAAATGAAAGTTCATTTTGAGGGAAACTAATCAAATGAGATGAACAAAGTCTCTCACTGCATCTTACCGCATTTTTCATTTCCCTTCATTTTTCAGGGGCTTTGAATTCCTTCGAAAGTTGGAAGAATGTGCACACCTGTATGCAAAGTTTCCAGTCTTTTTTTCTTTTTTGAAGAAGACAGGGTCTCACTATGTTGCCCAGGCTTGCCTTGAACTCCTGAGTTCAAGTGATCCTCCTTGCTCAGCCTTCCCAGTAGCTGGGACCACAGGCACAAAGTTTAGAGGGTTCCCTGATGTTCTGACGGCTACCTCTGGATCCTGGTATCCAGGGATTCCTATATTACAGGTACAGAGCTACTGGAGCTAAAGCAGTGCACTCAAACTATTCGACAGGTCCTGGCGGAACTGGTAAGGAAGGTTACCCCGCTTCCAGAATGAATACATTTATCCATTTTATACTCTCCTGCAGGTGCAGCCTAGGGTCACCCTGAACACACGATCCATCTACAGATGCCCCTTATCCTCAGTGACTAGCATTAGAGGCCTCCCAAACAGATCTGCTCAGAGGCAGAATTCCAAACTCAAGTATATGTCTCAGTGTAAATTCATAAACTGGCACTTGGACTTATTAAAATCAAAAATAAGTAGAGAATGATTAGCAAGAGCTATCAAGTCCAAAGCAGTTATTTTGTGGCTGACAACACTGAGGACAGTGTGAGATAAATCCACTGATCAAACTGACCAGTAGATCTGAGAGACCAGAACCTAGGACTCCTGCTTCCCAAGCCAGGAGCGTCTCCCTTTTACCTATCAGCTCTCCCTCTGGCCACCCATCCACTTTCCAGGGTAGCTCCCTCAACACCAATATTCCTGGTCCCCGGGTCTCCCAATGACTGCAGATCTTATAAAGGTTAACCAGACAGCCCCAGGTTAATTGGGAGTAGGACTGCCAACATGGAGCCCTAGCCCAGGGAAACAGAAGAAAGGTAGGGAAGTTCAGAGAGGAAGCCCTTTTAGCAAGAGCAGCTTAGTCATCAAAACAAAACAAAGCTGGCCAGTGTGGTGGCTCACACCTGTAATCCTAGTGCTTTGGGAGGCTGAGGTGGGTGACTGCTTGAGCCCAGGAGTTCAAGACCAGCCTGGGCATCACAGTGAGACCCTGTCTCTACAAAAATATTAAAAAATCACCACCACCACCCGACCCAAATTTAGTAGTGTATGGTGGCATGCACCTGTAGTCTCAGCTACTCAGGAGGATAATGTGGGAGAATCACTTAAGCTCAGGGGTTGGAGGCTGCAGTAAGGTGTGATCATGCCACTGCTCTCTAGCCTGGGCAACAGAGTGAGACCCTGTTTCTTTTCTTTTCTTTTTTTTTTTTTTTGAGACAGAGTCTTGCTCTGTCGCCCAGGCTTGAGTGCAGTGGCGCGATCTTGGCTCACTGCAACCTCCGCCTCCTGGGTTCAAGTAATTCTCCTGCCTTAGCCTCCCGAGTAGCTGGGATTACAGGTATGCATCATCACACCTGGCTAATTTTTGTATTTTTTTTTTTTTTTGAGATGGAGTCTCACTCTGTTGCCCGGGCTGGAGTGCAGTGACGTGATCTCGGCTCACTGCAACCTCTGATTCCTGGGTTCAAGCGATTCTCCTGCCTTAGCCTCCTGAATAGCTGGGACTACAGGCGTCCGCATAATTTTTGTATTTTTAGTAGAGACAGGGTTTCACCATGTTGGCCAGGCTGATGTCAAACTCCTGACCTTGTGGTCCGCCCACCTCGGCCTCCCAAAGTGCTGAGATTACAGGCGTGAGCCACCGCGCCCAGCCTGAGACCCTGTTTCTAAAGCAAAAGAAAACACAAGTGTGAAAGGGGAAATGATGTTGGTTTGTCAGCCAACAAAAGCCAATCAATCATTGTCTTCCTGCAGTCAAAATCCTAGCTCTCTCCTCAGGGTCTGGCAGAGAGAAGGCCAAGAAGACTGTGGTGAACACTGAGTATTCAAGAAAAACAAAAAACAAAAAACAAAAAAACTTCTGCAGACACCACTTTCCAGCTTTAATGAGCAACTGGTGAAACCAAGGTGTCAGCTGGGAAAAAGAAAGAGGGGAAAAATCAGTGACTGTGCTGTAGCTGCCAGCTAATATACCAAATTAGTTATCTTTCCAGAACTCCATGCAGGACACAGGGATGATAAGCAAAGTCATATGTGTGTATGTACCTCAGAAAACACGTTAATGAGACCTAAGCAGGGACCACGTACAACTAAACCCACTGCTGCTTATCTCAGATGGTTTTCCATCCCTGTCCTTTTCTTTGCATTGAAGTCTTGAAACTTCTCAGTATAACCCTATTCTGAAGTTCTCAGCACAACTAAGAAGCAACACCTATGGGGTGTCCCTATTCAGATACCCAGGCATCAGCCAAACAGGATAACCCCAACACCAGTGAGCCCAGGGCCAAGGCGAAGACTCAGCTACTAGCAGCCCCCACACCCCACAGTCCTCCTCAGCAGCACTTACCACCCCACTGCCAATGCTGCCAAGTGTGCCCCCACCCCGACCTGTGTTCCGAGCACACTGTCAGAAAACACTCAAGTGGCATCTTCCAGAGGCAAACTTGCCCTTAAGATGCTGACCAGATTCCCAGACCTGCATGCACCATGAAACAGGTCTATCAGAAATAGCTTCTCCGTGTGTCCTCTGACCAGACAAGGCCTCCCTCCTGGCAGGCAGGACACGTATACACACGTCCCCTGCAGTCTGTAACCGGTGCCATGAGACAGGGACACAGGCAGCCTCCTGGGCTCCAGCCTCCCTGGCATCAGGACGCAGCAGGCATCAGGTGGCAATGCAGGGAGCCTGCATCCCCTGAGGCCATGCTAAGTAGCAGGCACTTTTGGAACTTGAGAGATTTCCCATGGGCAGTGCTGAGCCAACGTTCCCTTTCCTTTCAGTTGGGAGGGCATACACTCACAGTGACTGGGCACCATTCTAGGTGTCAGGCACTCAAACACGGCATCTGTTGTAAGATGTCTTACACCATGCCCTGCTGACATGAGTGACCTGTCCCCATTTCATGGAAAGTGAATGAGGCTAAGTCACATGCCCAAGGTCACACAGCTGGTGTAAACTGTGGAATCAGGGACTGAAGACAGATGTGGGGGTCTTGAGATTCTCCCCAAACCACTTTTGTGCCCAGGTGTGGCAAGGTCAGGTTACACAGACCTACTCCATAGGCGACAAGGCTATAACAAATGATTTTCCAGAAACATTTTTCATTTTGGGCTCTCGTCACTGAATGCATGAACTTCTTTGTTATTATTATTGTTACTGTTTATTTTCTTTCTAAAAGCTCAATTCCACAAGATGCATGAACTTCTTTAGCATAAGCTGTAACCTTGACTTGGAGTCTGTGACCAAGGCTGTCAGATGCTGGCACTGGCCAGGGACCCATACCCAAGAAACAGCCGACTCTCACACTCCAACACTTACCACAACAGAGTCATTGTGAGTCAGATCAACCACCACAGGCTCTAAAGATTCACAAGTGAGGTCCACAATTTCATCTCCAGCTTCAAAAGAAAGTATTTCAACAAGCATTAAGATTAAGAGGAAAGTAAGGTTGTATCCCTCTACACTTTAGTATGACTGCTAATGTTATAGGCTTACCCCAAACTAAAACAATCCTGAAGTATACACTGCAAAGAGCACCAGGACCAACACCTCCCTCAGGAGGGAAAGCCAGTAACCACCCTTCCAGAATTCTGCTCTGAGTGGGGAGGTATGGTTTTTACAAATGTACCTGGGGGGTTATGTATGTGTGCGCATGTGCATACCTCTATTCCACGGCATCCCACTTCCACACGGCTATGCCTCTGTGCCCCATCTGGGAGAACGCACCATGCATGCCCAGCCCCAGGCCTTTCTCTTTGGGATGGACTAGCCTGAAACCTCTGCTCCTCCCAGCAGGTGAAGCTGACCACTCTCACTTGGCCCAAGGACCAAAAGTCAGGCTTAGCTTAGTAACTTCATCGGTTAATCTAGGGCAAATTCTTTTTTTTTTTTTTTTTTTTTGAGACAGAGTCTCGCTCTGTCGCCAAGGCTGGAGTGCAGTGGTGCGATCTTGGCTCACTGCAACCTCCGCCTCCTGGGTTCAAGCAATTCTCTGTCTCAGCCTCCCGAGTAGTTGGGATTACAGGCGCCTGGCAGCATGCCTGGCTAATTTTGTTTGTATTTTTAGTAGAGATGGGGTTTCACCATCTTGGCCAGGCTGGTCTTGAACTCCTGACCTTGTGATCCACCCACTTCAGTCTTCCAAAGTGTTGGGATTACAGGCGTGAGCCACCGTGCCCGGCCAAGGACAAACTTTTAATTTCCATTTATCTCTCAAGTTTGTCTCCCTAGTTGGATGGAGAATAACAGTGATATATACTGATAGCTAGAACCTCAACATACAAAATGGGTTGCATCTGTTGTGAAGCTTGCCTTTCAGCCCTTAGGGTATACTGTGATGTCTACATGTGCACAGGATAAAGGTGAGAAGGACATGGACCAAACAGTTAACGTACAACTTCCATTTATATAAAGTAAAAAATGACGCACAACCATTTTTATTTCTGATTACTATTAATATTAATATTAAAAAGCACGGAATGGGCCAGGCACAGTGGTTCACACCTGTAATCCCAGCACTTTGGGAGGCTGAGGTGGGCGGATCACCTGAGGTTGAGAGTTCGAGACCAGCCTGACCAACATGGAGAAACTCCGTTTCTACTAAAAATACAAAATTAGCGAGGTGTGGTGGCACATGCCTGTAATCCCAGCTACTCGGGAGGCTGAGGCAGGAGAATTGCTTGAACCCCGGGATGCAAAGATCACGCCACTGCACCCCAGCCTGGGCAACAAGAGCAAAACTCCATCTCAAAAACAAACAAACAACAACAACAACAAAACACTAAATGAAGTTTTTTAAGAAACAGTATTGGTCTAATATTTGGGGAAAGTGTCTTGTAATGCATTTAACTTTTTTTTTTTGAGACAGAGTCTCGCTCTGTCGTCCAGGCAGGAGTGCAGTGGCACGATCTCGGCTCACTGCAACCTCTGCCTCCCAGGTGCAAGTGATTCTCCTGCATCAACCTCCCAAGTAGCTGGGATTACAGGCGCCCGCCACCACGCCCGTCTAATTTTTGCATTTTTAGTAGAGATGGGGTTTCGCCATGTTGGCCAGGCTGGTCTTGAACTCCTGACCTCAGGTGATCTGCACGCCTCGGCCTCCCAAAGTGCTGGGATTATAGGAGCCAGCCATGGCGCCCAACCCAACGTAACTTCTTTTATTTATTTTTTAGGTGGGGTCTTGCTGTTGCCCAGGCTAGAGTGCAGTGGCACGATCACGGCTCACTGCAGCCTCAATGTTCCAGGCTCAAGTGATCCTCCTACCTCAGCCTCCCACACTTGGCTAATTTTTTTATTTATAGAGACAGGGTCTCACTATGTTGTCCAGGCTGGTCTGGTACTCCTGGGCTCAAGCAATCTGGCTGGCCTGTTTTATTTTCTTGTATCATAAAGTTTCACAAGAATAAAAACCGTGATAATCTTACATATACAATATAATTTATATAAAATTATTGCATTCTTTATTAAAAAGAAGGGCTGTCCAACAGTCCATATACTGATATACAACAATTTATTGAACCATTCTCTTTCTGGTGAACACAATTCTGGGCTCTTACAAAAACAGTGCTCTAGGCCAGGCGGGTGGCTCAGGCCTGTAATCCCAGCACTTTGGGAGGCCAAGGCAGGTGGATAATCTGAGGTCAGGAGTTCGAGATCAGCCTGACTGACATGGTGAAACCCCGTCTCTACTAAAAATACAAAAAAAATTTAGCCGGGTGTGGTGGTGGGCGCCTATGATCCCAGCTACTTGGGAAGCTGAGGCAGGAGACTTGCTTAAACCTGGGAGGCAGAGGTTGCAGTGAGCCGAGATCACGCGATTGCACTCCAACCTGGCTGACAGAACGAAACTCTGCCTCAAACAGAAACAAAAACAAAACAGTGCTCTAATGGGCAGCCCTAAGTACACACAGGGGTAAGACTGCCTAGAGGATGACAAGTGCCATGACGGAAAGCAGTTCGTTCCTTTTTGGTCTAGAGCCAGGATCCTAGCCTCAAGTCAAGGCTTTCAAGAACTCATTTGTAGAAGTGAAACTCAGAGACCATATAGAGAACTTCATTTCTCCTGGGGGGCCCATGAAATTTATCTTGCACTAAGTTTCTTCTGTTTAAAACGCGAGTTTGCATGGCCGGGTGCAGTGGCTCACGCCTGTAATACCAGCACTTTGGGAGGCCGAGACGGGTGGATCACAAGGTCAGGAGATCGAGACCATCCTGGCTAACATGGTGAAACCCTGTCTCTATTAAAAATACAAAAAATTAGCCGGGTGTGGTGGCGGGTGCCTATAGTCCCAGCTACTTGGGAGGCTGAGGCAGGAGAATGGCGTGAACCCAGGATGTGGAGCTTGCAGTGAGCCGAGACTGCACCACTACACTCTAGCTTGGGCGACAGAGCAAGACTCTATCTCAAAAATAAATAAGTAAAAATAAAATGCCAGTTTGCAGGTATCCTAGTTATAAAAACAATATATGCAGAGCAAAGGGACTTAGGCCAGCCATCAACCACTTCTTGAGCAGGCAGAAGGGGAAATCCAATCTGGCCTCTGCCTATACCAAGCTCCAACACAGGGAGCTCTGTGGACAAGTTTGCCTTCTTGGGTGATTTCATGTCCTAATGAAAAACAGAAGAGGAAAGCGAAGTACTTTACAAGGTCCAGCAATTGGGGATGCAGTTTCAGATAGAAAAGGTGGGCTATCTCATTTGCGCTAGATTTTTTTTTAAATGGATCCTACCCCACTGCTGCACATTACCAGAGTTGAACAGTTAGCCCAGTTGAGAAGCTATTTCAGAATCTGTGAAGCTTTGAGTTGTACATGGTGAGTGTGAGACTGCATAGGCCTTCTAAAGACACTGAAAGCACCTTCTACTAGCTCACCCTGGTACAGTGTTCTCTCTCCACTTTAACACCCCACAGTTGTAGTGTCCCTGGCAATCTTACCAGTTTCCACGAGTTCTATGGGTTCTGCTTCCAAGGAGATCTCGGGGGTGGAGGTTGCTTCCCGAGTTCGCTTCTGAGCTTGTCTAGAATTTATTGCTCCACCACGACGCTTTCTCTGAGTAGCAAGGGGGAAAGAAGAGTCACATGAACACCAGAATGTCAGGGTTTCAGGAAGAACTAAATGGGCAATAGAAATGGTTCACTTCATTAAGAAGCCAGCGAGTAGACTTGAAGTTAGGGCTCCTTTCAAAACTTGAGATTCAAGAATACTGAATGCTTACGGAGAGAGAAACCATCCAAAACATAAAATGAGTAGAAATTCCAGAAAGTAAAACTTCTGTTTTATCAAACTATCAGCAGGTCGGCTGGGCATGGTGGCTCACACCTGTAATCCCAGCACTTTCGGAGGCTGAGGTGGGCGAATCATGAGGTGAGGAGTTCAAGGTCAGCCTGGCCAACATGGTGAAGCCTCATCACTACTGAAAATACAAAAGTTAGCTGGGCGTGGTGGCAGGCACCTGTAATCCCAGCTACTCCAGAGGCTGAGGCAGGAGAATCACTTGAACCTGGGAGGCAGAGGTTGCAGTGAGGCGAGATCGCGTCACTGTACTCTAGCCCGGGTGACAGTGTGAGACTCCATCTCAAAAAAACTATCAGCAGGTCAAAAGGGACACGATGCATCCCTTTACAAAAGCTTGAGGCCAAGTCAGGATTTGGACTTGGTAGTGGATGCCCTGGCCAAAAGGCTGGAAACTCTTCCCTTTAACCAAAAGTTATCAATTTCTCTTCCTTGACTTTGTGTTCAGCCTTTCTGAGCCCTTTTTGTTTCTTAGCATAAAGAACTTGGAGTTTTCTGAGTTTCTATACATTGTGGAAAGCTTATCTTCCCCTGGGAAATGTGGCCTTGAACCTTTCAGGGCACTATCAACTGTGATTCACACCAGACAATCACTCCCCACAAAGAACTCAAAGAACCAAAGCTGTTTTAAGCCTGTTCCCAGTGGCTACCCAAGAGCCATGTCTTCCGGAAAGTTCAGGCTCTCAGCTGGTTGATAAGCAACTGACACTCTGACCAGCCTTTCTTCCAAATCCTTAGGCTGCTGGTTTGCCAATATGCTCCAGCATTTCTGGTCTGCCTGGTCCCAAAAGACAAGCTGAGAATATCCTCCACCTTAATCAAGAGACAGAGCTGGCCAGGCGCAGTGGCTCAGGCCTGTAATCCCAGCACTTTGGGAGGCAGAGGCAGGCGGATCACCAGAGGTCAGGAGTTCAAGATCAGCCTGGGCAACACGGTGAAACCCGTCTCTACTAAAAATACAAAATTAGCTGGGCGTGGTGGCACATGCCTGTAATCCCAGCTACTCGGGAGGCTGAGGCAGGAGAATCACTTGAACCTGGGAGGTGGAGGATGCGGTGAGCCGAGATTGTGCCATTGCACTCCAGCCTGGGCAACAAGAGTAAATCTCCATCTCACCCCCCCCCAAAAAAAAAAGAGCTTCCCAACAGAGCCTGTCACCTTGTATTCCCACTGGTGTTTCCGTGCTCTTCTCCCTGTGCCCTGTCCTGCTATCCTTTGCACTGGACAACCTGGGACAAGTACTGCACTACTAAGTCTCAAGTTCCTCACCAGTACCAGCCTTGCAGAGCTGTTATAAGGTCTAAATGAGATCATGTATGTAAAGTACTGCGCAGAGACGGAAGATGCTACTACTATCCCAATTCCTTAGCCTTACTAGGGTCAATCTGTCCCAGGAAACTCTGAAAGGACCAGATATTGCAGGAGAGATTCATACAAGATCCAGGAACACCCACCATCCAGCCAAGCCCTCGCTAGGCAACAGGGATAAGCCTGATTCTGTGTTCCAATGCTACTCTTATCAAATGGCAGCTTGAGATGTTTTGGAAATGAAGCTGGGTCTAGTAACTTCCCACGGACTAAGGAGCACAGAACCAGCCCCAGGAGGGCCCAGAGGCCAAGCGACAGCAGCCAAAACTCCCAAGTGAGCAGCTGCTCTTGGCCTCAAGGGAGCTGACACTAACCTCAGTGGAGTTCTACTGCCCAGTGTTTTAAGGGTTTCCCCAGCAGCCACCAGGTTGCTTATGTAAAAAGTAAAGTAGAGGTTCCTCTTCAAAGACTTTCCTCCCCATCTAATTAGAAATAAATAGTAACTTCTCTTAAAAGCAAAATTTATTCAAAGACCTGTACTAACATTCTTAAATATCTGCTAGCCATAATAAAGAAATCAATGTACTTTATATTCTTAGCTCCCACAATTTAGCCTAAATATTTACCTTGGCATGCTTATATTAGTCCAAGCAAGCATTAGATCATAGCCTGTTCCTCTTCCTTATTTAAAGGTTATTTTTACCTTTTTCAGCATTCCACAAGTTACTTCCTCCTTCCTTTATTCTCCTCTGCCTTTGCCTCTTTTCAAAAGTTCTGGCCAGGTGTGGTGGCGCATGCCTGTAATCCCAGCACTTTGGGAGGCTGAGGCGGGCGGATCACAAGGTCAGAAGATCGAGACCATCCTGGCTAACACGTAGAAACCCCATCTCTACTAAAAAATACAAAAAAAATTAGCCAGGCGTGGTGGCGGGCACCTGTAGTCCCAGCTACTTGGGAGGCTGCGGCAGGAGAATGGTGTGAACCCGGGAGGTGGAGCTTGCAGTGACCCCGAGATCATGCCACTGCACTCCAGCCTGGGCGACAGAGTGAGACTCTGTCTCCAAAAAAAAAAAAAAAAAAAAGTTCTAAGTTGCTAGCCAATTGGGACAAATACAGAATGTGAGGTCCTGTTCCAGCCAATAAAAACTGGATACAGCAGCAGAGTAAACACATCAAGTTATAAATAACCCTGTCTCCTTTATTCAATGTATTCTCATGGCAAAACAACTGGTGAGTGTACCCTTTCTGCAGAAAGTATAAATATGGCCTTGCTAAAAAAAATTGAATTTACGTTCAAATGCTATTTCTTTACAGCACCAGAAAACAAGCATTTCAAACACTTAGGACTCTTTAATATTTACCCCATTCTCGTGGATCACGAGGTCAGGAGTTCAAGACCAGCCTGGCCAAGATGCTGAAACCCCGTCTCTACTAATAACACAAAAAGTAGCTGGGCGTGGTGGCATGCACCTGTAGTCCCAGCTACTCGGGAGGCTGAGGCAGGAGAATCGCTTGAACCCGGGCAGCAGAGGTTGCAGTGAGCCAATATTGCATCCACTGCACTCCAGCCTGGGCGACAGAGCAAGACTCTGTCTCAAAATAATAATAATAAATAAATGAAAATATTTACCCCATTCTCTTTGACAATGTCCTTTGTCCTCGTATAGGCTCCTTCCCTTGTAGCCAAGTCTTTTTTTTTTTTTTTTTTTTTTAAGACGGAGTCTCACTCTGTTGCTCAGGCAGGAGTGCAGTGGAATGATCTCGGCTCACCACAACTTCTGCCTCCCAGGTTCAAGCGATTCTCCTGCCTCAGCCTCCCGAGTAGCTGGGATTACAGGCACCCGCCACTGTGCTTAGCTAATTTTTTTGTATTTTTAGTGGAAACGGGGTTTCACCATGTTGGCCAGGCTGGTCTCGAACTCCTGACCTTGTGATCCACCATGCCCAGCCTGTAGCAGACCAAGTCTTTCTTACTAGGCACTGCTAAGCAGACCTCCATGTCCCACAGCTACCTGTGTGGTTTCTGGGCCCCACTGAGGGAGCCAAGAAAGCAGCCATGGGTCCTGGACCCAAAATCTCCCCTCACGGATAATTACAGGAATGTCCCCACCCCTCCCTAACCTCAGGAATCCTCTTTTCTGCCTGCTCTATCGACCCCTCCATGCCTTTAACCAGAGCTTCTTCCCTGCCTGGAGTGCCTGTCCCTCCCTTTCTTTACTTGGCCAATTCTTGCACAGCTTTCCAGAACCCACTCAAATGTCACCTCCTTCCTGAGGACATCCTTTACCCTCCCACTCTGCTGTCTCTGAGCCTCCTCCTCCCAAGTAGCTTCCCTGCACCACTCAAGACAGGCTCAATCAATCCAGGAATATCTGCAGAGCTCCCCACTCTGGCCCTCCCATAATTCTGGTCATAATTCTCTTCCTTTTCACTAGCAGGGCCCTCAGAGGTCCATAGCTTTTGGTGAAAACTGACCATCCTATCACAACCACATAAGCTATAACCACACCGTAACTTTCAGGAATTTTAACCAATTTCTTCACACACATGCACAAAAGGCTACATTGTTTTGCCTGTTCTGATCTGGCCTAAGCAGAGATGGGTTAAGGCTTAAAGCACCTATTTCCCCATAGGTGAGCTACATGGTAACCTGCAGGTGAAGCACCAAGGTGGGAGGTCAAAGAAGTGGGCTTTTTTGTGTATCACCATCAAAAGTGGGCCCTGGAGCACAATGGCGGCCAGGAAGTAACAGAAGAGGGTGAGGACCCAAAAGGCTCAGAGGGTGTGACCAGCATTTCCATCACTGTTCCCTCTGACAGCTGTTTGTTCAGTCTCACCTGTCCCCACCATCCATCTTCCCATACCATTCACAGTACTTCTGGAGCACTGGAAGAAATCAGCAGGCTATTTCACATCTGGTCTGTCTGACAAGGAATTCAGGATCTCAGACAACAGATGTTTTGAGTTTAGATCATTTGAACAAACTTGCAGTGAGAACTCTGTCAGTAGAGAATAAACTGGGACAGGGGGACCTTCAGGTAATCTCCTCGAGAGCTCAAGGGGTTCCAGGAGACACCTGAATTACACCAAACCAGAGCTGTCTCACAGATGTGATAAAAGCTCTAAACAGTCTGGGTATTGTCGCTCACTCTGGGAGCCTAGGTGGGAGGACTGCTTGAAGCCAGGAGTTCAAGATCAGCCTGGGTAATAAAGTAAGACTCCATGCCTACAAAAATGATTTTTCTTTTTTTTTTTTTTGAGATGGAGTCTTGCTCTGCCCCCAGGCTGGACTGCAGTGGCACGATCTCAGCTCACTGCAAGCTCCGCCTCCCAGGTTCATGCCATTCTCCTGCCTCAGCCTCCTGAGTAGCTGGGACTACAGGCGCCCGCCAACTATGCCTGGCTAATTTTTTGTATTTTTAGTAGAGACGGGGTTTCACCGTGTTAGCCAGGATGGTCTTGATCTCCTGACCTCGTGATCCGCCCACCTCGGCCTCCCAAAGTGCTGGGATTACAGGCATAAGCCACCGCACCTGGCCAATTTTTTCTTAAAAATTGGCCAGGTGCGGTGGTGCATGCCTATGATCCCAACTACTCAGGATGCTGAGGTGAAAGGATTGCTTGACTCCAGGAGTTGGAGACTGCAGTGAGCTATGATCACACCACTGCACTCCAGACTGGGAGACTGAGTGAGACCCTGTCTCTTAAAAACAAATAAAAACGGCTGGGTGCGGTGGCTCATGCCTGTCATCCTAGCACTTTGGGAGGCCAAGATCACTTGAGGTCAGGAGTTTGAGACCAGCCTGGCCAACATGGTGAAATCACATCTCTACTAAAAATACAAAATCAGCTGGGTGTGGTGGTAGGTGCCTGTAATCCAAGCTACTCCGGAGGCTGAGGCAGGAGAGTCGCTTGAACCTGGGAGGCGGAGGTTGCAGCAAGCCGAGATGGTACCACTGTACTCCAACCTGGGCAACAGACTCCATCTCAAAAAACAAACCAAAATAGCCTGGCCAACATGGCAAAAACTGGTCTCTATTAAAAATACAAAATTAGCTGGGCGGGGAGGTGCATGCCTGTAATCGCAGCTATGTGGGAGGCTGAGGCACAAGAATCACTTGAACCCAGAACGTGGAGGTTGCAGTGAGCCGAGGTCGGGCCACTGCACTCCAGGCTGGGTGACAGAGCGAGACCCTGTTTCAAAAACAAACAAACAAAAGCGCTAAACAGTAATTATAATGACGAATCAACTTTGGTCAGTGAATATAAGAAACTTTTCACTATGGATTATTACTACCATGCTCACACTGAATGAACCAAGAATGTCACAGGGAAACAAAACAGACGGGAAAACAGAAAACTGGGTTGCAAATACTTTATAGAGTCTCACTCAGTCATCCTGCCGAAATGCAGTGGTGTGATCATAGCTAGCCTTGAACTCTTGGGCTCAAGGAATCTTCCTGCCTCAGCCTCCCAAGTAGCTGGGACTACAGGTGCGCCCCACCACGCCTGGCTACATTTTGTTTGTTTGTAGAGATGGGGCCTATGTTGCCCTGGCTGGTCCTAGGCTCAAGTAATCTTTTTACCTTCACGCCTCCAAGTGTTGAGATTACACATGAGCCACCATGCCCAGTCTACAAACAATTTTAAAAAGCAAAAAGTTTTAGTATTTCTATGACACTGACAACTGTTGTGAAGGTCTGAGATTACCAAACCCTAAGCTATTCCTTCTCAGCCTTTTGTCTTCAGGGCTCTGCCCTTTATGACTCGAATGTAGCTCAATGTCGGTAAGTAAGCTGATGTAACCACCAGAAAGCTCCTATACATACTCCTTCAAGAAGTGGGGTTACTTAGAAGTGACATTATGGAACTCACTTTCACTAATGTGCTACAAGGAATAAGGTAGTTAATTAGCCCTACAAAATTAAAAATTCAAGAGATGATAAAACTTACTGTACTCATTGTGCTCTTTGGTGCCTTTCCTTTCCTACAGAAAAGGAAGTGATCTATACCAAGGTTTGCAGGGAAGTCAAATGTTCTCAACCTTTCATGCCCTCTGGTTACTCATCTGGCTTGCAAAATAATTTGGATCCGGACAGATTTCCAGTATTTTCAAGTCCTGAAAAACAAAGATATTAATTTGATAAATACTGCCACTTACATCATTGAAACAAAGCTGAGCTCAATAATGTACTGGTCCTTCCTGTCCCTAGGTTATTTGCTTACTATTTCACGCAATGACATCCTTAATCCTATATTCATCTTAGGAAGTAAGCATTCTTGTCGCATGTAGGACTTCCTGATCCCAAAGCCTGCAATTGTAATTATTATGCCACCTCCTACTCTTCTTCCTGGCTCCTGCCACCTTGGCAAGGTACCGTGCTAACTGCTGGGAGGAGGTGCGAGTCAGGACTGCCACACATGACCACACCAACTCCTCAGGAACCAGAAGGGAAGGGACAGAGCTTCTGAGGCCACAGCTCAGAGCCTCAGGTTCTTCCCACAATTTCACTGTCGCCGTCCGGAGTTGAGAAGACAAGAGCCACTCACTCTAAAGCATGTTGTGTGTCCAGCTGAGACTTCTGTTGCTGGGACCAGGTGAATGGTGAATCGGGAGGCTGTGGACTAGGCAGCCAAGCAGAAGCTTTGAGGAAAGGCAGAGAAATCACCAGATGCAGAGGCTGCGAGGCCCTTGGACTTCACTGAGAAGCGAGGCCGACCACGGTAAACTCAGCGTCAGCGACGCATGGTTAATGGAGCCACAAAGCCCTGAGCACAGGCAAGCCTGAGGGTTGAGAGAGAGCCAAAGCAAGGACAAGACCCTTGTGGCCACCCACTGCTGGGTGCTAGTGGCTTAGATTAGGAGAGTGCTTCTCAAGCATGAGCCTGTATCAGGCTCCCCCACAGAGGGCTCGTTAAGCACAGCCTGCTAGGCCCTCCAATTTACGTATCTAACAAGTTCCCAGGTGCTGCTTCCAGAGACCACACCATGGAACGTACTGAAGTAGCATAACGAGATGGAGTTGCAAAACAGACACAGGTGAGAGGGATCCAGGTGGCGGAAACGACAGGAACGCTCTCACATCCACCCTTCTGTGCATCCCCAGTGCTGTGCCGTGTCATCCTCCTGTGCACCATTACCATGCCTGCTCATGCTGGGTCTCCTGTCCCTGGGTGCCCGTCTACCCTACTGCCAGGCCATCTTTCCGAAACATTTGCCGCAGCAACTTTCCCTGGCTCCTTATCAAGGCCTAACTCCTAAGCATGGTGTGTGGAGCCAGGCTGGCACTGCAATTAGGGCACATCTCTTGAGCCAGGCAACTGAGATTGAAATCCAGGCATCGGCCGGGTGTAGTAGCTCACACCTGTAATCCCAGCACTCTGGGAGGCCAAGGCGGGTGGATCACCTGAGGTCAGGAGTTTGAGACTAGCCTGGCCAATATGGTGAAACCCCGTCTCTACTAGAAAATACAAAAAATTAGCCTGGAGTGGTGGTGGATGCCTGTAATTCCAGCTACTTGGGAGGCTGAGGCAGGAGAATCTCTTGAACCTGGGAGGCAGAGGAGCCGAGATCATGCCATTACACTCCACCCTGGACAACGAGAGCAAAACTCCATCTCAAAAAAATAAATAAATAAATAAAAAATGAAAATAAAATCCAGGCACCTGCAAACCCCAACCTGTGACCTTGGGGCATGGCATTGAACTTCTCTGTGCCCCATTTCCTTATCTATAGAACAGAACTGCACCTACCTTAATGGTGTGTGAGGATTCCAGAAGTTATTACAAGAGAGTGTTTGGAACAGTGCAGGCACACTGGAAAGGCTCAGTGTCTGTGGGCTGACACATACCCATCACCACACTCAGCCCCACAGCACCAGGTTGGCAGTCTCTCCAAATAAACCTTCCCAGTGACCAGCTCCAACCTTCTGCTCAAGCCCTAAAATGCTGTGTGATATCACATCCCACTCAGTTTTTTTTTGTTGTTGTTGTTGTTGTTTTTGAGACGGAGTCTCACTCTGTTGCCCAGACTGGAGTGCAGTGGGCTCACTGCAACCTCCACCTCCCAGGTTCAAGTGATTCTCCTGCCTCAGCCTCCCAGTAGCTGGGACTACAGGCATGTGCCACCACACCAGGCTAATTTTTCTACTTTTAGTAGAGATGGGGTTTCCACCAGGTTGGCCAGGCTGGTCTCGAACTTCTGACCTCAGGTGATCCACTTGCCTCGGCTTCCCAAAGTGCTGGGATTACAGGCATGAGCCACCACGTCTGTCCTCCCACCCAGCTTTAAGAAAGGATGCATACCTCCCCGCCTCATTCACAGTACAGCCCCTGCCCTGGGAATACAGCAATGAGCAAACACAGCCTCTGTGCAGAATCTAGGGCGGGGAGAAGGGTGAGGAGGGTGCTGGCAGGCAGCTATAACGAAGTTAGGAACTAAGTGTGCAAGAAGTACAGGAGGAGAAAGGGAGGCCAGAGTAGGTTTTTCAGGAGATGCCCAAAGGGACCGCCGTCCCAGCTGAGCTGAGCATTTTCTTCAGCACTTGGTCGTCTGGTTCTGAGAAAATGGCATACTGTATCTCACTCCCTGAGCGCCTCATTCTCTAGCTTGACCTCAATGGTTTAGAGGGGAAATCCCCTTCACTGTTTCACTCTAATAAAGGGTGACTTGCATCTCCTTAGGCTGGCCCATACTATGGGACTACGGGTGCTCTCAACAGAATGCACAAATGGGGCAGGCACAGTGGCTCATGCCCTATAACCCCAGCACTTTGGGAAGTTGAAGAGGGAGGATCTCTTGAGCCCAGGAATTGGAAACTAGCTTGGTTAACATGGTGAGATCCTGTCTCTATAAAAAAATTAAAATAATGAGGCTGGGCAGTGGCTCATGCCTGTAATCCCAGCACTCTGGGAGGCTGAGGCAGGCAGATCACTTGAGATCAGGAGTTCAAGACCAGCTTGGCCAACATGGCGAAACCCCGTCTCTACTAAAAATATAAAAATTAGCCGGGTGTGGTGGTGTGCGCCTATAATCCCAGCTACGTAGGAGGCTAAGGCACAAGAATCACTTGAACCCGGGAGGCGGAGGTTGCAATGAGCCAAGATGGCACCACTGCACTCCAGCCTGGCCAACAGAGAGAGACTCTGTCTCAAAAAATAAAAATAAAAACACATTAAAAAAATAGCCAGATGTGACGGTGCACACTTGTAGTCCCAGCTACTCCAGGGGCTGAGACAGGAGGATCACCTGAGCCCAGGAGGTCAAGACTGCAGTGAGCCATGACTGCACCATTGCACTCCAGCCCGGAGCACAAATGCTTCTCAAAGCAACACCTCACCTGGTAAGTGTTCAACTTTAAACAGACATTCAGGGAAGAGGCTCTGGCTAGGAAAAGACTTGTCTAGTTGGTTTCAACAGAGGTGGGAGGTGCCTCGACATCACCTTAGGACTCACAAGATCATTCAGACCACACGACAGTCCCAGATCCACCACATGTCCTGGGTTCTCATATCCACGAATGTTTCTGATCTCAAGAAATATCTTACATTTGGGTGCACATCTATCATATAGGGGCTTGTTCTCCCCGCCACATCAATAGCGTGTCTTAGAATTTAGAAAAGAGAAGCTACTGACAAAGGAAGACAGAGAAATCAGCCTGCAGAGCAAAGGGAAACACCTGATGTCCACACCCAGGCTGTTCCTAAGCCTCTCTCCTCCCACTTCACTGATATTGAGGCTTCCAAATACGGCTGCTGAAGATGTGCCTTGTGGCTGTCCTGGCCTGCACACCCCTCACCACTCTGAAACCAGCCTCCTGCATCCCTGCAGGCCCAGCTAGACCATTACTACTTCCCTGGGAAGCTTTCTGGAGCCCCCTCATTCTCCATGCCCTGGCCCATACAGCAATTCACCCCAAATCTGGTTTTTCTCTCTCTTTTGGGTTTAGTAAGGGTCAGGAGTCAGAGTTCAAAGGAATTTGGAAGGCTGGTCTTGGGGATAAGCCACCAAGAGGCTGGATTTCACCAGGGCACTGAGGTGAGACAGGAGCATTTCCAGCAGAGCATCCCAGCGTGGTGGGGACGTAGAAATGCAGAGTGAATGGAGACCTTAGCGGTCATGGGAAAGTAGCCCTCACCAACTACAAAGGGTTCTGGATCATGCAGGTGAGAGTCCAATGGAATAAGAAAACTAACAACAGCTGAGAGGTGCCTTCTCTGCATCTGCACAAGGCACTGCGCTTCCTAAATATTAATATCACCACATGTGCTCCTCACATCACCCAGTAAGGAAATAAGCACTGTTATGTTCCCCATTTTACCCATGAAGCAGCTAAGGATTAAAGTTAAGGAACTTCCCCAAAGTCATCCACACCTAGTAAACAGAGCCTAGACTTAAACCAGGGCAGTCTGATACCAAGACCCACACCCTCAAATAGGTATGTTAGTGCCAGAATCAAATACATCAATTCCAGAAACTAGCGGGAACACTGACGGTGATTTTTCAGATTTCTCAAATTTAGTGTGTTCCAAAAGGAACCCTTGCCTCCTCCTTCCGCCAACATATACTCCATTTCAAGAAAGGGCCCCACCATCCTCCAGTCTCTCGTCCAGTATGCTCTCACTTAGGTAAGCGCTACGAGGACAAGGCTCTATTTACTTTCTACCTAGCTAAGACCTTACACAAAGCAGATGCTCATATTTATTGAAGGAATAAATGAGGGTAAGAGTGGGGTGTTGATGGCGCCCCTGCCACTGAGAAAAGAGGAGCTGGGGTAGAGAAGTGGTCATTCCTAACTGGGGATGGTCAGGAGAGCCGGATGCTAGGTATTCCTAAAGCTTCCAAGGTGAAAGGAGAAACAACTCACGCCAAGGTATCTAGCTTCTTACTCTGCAAGAATGAGGCCATAAAACCCAATGAGGGAAGGGAGAACAGAAACAGGTGCTGAGTGTAGTTTTAGAAAAGCAGGGTGTGAGACACCCAGGGAGAAAGGGCCCAAGGTAGCTGGAAACTCAAGAGTGAGAACTCGGATGGACGTAGAGATTTCAGAATGTGTGAAAACTTGGGGAGGCAGGTAGATAGAATCTGTAAAAGAGAATTTAAAAGAAACAAAGCTAGGAGAACCTGGAGCCGTCACTCAGACAAAACCTCCTTCTTCAAGGAGGAGGAAGCAGTGAACAGCTGCAATGCACAGGCTGGGGAACTGAAAGGCGGCCAGTGAGCTCAAACACGGAAGTGGGACGCTGGTGACCTAAGCAAGTGGAAGCAGCAGCAAAGGAGTCGCAGTCCCAGCCCAAACGCGCTGAGGATCAAGCCGGGCTGTCTAGAGGAAGCAGTGCTGAATGGGGCCTCAAGTGACAGGAGGAGTTAATTAAGAAACAATGTATGTGGGTGGGGTGGGCGGAAGGGAGCAGGGATGTCCCACACGAGCACTGTGTGGAGGACAACAAAGGTGCCGAGGGTTCCTAACAAGCCTCACTGACTACACCCTCAGGACAGGGCCATCGAGGGTTTTGGGACAGAGATGACATGTTGAGATCTGCATTTAGAGACCATGTCACCTGTGTCTGGTGAGAACAGATGGGAGACTGAACAAGTCAGACTGTAGACCAAGGAGGAGACTCAGGGTAGCCCAGGTGAGAAGAAAGCCATGAGGCTCGGGGTAGTGGCAGAGTATAGGACAGAGAGGTGACTGACGGGATGGAAGCTGGAAGGGCTTTGGGGCTTTCTTCATTCTTATAGATTTATTATTTAAGGTCTAAGTAATTATTCTGTTTTTCTTAGAGGTCCCCCCCAATAAAGCTATTATAAGCACTTCAGATATTGACCCCCCCCACTCTAGCAGGAGTGTGACATATAATTATGTGTATTCATGGTATATATGTATACGATGTGCAGATGCTCCTTGACGTACAATGGGGCTAACTCCCAATAAATCATAAGTTGAAAAATTCTAAATGAAACACTGTAAGTCAGGGACTGTCCGTGTATGCATATGTGCATGTGTCTCTATCATACATAAAGGAGTCTGCTAATGGATAGAGACATACAGGCGGGCAGGAAACAGGAAGAGTGTTAGACTGGAACCAAATTCTATGACCCTATCTCATACCACTGTATTCCTATGAGCAAAGAGTCAGCTGAAAAGGGGCAGTGGGGAGCACAGCAGAACCAGAATGATATCGTAACTCTGCAGCCAGTCCACAGGGAGATGCTCTAACGAGAAGCTCTTCTGTTTAGCCTAGGCCTACACCAGGTACACAGAACCCTCAAACCCCACCTGGGAGGCAGAGTCTGATACAATTACCCACTGAAAATAAGAGACCTGGGTCAGGCATGGTGGCTCACACCTGTAATCCCAGCACTTTGGGAGGCCGAGGCGGGGGGGGATCACCTGAGGCCAGGAGTTCGAGACCAGCCTGAACAATATGGTGAAACCCACCCCCTACTAAAAATACAACAATTAGCTGGGTGTGGTGGTGGGCGCCTGTAATCCCAGCTACTCGGGAACCTGAGGCAGGAGAATCGCTCGAACCCAAGAGGTGGAGGTGAGCCGAGATCGCACCATTGCACTCCAGCCTGCGCAACAAGTGAAACTCAGTCTCAAAATAAATAAATAAATAAAAATCAATAAAAACAAATAATTTTTTTTTGAGACACAGTCTTGTTCTGTCACCCAGGCTGGAGTGCAGTGGTGTGATCTTGGCTGACTGCAGCCTCCACCTCCCAGGTTCAAGCAATTCTTGTGCCTCAGCCTCCCAACTAGCTGGGATTACAGGAACCCACCACCATGCCCGGCTAATTTTTGTATTTTTAGTAGAGATGGGGCTTTGCCATGTTGGCCAGGCTGGTCTCCAACTCCTGACCTCAAGTGATCTGCCCACCTTGACTTCCCAAAGTGCTGGGATTATAGGTGTGAGCCACCGCACCTGTTCACAAACACCTCTTAAACAGAACTTTGATACCCTCAGTCATATCAATAACCACACCTTAATACTCAGAAGAAATATGAGCCTCTTGCTCATTATACAAATGAGGGTATGTGGTTAAGCGGTCAGCAATGATGTGGCTGGCCAATAAGCCCTACAGCCTTGGACAAATACTTGCCTTCTGTGCCTCAGTGTCCACATCTTTAATTGAGTAGAACACCTCACCTCTGTGGAACCAGTGACCGCTGAATGAAACACCCAGTATGGTTCCTAGCACCCAGAAGGCAGCTCTATCAACTAATTTGCTAACTATTCACAGGTGCCTAGTCTGGGTAAGGCACTGCTCCAGGGGCTAGGAATGGGATGGGAAACAGCAACAAAAAACTACCCATGGAGCATATATCCTAGCTGGAAAGATGATCAACAAATCAAGTAATAAATAGGTATTATATCAGAAGGGCTGGAGAGCATGTCCCTTCTTACAGGTATGAGTGCTATTAAATAAAGGCAAAACAAACCTTCACCCCAGGAGGAACTGGAACCAATGTTTCCGGCTCTCAGCAAGGGCTTTATTCATTTCCAGAACAGACTTGGCAGGATGTAGCTAATCACAACGGCTTAGACTTAGAACAGGACTCAGAGGAGGTTGAAGAAAGCCGGCACACAGCCAATGACAGGCAGTTCTCACCCAGAGTTATTTATTCCTAAGGCTCAGGGGCCTTGAACATTGGCCTCCCCTGAAGGTTTGCAGGGACAAGAGGAATGAATTTGATCAAAGCAGAAAGCAGCAGACTATGCTCAGAGAGGCAATGAGGCTTGTTCAGATGCCAAGTAACCAGGTCTTCCATAAAATTATCTTATGGCCCCGATTAAGCTGCCACCAGCAATCAGGCTACAACCAAAATCCCCAGGGGCCTGAAAGGAGCAAAGGGCTTTCACATCTATCAGCCAAGATGGCCTAGGCTTTGGGGCCTCATATAAAAACAAGGTAATTTCTGGGAGCCAGGAGAAAGGGTAAGATAATGAAGGAAACCTAAGGATCCACTCCTCCGGAGGCCGAGGGGCAGATGTACCTCAGATGCTAGAGGCCGTCAACATCCTCGACACTTCCCCAGGGCCCACAGTCAGCACAGGAGGCAGGCTTGCCAAGCTACCTGGTGTTGATGGCCACTGAGCACAGAGCCTGCTGGAGACCAGCTAGCAGCTTAGCTGCCTCTACTGTATTCAGAACCCAGGGTTGGCTGGGGTACAGGGATGGTTGTGAGACACTCACAAATCTGATTATTTGACCCATACCAGATGGGAGCAACTGAGCAGTGCCCCACAATGGGAATTCTCGAAGGGCACACCAGAGGGGGCCTAATCTCAAACAGCACTGTCTCTGGCTCCGGGCTCCTAAAGAGAGACATGTTCTTCTACTCTTAGTCAGATGCATCTGTGGGCTAAGGGACAATACAAGCTGTCACCAAAGGGCTAGCCAAACTCAACTCTCTAGGGGCTTGCATCTTGGTGGAGAAATCCAGCACCCAGAAGCCCTAATCTAGGCCCTCTTCAACTCTCCTTCAACACTTTACCTAGAAAGTAGACTAACAAATCAGTGTCCCAGCCTGGGCAACATGGGGAAATCCTGTCTCTACAAAAAAATACAAAAACTTAGCCGGGCATAGTGGTGTACGACTGTAGTCCCAGCTACTTGGGAGGCTGAGGTGGGAGGCTCGCTTGAGACTGGGAGGTTGAAGCTGCAGTGAGCCCTGACCATGCCACTGCACTCCTGCCTCGGTGATAGAGCGAGACTCTGTCTTTAAAAAAACACAAAAACACACATGCAAGTCAAAAAAATCACTGGCTCCCAGGGAAGATAAAAGCAGGCACGCACAACAGGAATGCTCTGAAGGAGACAGAAAGGCAGAAGAGAGCAGGAGGAGGAGGTCCAAGGAACTGAAAAGCGCCACAAGGTAATGCTAAGAATCACCAGGCTCCAAAATATCCAAGAATATTGCAAGTATTGCTCCCAAATAATCACAAGCATTGCCTACAGAACATAGGTCAAAGTCTTTATATCATACCAACCTCCCCTCCCAACTCGTCCTCACTTTTCTGGGTTCATTTGCAGTTACGGACATATGTGTTCCTTAAAAAAAATAAAAAAGCATCTTGCTATGCAAAAACCCACCATTTGTGAGGAAAAATGGAATTAGGGCACAACACTGAAAAATGTTGTCAGTGACACACACACACAAAACAATCTAGTGAAAATGGTAGTAAAGCTCTACACATGAGAAATGGTTAAGAAATACAAGTAACTGTGATACTTTACCTTGAAAAAGGCCTGAAGCTTGCTCTGTGGAAGCGGGCCTCAGTCAGTTTACAGATTGTGAGTTATTGAGAAGTGGAGGCAAAGAGAGTGAATGCTGTAACATCAGATGGACACAAATGTGGCTCACATACAAGTCAACTGAGGTGACTGATCTATGTGGAAGGTGTGTATATTACATGGCTTGGTTCAGCTGGCCTCAACTTTTTGCGTTCACCTAATATTTCTCACAGATGACACTGTGGGCAGCAAACTCTCAAGTGGTTCTCTAATACAGCAACCTCACTGGAACAAACTCATCTTTCCAAACAAACACTTCAAACAGAACTGTACTTTACTCCAGGTATCCTGGAAGTCAGTTCAAAGTACCTGACTTTGGACCTCAAAGAAGGTCCGAAGTTGGCCAGGTTGGTCCTGCCGCTCCCACCCCGCTTTAGGGAATTTCTGCTCGTTCTTCAGGGCCTACCTCAAAGGTTGCTTCCATTTCTCTCACTCCTCCTAGTCCTGACTTAACCATTTCTTCTATACTCCCTTAAATCAAGAAACATAACTTATCAAATACTTATCATGGTGTCCCCACCCACTAGCACAGCACTTGGCACAAACATGTAAATGAGATTTTTTTTTTTTCCTCACTGAAATTATCAAGGTCTGAGCTCACACCTGTAATCCCAGCACTCTGGGAGGCCAAGGTGGGCAGATTACCTGAGGTTGGGAGTTTGAGACCAACCTGGCCAACATGGTGAAACCCCACCTCTACTAAAAATACAAAAATTAGCCAGGCATGGTGGTGGGCATCTGTAATCCCTGCCACTCAGGAGGCTGAGGCAGGAGAACCCCTTGAACTCGGGAGGCAGAAGTTGCAGTGAGCCAAGATTGCGCCATTGCACTCCAACCTGGGTGACAGACTGAGACTTTGTCTCAAAAAAAAAAAAAAAAAAGAATGAATGAATGAAATTATCAAGCTCTAGGGCCAGGCATGGTGGCTCATGCCTGTAATCCCAGCACTTTGGGAAGCCAAGGCAGGATTGCTTGAGCCCAGGAGTTCTGGACCAGCCTGGGCAACATGGTGAAACTCCTTCTCTACAAAATATTAATACCAAAGAAAAAAAAAAATTAGCAGGGTGTGGTGGCACGTGCCTGTAGTCCCAGTTACTCAGGAGGCTAAGATGGGAGGATCGCTTGTGCCCTGGGAGGTTGAGGCTAGAGTGAGTTATGACTGTGCTACTGCACTCCAGCCTGGGCAAGACCCTTGTCATTCTGAACACCGACCCCCAACAAAAGTTATCAAGCTCCTCACATGCTTGAAAGAGATGGCGGATACCTTGAAAAGATGGCAGAGTGTTTTTGAAAGAGAAAAAAATAATTTCAGAGATGGGGGAAATGAAGCCTTTACATTGCAAGTAAAAACAGTCACAATTAGGAAACAAAGAAAGCCTTAAAAGCAGGACGGGGGACAGTACAGCCGTGTGCACCTGTATTAGTCCGTTTTCACGCTGCTGAGACAGACATACTTGAGACTGGCCAATTTACAAAAGAAAGAGGTTTAATGAACTTAACAGTTCCACATGGCTGGGGAAGCCTCACAATCAAGGTGGAAGGCAAGGAGGAGTAAGTCCCGTCTTACGTGGATGGCGGCAGGCAAAGAGAGCTTGTGCACGGAAACTCCCCCTTATAAAACTATCAGATCTCATGAGACTTATTCACCATCACCAGAACATGGGAAAGACCTGCCCCCATGATTCAATTACCTCCCACCGGGTCCCTCCCACATGTGGAAATTCAAGATGAGATCTGGGTGGGGGACACAGCCAAACCATATCATTCCACCCCTGGCCCCTCCCAAATCTTATGTCCTCACATTTTAAAATAAATCATGCCTTCCCACAGTCCCAAAGTCTTAACTCATTTCAGCATTAACTCAAAAGTCCAAAGTCTCATCCGAGACAAGGCAAGTCCCTTCCACCTATGAGCCTGTAAATCAAAAGCAATTTAGTTACTTCTTAGATACAACGGGGGTGCAGGCATTGGGTAAATACAGCCATTCCAAATGGGAGAAATTGGCCAAAACAAAGGGGCTACAGGCCCCATGCAAGTCCGAAATCCAGCAGAGCAGTCCAAATCTCAAAGCTCCAAAATGATCTCCTTTGACTCCATGTCTCACATCCAGGTCACGCTGATCCAAGAGGTGAGTTCCCATGGCCTTAGGCAGCTCCACCCCTGTGGCTTTGCAGAGTACAGCCTCCCTCCCGGCTGTTTTCACTGGGTGGTGTTGAGTGTCTGCAGCTTTTCCAGGTGTACAGGGCAAGCTGTCAGTGGATCTATCATTCTGGGGTGTGGAGGACAGTGGCCCTCTTCCCACAGCTCTACCAGGTGGTGCTCCAGTAGGGACTCTGCTTGGGGGCTCCAACCCCACATTTCCCTTCCACACTGCCCTAGCGGAGGTTCTCCATGAGTGTCCCGCCCCTGCAGCAAACTTCTGCCTGGGCATCCAGGTGTTTCCATGCATCCTCTGAAATCTAGTGGAGGTTCCCAAACCCTCATTGTTGACTTCTGCGCACTCGCAGGCTCAACACCATGTGGAAGCTGCCAAGGTTTGGGGCCTGCACCTTCTGAAACCACAGCCTGAGTTCTACTCTATGTTGGCCCCTTTTGGCCACAGCTGAGACGGCTGGAACGCAGGGCACCAGGCCCCTAGGCTGCACACAGCAGGGGAACCCTGGGCCCAGCCCAGGAAACCATATTTTCCTCCTGGGCATCTGGGCCTATGATGGGAGGGGCTGCCATGAAGGCCTGTGACATGCCCTGGAGACATTTCCCCCCACTGTCTTGGGGATTAACGTTTGGCTCCCTGTTACTTATGCAAATCTCTGCAGCTGGCTTTAATTTCCCCTCAGAAAATGGAATTTTATTTTCTAGCACATTGACAGGAGGCTGCAAATTTTCCAAACTTTTATGCTCTGCTTCCCTTATAAAACTGAATGCCTTTAACTGTACCCAAGTCATCTCTTGAATGCTTTGCTGCTTAGAAATTTATTCTGCCAGATACCCTAAATCATCTTTCTCAAGTTCAAAGTTCCACAAATCTCTAGGGCAGGGGCAAAATGCGGCTAGTCTCTTTGCTGAAACATAACAGGAGTGACCCTTGCTCCAGTTCCCAACAAGTTCCTCATCTCCATCTGAGACCATCTCAGCCTGGATTTCATTGTCCATATCCTTATCAACATTTTGGTCAAAGCCATTCAACAAGTCTCTAGCGAGTTCCAAACTTTCCCACATTTTCCTGTCTTCTTCTGAGCCCTCCAAACTGTTCCAATCCCTGCCTGCTACCCAGTTGCAAAGCTGTTTCCAAATTTTCAGGTATCTTTTCAGCAGCATCGCACTCTACTGGTACCAACTTACTGTACCAGTATGTTTTCACGATGCTAATAAAGACATACCTGAGACTGGGCAATTTACAAAAGCAAGAAGTTTACAAAAGCCAGTTCCAAATGGCCGGGGAGGCTTCACAATCATGGCGGAAGGCAAGGAGAAGCAAGTAAGTCATGCCTTACATAGATGGCAGCAGGCAAAGAGAGCTTGTGTAGGGAAACTCCCCCTTATAAAAGCATCAGATCTCTTTTGTTTTTTTAGATTAAGTCTACTCTGTTGTCCAAGCTGGAGTGCAGTGGCATGATCTCGGCTCACTGTAATCTCCACCTCCTGGGTTCAAGCAATTCTCCTGCCTCAGCCTCCCAAGTAGCTGGAACTACAGGCATGTACCACCATGTCCAGCTAATTTTTGTATTTTTAGTAGAGACAGGGTTTCACTATGTTGGCCACACTCATCTTGAACTCCTAACCTCGTGATCCGCCCGCCTTGGCCTCCCAAAGTGCTGGGATTACAGGCATCAGCCACCGCCCCCGACCTAAAGCATCAGATCTCTTGAGACTTATTCACCATCATGAGAACAGCATGGGAAAGACCTGCCCCCAAGATTCAATTGCCTCCCACTGGGTCCCTCCCACAACATGTAGGAATTCAATGTGAGATTTGGGTGGGGACACAGCCAAACCATATCAGCACCTGTATTCCCATTTACTTGGGACACTGAGGCAAGAGGATTAATTTAGCTTAAAGTTTGAGGCTGTAGGCAGGGCATGGTGGCTCATGCTTATAATCCCAGCACTTTGGGAGGCTGAGGCGGGCAGATCACCTGAAGTCAGGAGTTCAAGACCAGGCTGGCCAACATAGTGAAACCCTGTCTCTAATAAAAATACAAAAATGAGCTAGACGTGGTGCTGCCCACCTGTAATCCCAGCTACTCGGGAGGCTGAGACAGGTGAATCACTTGAACCCAGGAGGTGGAGGTTGAAGTGAGTTGAGAAAGAACAAGATTCTGTCTTTAAAAAAAAAAAAAAGTTTTAGGCTGTACTGTGCTATATAATTGCACCTGCAAATAGCCACTGCACTCCTGCCCGGGAAACATAGGAAGACAACCTTCTCTTAAATTAAAAAAAAAAAAAAAAGAAAGAAAGAAAAGGGCTGGACGTGGTGGCTCACACCTGTAATCCCAGCACTTTGGGAGGCCGAGGTGGGTGGATCACAAGGTCAGGAGTTCGAGACAGGCTGGCCAACATGGTGAAACCCCATCTCTAGTAAAGATACAAAAAATTAGCCAGCCGTGGTGGCACATGCCTGTAATCCCAGGTCCTTAGGAGGCTGAGGCAGGAGAATTGCTTGAACCCGGGAGGCAGAGGTTGCAGTGCTGAGATCGTGCCACTGTACTCCAGCCTGGGTGACAGAGCAAGACTCCGTCTCAAAAAACAAACAAAAAACAAAAAAACACAGATGATCATGATGGGAGAATAGGAGAGAACATTTCTACCTGAGGCATTTTCAACTTTTCAACTTGCAAGAGTAGGAGGCGAGAACCAACACTGGAAGACATCAAGAAGGTACTTACAAGGGAAGCAAATTTTAGTGCAGGTAACACAGAATGCTGCCATATTTAGGAGCAGAATTTAGCAGTAGTTTGGCTAAAGTAAGAGGTGAGGTGTGGCAGACAGGGAAATGCCTAGGCCCTAGGACAACTTCCCTTAGCTGGTGAGAGGAGAAAACTTAGGAAAAATAACTTTGAGGAATACAATACAGTTACTGAGAATCAATAAATTTTCTTGAGGATAATTATCAGACTCCTCTGCGGTGAAAGCAAAAATAAAGATACTATTTTGTTTTTACTATTTGAAGTTTCTAGAAACATTGGCCATGTGCTTTCCCACCACACAAAAAAAGCAGATGACATAACAAAGCCTAACAAAAGGAACAAAGGTAGGAGTCAGGGGTGGGGTGAAGTTTCGAGCTCTGCTTACTAATTGTGTGACCTTGGGCAAGTGACCCTGATCTCCCAGTGCCTCAGGAAGAGTAAAATGGGGCTAACTACAACAACTATCTTATAGAGTGGTTCTGTAAGAGAGTAAGAAGTAGGGAATCACTCAACCATAGATATTAAATCATGAGTCTGGAGTCTGAGACCAGCCTGGACAAAAGGGCAAGACCCAGTCTACAAAACTTTGTTAAAAATTAGCCAGGTGTGGGCCAGGCGAGGTGGCTCACGCCTGTAATCCCAGCACTTTGGGAGGCTGAGGCGGGTGGATCTTGAGGTCAGGAGATCGAGACCATCCTGGCAAACACGGTGAAACCCTATCTCTACTAAAAATACAAAAAATTAGCTGGGCATGGTGGCACGTGCCTGTAGTCCCAGCTACCCGGGAGGCTGAGGCAGGAGAATGGCGTGAACCTGGGAGGCGGAGCTTGCAATGAGCCGAGATCGCGCCACTGCACACCAGCCTGGGCGGCAGAGTGAGACTACATCTCAAAAACAAACAAACAAACAAACAAAAAGCCAGGTGCGGTGGCGTGCGCCTGTAGCCCCAGCTACTTGGGAGGCTGAGGTGAGAGGATCTCTTGAACCCAGAAGTTGGAAGCTGCAGTGAGTTACGATCGCACCAATGCACTCCAACTGGGGCAACAGGGAGATATTCTCTTAAAAAATAAATAAAAAATGCTAATGATCATTTGAGTCTTCACAAAGTTGTAATATTTTTGCTGGTGAAGGGTCTTGCCCTGATGATGGCTGCTCATGGATCAGGGCAGTGGCTAATGAAGGTTGGGGCAGCTGTGACAGTTTTTCTTTTTCTTTTTTTGAGATGGAGTTTCACTCTTGTTGCCCAGGCTGGAGTACAACGGCGCAATCTTGGCTCACCGCAACCTCTGCCTCCCTGGTTCAAGCAATTCTCCTGTCTCAGCTTCCCGAGTAGCTGGGATTACAGGCATGCCCCACCACGCCCAGCTAATTTTTTTGTATTTTTAGTCGAGACGGGGTTTCTCCATGTTGGCCAGGCTGGTCTGGAAGTCCCAACCTGAGGTGATCCGCCTGCCTCGGCCTCCTAAAGTGCTGGGATTACAGGCGTGAGCCACCGCACTGGGCCAACTGTGACAATTTCTTAAAATGAAGTTTGCTGCATCAGTTGTCTCTTCCTTTCATGAAAGATTTCTCTGTAGCGTGCAATGCTGTGTGACAGCATTTTACCCACAGTGGAACTTCTTTCAAAATTGGAGTCAATCCTTTCAAACCCTGCCACTGTTTTATTAACTAAGTTTATAAAATATTCTAAATCCTTTGTTATAATCTCAACAATGTTCACTGCACCTTCAGCAGTAAATTCCACCTCAAGAAACCACTTTCTTTGCCTGTCCACAGGAAGCAACTCTCCATGTGTTCAAGTTTTATTTAAAAATTGCAGCAATTCAGTCACATCTTCAGGTTCTACTTTTTTTTTTTTTTTTTTTGAGACAGAGTCTCGTTCTGTCAACCAGGCTGGATGGAGTGCAATGGCGTGATTTCGGCTCGCTGCAACCTCTGCCTCCTGGGTTCAAGCGATTCTCCTGCCTCAGCCTCCTGAGTAGCTGCGATTACAGGTGCGTGCCACCACACCTGGCTAATTTTTTTGTGTGTTTTTAGTAGAGACGGTGTTTCACCGTGTTAGCCAGGATGGTTTCAATCTCCTGACCTCGTGATCCGCCTGCCTTGGCCTCCCAAAGTGCTGGGATTACAGGTGTGAGCCACCTTGCCTGGCCCTTTTATTTTTTTGAGACAAAGTCTCACTCTATTGTCCACGCTTGAGTGCAGTGGCCCGATCTTGGCTCACTGCAACCTCTGCTTCCTGGGTTCAAGCAATTCTCCTGCCTCAGCCTCTGGAGTGGCCGGGATTACTATGCAGTAACAATCCCACTACCACGCTCAGCTAATTTTTGTATTTTTAGTAGAGACAAGGTTTTATCATGTTGGCCAGGCTGGTCTCCAACTCCTGACCTCAGGTGATCCATCAGGCCCAGCCTTCAGGCTCTACTTTTTTTTTTCTAGACAGAGTCTCGCTCTGTCGCCCAGGCTGGAGTGCAGTAGTGTGATCTCGGCTCACCACAACCTCTGCCCCTCCAGGTTTAAGCAATTCTCTGCCTCAGCTTCCAGAGTAGCTAGGATTACAGGCGTGCGCCACCACGCCCTGCTAATTTTTTGTATTTTTAGTAGAGACGGGGTTTCACCATCTGGCCAGGCTGGTTGTGAACTCCTGACCTCGTAATCCACCCGCCTAGGCCTCCCAAAGTGCTGAGATTACAGGCGTGAGCCACCAGGCCCGGCCAGGCTCTACTTCTAATTCTAGTTCTCTTGCTATTTCCACCACATCTACAGTTACTTTTTCCATTGAAGTCTAGAACCCCTCAAAGTCACCCATGAGGGTCAGAATCAACTTTTTCCAAGTTCTTGTTGTGTTAATTGATTTTTTTTTTTAAGACGGAATCTCACTGTTGCCCAGGCTGTAGTGCAGAGGCACAATCTCGGCTCACTGCAGCCTCCACCTCCTGGGCCCAAGCGATTAACCTACCTCAGCTCCTCAAGTAGCTGGGACTACAGGAGCGTGCCACCATGCCTGGCTAATTTTTGTATTTTGTTGGTAGAGACGGGGTTTCACCATGTTGGGCAGGCTGGTCTCAAACTCCTGACCTCAGGTGATCTGCCTGCCCCAGCCTCCCAAAGTGCTGGGATTACAGGCGTGAGCCACCGTGAACTGCTGATGTTGATATTTTGACCTCCTCCCATGAATCACAAATATTCTTTTTTTTTTTCTTTTTTGAGATGGAGTCTCGCTCTGTTGCCCAGGCTGGAGTGCAGTGGTGCTATCTTGGCTCACTGCAAGCTCCTCTTCCCGGGTTCACACCATTCTCCTGCCTCAGCCTCCCGAGTAGCTGGGACTACAGGTGCCCGCTGCCAAGACCGGCTAATTTTTTGTATTTTTAGTAGAGATGGGGTTTCACCATGTTAGCCAGGATGGTCTCGATCTCCTGACCTTGTGATCCGCCCACTTCGCCTCCCAAAGTGCTGGGATTACACGGGTGAGCCACCGTGCCTGGAGACAAATATTCTTAATGGTATCTAGAATAGTATATCCTTTCAGGAGGTTTTTAATTTACATTGTTGATACCCATCAGAAGAATCACAATCTATGTAGCTGTAGCCTTACAAAATGCATTTCTTTCTTTCCCCCTGCCGCCCTTTTTTTTTTTTTTTTTTAAGAGACTGGCAGTGGAGGGGGTGGTCTCACTATGCTGCCCCGGCTGGTCTCTAACTCCTGAGCTCAAGCGATCCACCAGCTTTGGCCTCCCGAAGTGCTGCGAGTACAGGCATGAGCCACTGTGCTCAGCCTCAAGATGCATTTCTTAAGTAAGATTTGAGAGTTGAAATTACTCCTTGATCCATGGGCTGCAGAACAGATGTTAACATTAATCTTACTCATCTCCATGAGACCTCTTTGGTGACTAAGCACATTCTCAATGAGCAGTAATATTTTGAAAGAAATCTTTTTTTCTGAGCTGTAGATCTCAATAGTGGGCTTAAAATATTCAGTAAAACATACTGTAAACAGATATGCTACTATACAGGCTTTCCTGTTTCAATGATCAGCACACAGTAGATTTTTGCATACTTCTTAAGGGCCCTAGGATTTTCAGAATGGTAAATGAGCACTAGTTACAACTTAAGTCACTGGCCACACTAGCCCCTAACAAGAGAATCAGACTGTCCTTTGAAGCCAGGCATTGACCTTTCTCTAGCTATGAAAGTCCTAGATAGTATTTTTTTTTCCATATAAGGCTGTTTCATTTACATTGAAAGTCTGTTGTTTAGTGTGGCCACCTTCATCAATTATTTTAGCTATATGTTCTGCATAACTTGCTGCAGCTTCTTCATCAACACTTACTGCCTCACCTTACACTTTTACATTACAGAGGTGGCTTCTTCCCTTAAACCTCATGAACTAACCTCTGCCAGTTTCAAACTTTTCTTCTGCAGCTTCCTCACTCTTCACAGAATTGAAGAGAGTTAGTACCTTGCTCCGGATTAGGCTTTCGCTTAAGGGAATGTCATGGATGGTTTGATCTTCTATCCAGACCACTAAAACTTTCTCCCTATCAGCAATAAGGCTGTTTGGCTTATCATTCATGTATTCATTGGAGTAGCATTTTAATTTCAAGAACTCTTCCTCTGCATTCACAACTTGGCTAACTGTCATTCAGCACAAGAGGCCTAGCTTTTGGCCTATCTCAACTTTTGATACGCCTTTCTCACTAAGGATAAACATTTCTTAACTTCACTTAAAGTAAGAGAGATTCAACTGACTGCTCCTTTTGCCTGGACACTGTAGGGTCACTGACTGGCCTAATTTCAATATTGTGTCTCAAGGAATTGAGAGGCCTGAGGAGAGAGACTGGGAACTGCCAGTCAGTGGAGCTGTTAGTACACACCCAACTTTTACCAATTAAGTTCACTGTCTTATATGAGTGCTATTCATGGTAACCCAAAACATTGATCACAGGTCACTATAACAGATGTAACAATGAAAAGGTTTGGGGCTGGGCATGGTGGCTCATGCCTGTAATCCCAGCACTTTGGGAGGCCGAGGCAGGCGGATCACTTGAGGTCAGGCGTTCGAGACCAGCCTGGCCAATATGGTGAAACCCCGTCTCCACTAAAAATACAAAAATTAACTGGGTGTGGTAGTACATGCCTGTAATCCCAGCTACTCCGGAGGCTGAGGCAGGAGAATCACTTGAGCCCAGATGGCAGAGGTTACAGTGAGACCGAGAACACGCCAGTGCACTGCATCCTGGGTGACAGAGTGAGATTCCACCTCAAAAAAAAAAAAAAAAAAAAAGTGTGAAATATTGTGAATTACCCAAACGTGACACAAGAGACACAAAGTGAGCACATGCTGTTGGAAAAATGGCTGGCATTTACAGACTTGCTCGATGAATCCTTGCTATAAACCTTCACCTTGCAAAAAAAAAAAGGCAGTATTTGCAAAACACAATAAAATGAGTTATCTCTTATTCCCTCCATCCTCACCCAGCTACAGGAGGACCACGACTGTTTACTGCTGTATTCCAAGCAGAAAGGTTGGCATACAGGAGACCTCAAAAATACGCTACTTTGATCTTGAGGAGAGTGAAAAATCTTACTCATTTTATGTACAAAGCACAGATGTGCATACATTATATAAAAAGAAATAGTTTACGTATGGCATTAAGATTTCATGAAGATTAGAAAAACAATGTTTACAAAAGGTCCTTACAAAGGTAGTAATTCAAGAAAAGATCAATAAACGATGTGTTAAAGTAAGATTTTTGGAAGCTCAAATTCAGGCAATACAAAAGCCAGCAATATATCTTGCTACTCGAATGCCTCTATTTCACCTCAAACTCACAGATAAAACTGAACCCAATATGTCCTTGTCCATTAAAAAGCAAATCACCAAGAAAGTAACAAAAGATTCCCTTCAATGTCTCTTTTATTGACAGTGGTCCCAAAACTCCTGGTCAATGAATTCAAAACCCAAATCTTGCAGGTAGGACTTAACCTCATCTGCTGCCAAATAGCTGGCTATGTGACCTTGGGCAGACCACTTCACTTTTCTGGACCTCAGTCTCCCCAGTCAGTTGGACAGTCTAAGCCAGGCTCCAGAGCTGAGACCCTACGTCTGGCTCAAGAACTTGGTGCAGAAACAGAACGAAGATTATTAAGTTTGTGAACGTCTATGGGAACTGACAAGTGAAAGACAAAAGCTGAAATCCCTACCAAAACGGCTTGCCCAAGCTCTATCCTTTTCCCTCTTCCCTCGATGGATCAAAGGCGGAAAAGCGGTGTTTACTAGCAACTCTGTTTCGGGTCGTGAGAATCTTCATACACCTGTCTATAGGCGCGCCAGAGCGGTGAAGGGCCCGAGCGGTGCAGGGCTGGGCCGCAAGCCTCACAGTCGCACGTTCCACCAACCACCAGCCGGGGCCCGGAAGCGCGCCCGGAAATCGAGGCCCTACTAAGTTTTAGACTGCGACCTCGGCGCCCCCACGGTCAGGCCCGCACCCGTACTCAGATCCTCCCGACCTACAAAAGGCCCCGCCACGCGGCCCACGCACCCCGGCAAACTCGCAGGCCCCACGATGGCGGGGCGGCGGCGCGAACACACAAAGGAGGCGTCGTCAGCGGGGAACAAAAACCCTGCCCGGGTCTTCCCCCTAACAGCACATCCTGCCCGACTTTCCAAGTGACCTTGGGGGCGTTCCTGCCCCTCCCAGAGTCTCAGTTTCCCTTCCTAGGCTAGGAACTAAGCCCCATGGCCGCGGCCCCCCAGGGTGAGCCGAGACCCAGACGCAGACCTCCTAACTTCTGTTGCCCGCGCCAAGCCGGGCTCGGTGCGCCCGCGCGGACGGCAGTGCGAGCGACCAGAGCTGGCTCGAGGTCCCGGGCTGCAAAGCCTCGGCTGGGTCAAGCCGCGCAGCGCGGCTCCCCCAAGAGGCGCGGGCCGAGGCCTCTGTAGGCCGCGAAGCTGCCTAAACCTCGCATCTGCAAGGCCCTGACTTACCGCTGCTTTCCCGCAAAGCTCGGCCTAACCTGGAGCTAGTTAGGTCCGCAGGCGCCACCGCCGGCGCACTCCGGAGAAGAAGCTCCTTCTTCAGCCGCCCAGGAGAGCTCCTCGAGAAAGATGCCGCCGCCTCAACAGCAACCCACTTCCGCTTCGGAGGCCTCGGCTCCGCCCCCCATCATGTCCCCATTGGCCGCCCGCCTACTCTACTTCCGCGGTCGGCCGGGTAAGGACAAATTTTTTAATCCTATTGGATAAGAAAACCATCTGTTACCACTTTAAAACGCGCCTCTTTCCGCCCCCGCCCACAATCGAGCGCACTAACTCGCACCTTCCGGCAAGAGACGGCGCGGGCGCGCCCCGCCCGCAAGGTTTTTCGGGAGTCACGGTCTGAGGGCGACCCGGGCGACCCGGTCGCCCGTGCCCGGCTGCCACTGACCGCTCCAACGCCGCCAGGGACGACCCGCCAGCTGCCTCCGGAGCCGAGCAGGCCCCGAACCTTCCCATTCCTAGATTTCCAGCCGCACAACAGCCGCGGTGCCCCTGGCTCGACGCAGCTGGCCGGAGGCGCGGAGCTGGTCGTTCGTCCCGCCCGCCGTTCCGCGCCCCTCTCCCGGCTCTTGTTTCCTCGCCTCTTAACGAGGCCTTTGTGAGGAAGGTTGCTGGGCCTTGGGACTCTGACGATCGGCTGGAAACCAGGCCTGGCCCTGTTTCAGCATCCCCGCGTGCCAAGCCCTGGGCCGGCGTGCGGGTCCCTGCCCCTGCGAGGAAGCTGGGACTTTTGCAGGCCTGGGTGGAGACGTGTACATAACAGAGGAAGAGTGTGGAGGATTGGAGGACTCAGGGCAGCACGGCAGAGGTGCATGCAGGTCCCCGGTCGGACTGGAGAATGGGCGGTGGGTTTCTTGAGCTCCAGTCCCTGAGCTCGACTTTGACGTGGGTTTAGCAACCAGGAAAAAAGCCCACCTTGTCCCTGCTGCCTGAGAATACCCAGACCTTAGTCCATGGCCAGCATCTCTGGTCCCTCGGCACCCTCAGGCAACGTGAAGGTCACCCCAAATGCCTTGGGTTACATTGTTTCCTTACAGTGAGTTTGTTTGTTTTAGTGGCGCGATCTCGGCTCACTGCAAGCTCTAACCTCCTGGGTTCACGTGATTCTCCTGCCTCAGCCTCCCGAATAGCTGGGATTACAGGCGCCTGCCACCACGCCCGGCTAATTTTCTTTGTATTTTTAGTAGAGATGGAGTTCCATCATGTTGGCCAGGCTGGTCTCGAGCTCCTGACCTCAGGTGATCCACCCTCCTTGGCCTCCAAAAGTGCTGGGATTACTGGTGTGAGCCACCTCGCCCGGCCACCTTACAGTGAGTTTCTAACCTCGAAAATGGAGTCAAATAACGGAATGACAAGGCAGATAGAAACCAGAGCATTAACGTTTTTGTGTTGCATTTACAAACAATATGTGTTTGCTATTTTTCGTAATTGTAAGGAAATCTGGCATGGTAGAGTATCTGATAGATAAATGTAATTCTCATGTAAAATATCTAAGTATTTGTGTTTTTTGTTTGTTTGTTTGTTTGTTTTGAGACGGAGTCTCGCTCTGTCGCCCAGGCTGGAGTGCAGTGGCGCGATCTCGGCTCACTGCAAGCTCCGCATCCCGGGTTCACGCCATTCTCCTGCCTCAGCCTCCCAAGTAGCTGGGACTACAGGCGCCCGCCACCACGCCTGGCTAATTTTTTTTTTTTTGTATTTTTTAGTAGAGACGGGGTTTCACCGTGTTAGCCAGGATGGTCTTGATCTCCTGACCTCGTGATCCACCCGCCTCGGCCTCCCAAAGTGCTGGGATTACAGGCGTGGGCCACCGCACCCAGTCTTTTTTTTTTTTTTTTTTTTTGAGACGAGGTGTCACTCTGTCAGCCAGGCTGGAGTGCAGTGGCACAATCATGACTCACTCACTGCAGCCTCGACCTCCCCAGGTTTAGATGATCAACCCACCTTGGCCTCCTGAGTAGCTGGGACCACAGGTGTGTGCCACCATGCCTGGCTAATTTTTTTGTATTTTTTTTTTGTAGACACTGGCTTTCGCCATGTTGCCCAGTCTTGTCTTGAAGCCCCGGGCTCAAGTTATCTGCTCACCTCGACCTCCCAAAGTGTTGAGATTACAGGCATGAGCCATCACACCCTGCCCTAAGTATTTGATTTTTGATAGCGACTGTAAGTTGAAAGGTATAACATTTTCCGAAGTTTGTGATTATAATTGGAGCAAAGAGAACTTAAAAGTTTAAAAGAAATGAAGACATTTAATATATCTATGAGAATTATTTAAATATTAATACTTGATAAGGCAGACAACTGAAATGCTAAAAAATAAAATTAGATTCTACGTGTATAAATGCAGTTGAAAATGTTTAAGAGAATTTCAGTTCATAAATGGGGCCGTACATGATTAATCAAAATGGTGGTTAAAAATGATCAGATTTAGGGCGGGCATGGTGGCTCTCACCTGTAATCTTAACACTTTCGGAGGCTGAGGTGGGAGGATTGCTTGAGCTGAGGAGTTTATAGATGAGCCTGGGTAACGTGGTAAAACCCCCTCTCCACACACACACACACAAATAATAATTAGCCGGGTGTGGTGGCATGTCCCTGTGGTCCCAGCTACTCAGGAGGCTGAGGCAGCAGGATTACTTGAGCCCAGGAGGTCATGGCTGCAGTAAGCTGTGATTGCACGTCAGCTTGATTGACAGAATGAGACCCTCTCTCTCTCAAAAAAAAAAAATCAGATTTAGAAAAAGTAATATTAGTAATTTGTATTTTACAGCCTAAGGAAAAGTTAGGGTTTTCTGTTTGTAACTGTAATATATTGAAGATGTGATGTTGAAAAAGTCTCTATAAATACCAGTTTCATGCTCAAAGACTGCCTTCAGCCAGGGCAACATAGTGAGACCTCATCTCTACTAAAAATAAAAAATTAGCTGGGTATGGTGGTAAGTGCATGCAGTCCCAGCTAGTAGGGAGGATGAGGCAAGAGGATCACTTGAGCCCGGGAGTTTAAGGCTGTATGAGCTATCATCACGTCACTGCACTCCAGCCTGGGTGACAAAGCGAGACCCTGCCTCAAAAACAAAAACAAAAGCTGCTTTCAAGTCTTCTCCAAGCCTCACTTGCACTGAACTTGTTCCTTCACAAATAGCGCTTCCCTTGGGCCCTGAACGCCTGCAGCTTAGAGAAAAGACCGGCACCTTGGTGCTCCCATAGTCCCACAAGTCGAAACCAGCTGAATGCAGGTTCCTGGGCCTCACACCAGCTACTAAATCTGTTTCTTCACTATTTCCAAAGAAAGCCCCTGCCCAAGTGGGTCTCAGATGCTATCAACAAGGATCTTCTGACTAGCCTGTACTCAGGCAAAATGTCCACTCCCCAGGCAGTCCAGCCAGGAAAGGTTCAGAGAGGGATTGTCAGCACTAGCTGGGCCATATCTCACTCTGGCTGGCCCCCTTTGGGGGAGTAGCTTGATTCTCTGTAAAGAGCCTATGCAGGGAGGGAAGGCAGGGGCCCCTAGTGTGAAGGCCCTGGGCTCTTAAGGGTGTGCCCCTTAGCTGCCTGTGCAGGGAGGGGAGGCAGGGGCCCCCAGTGTGAAGGCCCTGGGCTCTTAAGGGTGTGCCCCTTAGCTGCCTGTGCAGGGAGGGGAGGCAGGGGCCCCCAGTGTGAAGGCCCTGGGCTCTTAAGGGTGTGCCCCTTAGCTGTTGCTCTGGAACAAACCACCCCAAAGCTTGATACTTTGAATGACAGACATTTATTGTTGCTCATGAATCTATAAGACAGCAGGGTTGGGGGAGGTTCTTGTCCGGCTGCGCTCTCATTTTGTGCTCTGCTAGTCTAGGATGGCCTCTGAGATGGTGTCCTCCACATGGTGTCTGATCCCAGCAGGCCACCCTAGTCATGCTCACATGGGGCCTGGCGAAGGTTCCAAGAGAACAAGTGGGAGCTCCAAGGCCACCTGAGGCCCAGACTCAGAACTGGCACGTGGTCACTTCTGTTGCACCCTATTAGCCAAAGAAAGTCACTAGGCCAGACCAGATGCAAGGGCTGGGGGAATAGACTCCACCTCTCGATGGGAGGTGTAAAGTCACAAGGCAAGGGGCAGGGATACACAGACATTTTGCCATCACTCTATCACACAATGCCTACTCCCAGGCCACAACTTTAGGGAATGGTCCGAGGCCTGCTCCCACCTAGGTTTGTATGAGGAGAGGCCCCACGTGCTCTCAAGCTAGCTCTAAGCGGCTGCTCAGTCCAGGAGGGGGCAGGGGAAGACCTTGTTACCTGCCAACCAACAGTGTTGCCAATAGTACCCTCAATTTGTTAGCTGCCACATCTCCCCTCTGCTCCAGAGGCCAACCTTCTAGGTGAAGGGTAATTCCCCTGCCTTGCCACAGTGCTTGCTTCAGGCACCCATGCAGACCTTCCCTCACTGCAGGAACTGGCTCAGCCCAAGTATGTTCAATTCAGGCCAATGAGACTGGGGCAACTGTTCTTTGTTCCTCAGGCTGGAACTGCTACCAGAGTGGAGACTGAGCTCCTGGATCGGGTACATCCTGAAGTCTGCTGCCTTTGGATTGGCATTATGAGAGCTAATAAATCCCCCTTTGAAACCCCCAGAGCTCAGAGGGGCTTTCTAGGCCAGGCATCATCAATGTATTCCATCAATATCAAATTAAATGGGTTTGGATCACACAACACGGGATATGAGCAATGTTTATTTCTTTTTTTTTGAGATGGAGTTTGACTCTTGTCACCAGGCTGGAGTGGTGCGATCTCAGCTCACTGCAACCTCCGTCTCCTGGGTTCAAGCGACTCCATTCTCTTGCCTCAGCTTCCCGAGTAACTGGGATTACAGGCGCCAGCCACTACGCCCAGCTAATTTTTGTATTTTTAGTAGCGACGGGGTTTCACCATGTTGGCCAGGCTGGTCTTAAACTCCTGACCTCAGGTGATCCACCTGCCTCAGCCTCCCAAAGTGCTGGGATTACAGGTTTGAGCCCCCTTGCCTGGCCAATGTTTATTTCTTTAAATGAAATTTAATCTGCTCCCAGCTGCAATTCTACAGAGATGTGGAAATTCTTCTCCTTACCTACCTGGGTGGTAAAATCCTGGGGTTCTCACAAACTCAGAATATTGGAGTAGGGCTCTTGTCCTTTAGCCTGTTCTTGTCACTGCTGAGATGCCTGCCTTCCTGGTCTGAGTGTACCCTGGGACTCAGCCTCCTCATCTGAGGCACCATCTCCTCTGCAGGCCCAAGGAGGATATTGGGAGTTGGGGAAGGAAATATATCTCCCCTGGACATCTAGCTTATCTGTCAGTTTCCACTCCCCAACCCCTTACTGCTCTGCTCACCACCCCACGGACTTGACGCTTTTCTCTCTTTCCTGGGAAGAAGGTGGCTTAATGTACTTTCTTCTTGAGGCTGTCACCAGCAGGCGTTCACTCAGCAAGCCTGTCCTCAAGGTGGAGCCTTCTGTAGCCCACGGAGTCCCGGGACACTGCAGAACCAATCCATCTTGGTCCCTGCCTTGGGTGAAGTCCTGCCTCCATTGGCCCTGATCTTGTTGGATCTGGGCTGCTTCTGATGCTAGAGAAAGGGGAGGAGGGGGTGCTCCCAGGCGCAGCTCTGGGTTTTGGCCCTCTAGGCCGGTCACATCGCCTCTTTGAGCACCTGTGGCTTCATCAGCAGAACAGGGGCAGGCCAGTTCCTACGTCCCTGGACCGTAGTGAGGATGGTGGAGGCGCGTGAAGGGCCAGTGCAACGTTGGCGCTCAAGAATCCTGGCCACTTCCCCAGCCAAACGTACACTCACAGTCGCCACTCAGTCTCGGGGGTTCCCTAGGTGAAGCCACCTGGATGCCGGCAAAGGGTGGGTGTTCCAAATTTCCACATCTGAAGGGGTTCTGGGAGTTTCGAAGGGGTGCGCACCAGGAATGCCTTATGCTAGGCTGTAGGGAAGTGCTAGGACCTGGGCCGGGGTGGCCAGATTTCGCTTATAAAAATGCAGGATGCCCAGTTCAGTTGAATTCCCGATAAGGAGAGGATACATTTTTAGCCTAAGTTTGTCCCCACGCAGTAACTGGGCGTCCTGCCTTTTATCCGGCAATGCTTTTCTGGGCAGACGGGGGCTAGGAAGGGAGAGGGGTGCGGTCGGGGTGCGGAGGCAGGGGGGCCGGGGCCGAGGGGGGCCCGGCCAAGGAAGAGGAGGCGCGCACCGCGGGCCGCACTCTTTATTGGGGCGGCGGGTGTAGGGGGTGGCCCGCAAGCGGGTGGGGCGCGCTCGGCCCGGCTCAGGCGGCCTCCAGGCGGCGCGCGGGCCCGGGTCCTGAGCCTCCCTGCTGCAGCGCCTGCAGCCTGCGCTCGCGGCTCCGCTCCAGCTCCAGCCAGTGCTGCGCCTCTAGCTGCGCCTGCAGGCCGGGGAACGCGTCGGCGCGGGCAGGGACGCCCCCACCGCCTCCCGCGCCCGCCGCTGCGTATCTCCCGGCCGCGGACCGGACCCGATCTCCCCGCCATCCCCGCCCCGGGACGCCGGTCCCTGCGCGCCGCGCCCGCCATCCCCACCCGGCCCCGGCTTTCAGTCGCCCGGGCTCCTCCCACCAATCCGGACTCACCCGGGGCTTGGGGCGCGCGGTCCGCGGCGCCGACACGTGCAGCAAGGCCGCCTGCCTGCTGCGCTCGGCCGCCCTCTCCGAGATCCTGCGCCGCAGCTGCTGCACGCGCTCGTCCTGCGAGGGCGCCGCCGGGGCCGCCGCAAGGGCCTTCTTTTCCTCCCACCTGGCGGGCGACGCGGCGGGCTCAGGAGCAGGCCGGCGGGAGGCCCAGGCCAGACCCAGGATGCCACCCGTGTCCAAGCGACGCGGGGGCAAGGAGCTACGCAGCCGGAGAGGTTCACCGGAATGATTTAGGACAGACAGCGAGGCCCAGGGGCCGCGGCGCGCTCCTAGACAGTACCACCGCTCAGGGGCTGGAGGGGTTGGGGGAGTCTCCAGCACTTCTATCTACCCTTTTGCTCTTTTTTTCTTTTCTTTAATTTTTGTTGTTGTTGTTTGTTTGTTTGTTTGAGGCAGGGTCTCACTCTGTCGCCCAGGCTGGAGTGCAGTGGCGCGATCATGGCTCACTGCAGCCTTGACCTCCCAGGCTCAAGCAATTCTCCTACCTCAGCCTCCCAAAATGCTGGGATTACAGGCGTGAGCCACGGCGCCTAGCAGCTTTTTTTTTTTTAAACTTAACATTTTTTTAAAAAAGTATTACAGGTGTACTAACTATATGCATAACTGGGGTACAAATGTGAAAGCCTCCTTTGACCTCGCACTCTTCTGTCTCTTGCCTGGAGGTACCCCCTGCTAACGCTGTGGTGCTGTGGCCTGCATCTCCACAGGTACCTGCAGACATGGCCCTTGATCCTTCTGATTGTATGTGTTGTTCCCTGCTGGCTTTGGCGTCAGTGGACCTCACAGCCTTAGGATATTTGCATGTGCTGTTCCCTGTCTCCACCACTCTTGTCTGACTGTCCAGGTCGACCCTGGTGAATTTGTGGCCTGGGGCCTAAGTGCATGCCTGAGCCCGCTCTAACTTTTTTAGCAGGAGGTAGACCTTTGGAGGCACCCTAACACCAACCAGGCTGCGTCTGAGCTCTGCCAGGCCGTGGCCAGCAGCTGGAAGTGATGAGCTGTCCAGGTGTGTGCCACCTTGGGGAGCTGGTGGGCAGCCAGCCCGCCCTGTACAGCACCAGCAGCGGTTGCCCTGTGCCTCCTCTGAATTGCAACCAGAGCAGCGGCCCCTCCAAGGACCAACAGTGAAGGGCTCTCTTCCATCAGCAATGATTAGTCCTTCCTTCTGTCCGCCCCGCCATCCACCACACCTAGTCCCACTCAGAAACCGTCTCCGGAGCCCTGTATGCCAGGCTCTGAACGAGGCTCTACTACAACAGCTGGGCCTCCCTGGGAACTAGGCCAGGGCCCAGAGGCCAGCCTGACCCCAGGACCAGGGGACATGCCTGCCCATGTCTGACCTGGCTGCCAGGGGCCAGCCACAAGGGGCTAAAAAACATCACCAGACTGTCCCCCAAACAAGTAAAAAGGCATCTGTATGTGTGTGCATGCAAACGAGCTATCTGCAACCCTCAACTAGATCCTGGTTTAAAAAGAAAAAAAAAGTTACAGCAACAGTCTTTTAAAAATGTTAGCCAGGCTGGGCTCACACCTGTAATCCCAGCATTTTGGGAGGCCAAGGCGGGCAGATCACGAGGTCAGGAGTTCGAGACCATCTTGGCCAACATGGTGAAACCCTGTCTCTGCTAAAATACAAAAAGTTAGCCGGGCGTGGTGGTGTGTGCCTGTAGTCCCAGCTACTTGGGAGGCTGAGGCTTGAACCTGGGAGGCAGAGGTTGCAGTGAGCTGAGATTGCGCCACTGCACTCCAGCCTGGTGACAGAGCAAGACTCTGTCTCAAAAAACAAAAACAAAAACAAAAAACAGTTGGCCAACAGTCTTTGGACACCTGGGGAAATGTGAAAAAAGATGAGATATTTAGGTGATGTTGGGAATTTTTGTTCCATTTTCTATTGGTGTCAGGGTGCTGTGGTTTATGTAGGACGATCTATTTTTTTAGAAGATGTATGCTGAAGTGTTTAAAGTGTCTGATTCCTGCAACTACTTCCTAATGCTTCTGCAGACATAAATAGCTAGCTGGCTACGTGAAGCACATATGGTGAAAGGTTGGACCCATGAGCTGGGTGCAAAAATGACTGCATCTGGGTCATGGCTTCTGAGCCATGGATGCAGAATTTTGCACCATTCCCATGTGCCTGGAAGTCACCTACTACAATAATAGGGGTCAGGGGAGTTACGGCAAGGGAACTTCCTGGGCAGGAGGGTGGTGGTTGTTTCTAGGAGACCCACCCAGGAGGGTGCAAGGCAGGCTTACAGCATGCTCCCTGTCCACCCAGAGGCACCCTCCCCGAGCCCAGTACCAACCTCAAGGCTGCGGATCTCCCCATGGCTGCACGGCACAGCGAGATCTGCTCCACCATGTTCTGCAGTTCCTGGCTCTTGGTGTGCTTGCCCTGAATGATTTGATCCCGCTTTTCTTCCTCCTTGCGCCGCTGATTCTCTTTGAGCAGGGCCAGCCGCTCTCGCAGCTCCACTATGGACATCTCTCCTTCCAGGCCGTAGCCGGGGATCTGTGGGGTGGTAGGGGAGGCCCCAAGCTGGGAGCTGTGCTGGGCCCCGATGCTTCCCACCAGGATCCCTCCCCTGTTCCATAGGCCCACCCCTTGCCCACCTTCCCTCTGCTTCAACACTGCTTATGAAACATGCCCCCAGCCTCTCCAGCCTGGGCTCCGCTCTGCAACACTACACCTTGTGTGGGTCTGCACATCTCAGCTGGACTGAGGCCCCTCCACTGTGGCAAGTCCCAAATGGAGCTCATGACTATCTCCCCAGCCAGGCTTCGGGGCCTGGGGCAGACAGCCGTTTGCACTCCCCATGGCCTCGGGGCTGGGCCAGGCCCTGCAGCTGGCTCCCCGCACTCCTCTGAGGCCTGGCCCCTCATCATGCCTTCTCACACGGGCTTCCGGCAGGCCCTCCTCAACCTCCTGCTCCATGCAGCCTCCATCCAGCCTTTGAAAACACCTGCGCTCTCCCTACACTGCCCTTTCCACCCTGGCCCTCCCTCAACAGGCAGCTCCTAAGTGGCCTCCTCTGTGAAGCCCACCTTGGCCACCCCCAGGAGTTATAGAGGACTGGCTAAGTGTGTGCCTTGCCCGCAGGCTTGTGAACTCTTAGGGCCAGACCCAGGCCCGCGGCACATGGGTGTTGAGTCACGGAGGGTGGCGGGCCAGGTTTCAGGTGGTGCAAGACCCACCTGTGGCTCTGGTGGGAACCCTGGAAACTGCCTCTCATGGCAGTGCCAGCGTGGAGGCCCCTGAGGCATGGGCCCGTCCAGGACTGCATCCTCACCTGGGTCAGGTCCACGAGCTTGCCCTTGCGCGTGGGCTGTGTCTCGAGTGCGCGCAGCTGGGAGATGAGTTCACAACGGCGCCGCTGCTCCTCCTGGGCTGCCTGCGCCCTGCGCTGCAGCAGCCCCCTGCTCTCCTCGATCGCCTCCTGAACTTGGGGGCCAAGCCAGGAGCTGAGGTGGCTGGTGGGTGGCAGGGCAGGGGCTGGACAGGAAGGCACCTCCCCCAGGGTTCCCCAGCCAGGACTCTGGCCTCAGTGCGGCCACCTGGGAGTGCCTCCCTCAAGGGGTCCCTGACCCTGGACAGCCATAGTGGCTCACTCAGGAAAGGGTGGCAGCCCAGCACCCGAGTGGGGAAGAGCGGGGTAGGGCCAGTGACATCTGGCTCCTGACTACCTGTCTGCTGTCGGCCCTTCGCGAGCTTCGTCTGGGCCGCCTTGGCGTTCTTCTGCCCCTCTATCACCTGCTCCACCAGCTCCTTCCTGGACCTGTCCTCCCGGAGCCGTCTCTCTGCACGCTGCAGCATCAGCTTGGCCATCTGCCCAGACAGCGGACCTGCCACGGTGAGTGGGGCTGCTCCGGCTTCCCTGCCTGGTCCCGCCCCAGCCCAGGGCGCAGCATGAGGTCTGAAGGTGGACCCAGTCCCTGCCCTTGAATCACCCCAGAACCCAGGTCTAAGCCCATTCACTCCTGGCGGTGCTCTGGAAGTTGGGCCTGCGGGGAACTTCCACCTCATGTCCTCTCCCTTCCTCCCAGTGTGGTCTTGGGGGGAACCTTCCTGCATCTGAAGCCACCCAGTTTGTGGTACTTTGCTGTAGTAGCCCTAGAGACCCAGTGCACCCAGTAGCAACGTAGGCTGTTCACAGTGGAGGGAACCAGGGTAGGGGGCCCGGGGTAGGGGGGACGTGGAATACCCTGTTCTATATTTACGGCTTTTCTGTAAATTTAAAAATTGTTCTGAAATTAAAAAATTACTTTAAAAGTTTCTTTAAAAACTTGGTAATACGTTGTGTAGAAATATGAGGTGAAGAAAGTGGGCACCAAAAAATACCAAGATTCCCGTCTCAGTCAACCAGACAATGAGCAAAGAGAGAAAAGAGGCGTCCACACCGGCCCTCCCCGCGCAGCCACAGCGTCAGACCATGGCACAGGGAGACGGCTGGGCGCCTCAGGCCGGGAGTGCAGAAGAGGGCGGCGGTGCCTCCTGGCTCTTTGGGAACGTGGAATCAGGGAGGCAGCAGCAGTCCACAGAAAAGGCTCCCGCTTGGGAGTAAGACACACAGGATGCTAAGTTCTGCCTCTGCCACCCTGGCAGCTCCCTGGCAGCGGACAAGTCTCGGGCCTCTCTGGGTTTCAGTTTCTTTGTGGGGAAATGAAGATGGCCACGCCCACCTCCTCAGGTGCACTGGGTGCAGGGCCAACACCTAGCAAGGGCTCAGGAAAGAGTGTCCCCATCAGCCACAGCACCAGCCTCGGCACGGAATAGGGAGTCGGCACAGAGGAATGAGCAGGGGAAGAAGGAAAAGAGGGCCACAGGCCGGGAGCAGTGGACAGGGATAGGTGTTTGGCAAGCGATGAGTGTGTGGTCACCTGGCCAGGCTCACAGTAAGGAGAGGGTTTCCAGGCAGTAAGCAGCAGAGAGATCAGCCTGAGGGCCTGAGTCCAGGGTCACATGCCTGGCTGGCTCCACTCAGACATCAACCTTGGACCCACGGTCCTGCCTGCCGTCACTCAGGGGCCAGGGGCAGCCACATGCATCCTTGGGCCCTGCTGTGGACATCCCACCAGGTTTCCCACACATCCCCTCCTCCTTCCTGCCACAGAGCATGGCTCGCACTGGCTGCTCGCTGAGCTCGCACCAAGTCCGAACTTTCAGTTACCTGCACTGGCACCTTCAAAATTAAAATGAAGGTAGAACACATGGAACAGCATTTCTGTGGCCAGAATCAAGTGGAAAAAAGATGCAAGTGCTGCTTGATGAAACAATCTGCCTGAAGACTTTGGTAAAATGTACTCAGGGCCAGCTGCAGCGGCTCACGCTTGTAATCCCAGCGCGTGGGGAAGCTGAGGGGGGAGGATTGCTTGAGCTCAGGAGTTTGAGACCAACATAGTGAGACCCCGTCTCTACAGAAAATACAAAACTAGCCAGGCCCGGTGGCTCCTGCCTGTGGTCCCAGCTACTCAGGAGGCTGAGGTGGGAGGATCATTTGAGTCCAGGAGTTTGAGGTTGCAGGGAGCCATGATTGTGCCACTGCATTCCAGCCTGGGAGACAGAGCAAGACCCGATCTCAAAAAAAAAAAAAAAAAAAAGTATTCAAAGAATGATTACCCATGACATCCAAAACATGAAATGTCATTCCTCACCCAGGAGTTGAGTGTTGACACTAGTACAGCTATTCTGGGTTAATTTCACAGTGATAACAGATTAAAAAACAAGTTATTGGCCGGGCGCGGTGGCTCATGCCTGTAATCCCAGCACTTTGGGAGGCCGAGGCAGGCAGATCACCTGAGATCGGGAGTTCGAGACCAGCCTGACCAACATGGAGAAACTCCATCTCTACTAAAAACACAAAATTAGCCAGGCATGATGGTGCATGCCTGTAATCCCAGCTACTCAGGAGGCTGAGGCAGTAGAATAGCTTGACCCCAGGAGGCAGAGGTTGTGGTGAGCCGAGATCGCACCATTGCACTCCAGCCTAGGCAACAAGAGTGAAACTCCGTCTCAAAAACAAACAAACATTTTTTTTGTAGACGCGGGGTCTCACTATGTTGTTCAAGCTGGTCTCGAACTCCTGGGTTCAAGTGATCTAGCTGCCTTGGCCTCCCAAAGTGCCGTGACTACAGGTGTGAGCCACCGCATCCAGCCATAATTTTAAAATATATCCTTTCCAGCCCCATTGCTAGAGTACTTTAAAACTGGTGACTGTAGGCCAGGCATGGTGGCTTATGCCTATAATTCCAGCACTTTGGGAGGTCGAGGCAGGTGGATCACATAAGGCTGGGAGTTTGAGACCAGCCTGGCCAACATGGCAAAACCGCATCTCCCAAAAAAATAAAATAAAACAAAACAAAAAAAACCTGGTAACTGTTGAAAAAAACAGAAAAGCACCCAGATAGGGAACTCAATACTGGCTTCTATGAGGCACAGAGGTTCCTTGGAGAATAACTGAGTCTGTGTCTTAAGCAGAGAACATTCAGGTAGACCCCAAACATCTCTCCTCTCAATGGAAAAGATGCTTCCAAAGGCTCTTGAGCAGTGCCCAAAGTTCAGAGGAGGAGATGAAAGGGTGCCCATGCGTCGGGTTGTGGTACTAGGACCTCAAGCAGAAACAAAAGTTATAGTTCATTAAAACACATTGAGGCTGTAAAAGCAATCACTCCAATATGAACTGCATAAGAAAAACTAAAATTCTTTTTACTTCAAATATTTAGTGCCACCTAATCTAGTTAATTTAGTAAGAAAAAATATTAGTCACATGAATGCATGTAGCTAGACATCCTTAGACCAGTAGAGAAGACTGAGAATCCCTGTGTAACCTGGTGTGAGGAGAGCGGCATTTTCTTTTTTTTATTTGAGACGGTCTCACTCTGTCACCCAAGCTGGAATGCAATAGCATGATGTTGGCTCACTGCAACCTCCACCTCCTGGGTTCAAGCGATTCTCATGCCTCAGCCTCCTGAGTTGGTGGGATTACGTGGGTGTGCCACCACACCCAGCTAATTTTTGTTTGTTTGTTTGTTTGTTTTTTTAGTAGACATGGGGTTTCACCATGTTGGCCAGGCTGGTCTTGAATGCCTGACCTCAGGTGATCGCCCTGCTTTGGCCTCCCAAAGTGCTGAGATTACAGGCGTGAGCCACCACACCCAGCCAAGAGTGGCATTTTCTAACTCCAAACACAACACAAGAAAAGACTGTTAAATTTGAAGACATAAAAAGAATATTTGCATGGCAAACACCCATCATAAACCTCATATACAAAGTCAAATGACAAACTGGAAAAAAAGCAATCTGCAACAATCTATTATAAAGGATTATTTTTCCTAACATATAAAGAACATTAGGCTGGGCGCAGAGGCGCATTTCCGTAATCCCAGTATTTTGGGAGACTGAGGCAGGTGAATCACTTGAGCCCCGGAGTTAGAGACCAGCCTGGGCAACATGGCGAAACTGTGTCTCTCCTAAAAAGGTGGTGCACGCCTGCAGTTTCACCTGCTTGGGAGGCTGAGATGGGAGGATGGTTTGAGCCTGAGAGGCAGAGGTTGCAGTGAGCCAAGATCATGCCACTGCGCTCCAGCCTGGGCGACAGAGTGAGACCCTGTCTCAAAAAAGAAAAACTGTGGCCGGGCATGGTGGCTCACACCTGTAATCCCAGCACTTTGGGAGGCTGAAGTGGGCAGATCACTTGAGGTCAGGAGTTTGAGACCAGCCTGGCCAACATGGTGAAACCTTGTCTCTACTAAAAATACAAAAATTATCCAGACATGGTGGTGTGCATCTGTGGTCCCGGCTACGCAGGAGGCTGAGGCAGGATAACCGCCTGACCCTGGGAGGCAGAGGTTGCACTGAGCTGAGATCAACCCACTGCACTCCAGCCTGGGTGACAGAGTGAGACTCTGTCTCAAAAACAAAAACAAAAACAAAACAAAAACCAAAAAAAAAAAAAAACAAAAAAAAAAAAGAAAAAAAACAACAAAAAAAGAAAAATTGCTAAGAGAGTAGATTGTAAGTGTTCTTACCAGGAATAAGTATGTGAGATAATGCATATGTTAATTAGCTTGATTTAGCCATTCCACAATGTATTTGTATTCCAAAAGATCATGTTAGGCCGGGCGTGGTGGCTTCCACCTGTAATCCCAGCACTTTGGGAGGCTGAGACAGGTGGATCACTTGAGGTCAGGAGTTTGAGACCAGCCTGGCCAACACAGTGAAAACCCATCTCTACTAAAAATACAAAAAGTAGGCCGGGCACGGTGGCTCATGCCTGTAATCCCAGCAATTTGGGAGGCCGAGGTGGGTGGATCACGAGGCCAGGAGTTCAAGACCAGCTTGACCAAGATGGTGAAACCTCATCTCTACTACAAATACAAAAAAAGAAATAGCTGGGCATTGTGGCATGCGCCTATAATACCAGCTATTCAGGAGGCTGAGGCAGAGAATTTCTTAAACCCAGGAGGTGGAGGTTGCAGTGAGCCATGATCATGCCACTGCACTCCAGCCCGGGCGACAGAGCAAGACTCTGTCTCAAAAAGAAAAAAAAACCAAAAACCAAAAAACAAAAATTAGCCATGCATGGTGGTGCTCGCCTGTAGTCCCAGCTACTCAGGAGACTGAGGCAGGAGAATCACTTGAACCCGGGAGGCGGAAGTTGCAGTGAGCTGAGATCACACCACCGCACTCCAGCCTGGGCGACAGAGCAAGCTTCCATCTTAAAAAAAAAAAAAAATCATGTTATATATCACAAATATATTCAATTGCATTTGTCAAGTTAAATAAATAAAGAACCAAAAAAAAAAAAAAAGTCAGGGAAATGAAGGTCAAAAGTGCAATAGAAAATGGACAAAAGACATGGACAGACGGTTCACAGAAATAGACACAAATCATTTATATATGTATATGTGGACATTTGCTCAAATTCACTGATAAATAAATGAGATGCAAATCAGAACTATACCAAGATACTATTTCTGACCCATGAAATTGGCACAAATTCACGAATTCAGCCTGGTACACTCTGTGGCGGGGCATGCGGATCAGACCCCTCTCACACTTTGGTGGAGTGAAGATGGTAAAAGTACCAGGGAGACGATTGGCCATATTTAGTAAAACCACGCGTCCCAAACGGCAAGGACTCCTGCGTATCCAGTTACTCTTTGGTGTGACATCTGGAAATATAACTTCCTCTAGAAGTTTACCCTGAAAATCCAGCTCTGCAAAGGTGAAAGTCTTGCACATTATTCTTTGCAGATAAAGCAAGGTGTGACCTTTTATGTAACAAAAAAGGGAAGGACAAACTATGTATATACAAGTGTGTTATTTGCTTCGAAAGACGGGAAAGGTAATCCAGAAATTAATGAAAGGAAGGACCAACAAAGGAAGGTGGAAATGGGTTGTAAGTTATAGACTTACAAGAGGTGAGACTTCTCTGAGTCTACCTTTTCATATTGTTTAGACTTCATTTTTGTTTGTTTGTTTTGTTTTTGAGACAGTTACGCTCTGTCGCCCAGGATGGAGTGCAGTGGCATGATCACGGCTCACTGCAACCTTGACCTTCCAGGCTCACGTGATCCTCCTACCTCAGCCTCCCGAGTAGGTGGCACTACGGGCACGCACCACCATGCCCGGCTAATTTTTGTATTTTTTACAGAGACGGGATTTTGCTATGTTGCTCAGGCTGATCTTGAACTCCTAGGCTCAAGTGATCTTCTGGCCTTGGCCTCCTAAAGTGCTGGGATTATAGGTGTGAGCCACCATGCCTGGCCTGGCCTTCATATTTTTTTAAAAAAGTAAAAAGGAAAGAAAAGGCAAACCTTAAAATTGAATACAGACACAGATGAAACTATCAAAAGAAGCAATCTGAGTGACCTTTGATCAAGTCCCTGACCGCAGGCCTGCAAAGGGATACGTCCCAGGAGAGAGTATACAGGCCGGCCTCCTGGGGCTGAGGCTCCCCGCTGGTCCAGGCCACTGTGAGGCCCACTGGAAGGAGCAGGCACTCTCGGGGAACACAGGCTGAGCGTGCCCACCTAGGCAGTGTGTCCTTCGAGGAGGAAGAGGAGCCAGGACCAACACATCAGTAGCTTCTACGGGGGCGCTGTGGACACTCAGCTCCACTGCCAGCCCTGGCCCTGCAGCTCCCGGTGGGCACACAGTTCAGCTGGCTGCCCCATGCCCAGCTGCCCTGCATGGCACCCACCTGCTCCTTCTGCTGCTCCACCCTCTGCTTGTTCTCCTGCATGAGGCTCTGCCGGGCTAGGACGGCCTCCTCATGGCTAAGCTTCCCTTGCAACCGCCGGCACTCGCTTGCAGCCAGCTGCTCCTCCCGGTCCTTCGCCTGCATCTTCTTCTGCCACTCGAAGAACTCAGAGAAGTCCCCAGCCCCATCCACGAGCTTATCAACCCTGGGCAAAGAGGGACAGAAGCACAGCTTGGGGTTTCTCCCGTGACAGAGGCTGCTGGGTGGTCACAGGTTTTCCTGAGGGACAGTGGCTGCGCAGGCGTGGGCTGCTACTCCTGACACCCAGCTGCGTGGCCTGCCCTTCCTCCTATCCCCGACCCACTGTCCACCCATCCCCTGGTCCCCCTTTCTGTGCGTCCACCCATCAGCCCCATCCACCCACCCCTCCCTTCATCCACTTGTTTGTCTACCCTCACTCTGTCCAACTGTCTGTCCATCCACCAACCCTGTGTCCATCATCTGTCCATCCATCAACCTTCTGTCCTCTGCTAGCCTGGCCACCCTTGCCCCTGTGCACCATCTGTGCGTCCACTCCACCATCTGGTCAGACACCCATGCTCCCCCCACAGCCTGACTTGCAGACAAGGAAAGACACGACCACACCGCATGGGGTAAGCACAGGGGTTTGCAGCCCTGGTGGTCTAGGAGATGGGGGCATCAGGAAGGGGTCCAGGGAGGAGGTAACCCCAAGGGAGGTTTGGTGTGGGTTGGGCCTTTGCTAAGTCCCTCCAGCCCCATTCATGCCCCTCACTGAGCCGGCATGATCTTTGTAAGATGCACCTGGGACCCTGACACAGTCCTGCTTGTCGCCCCTGTTGCTGCAGGACCACAGCCTGTTGTGACCCCCGAGTCCCTCTCCACTGAGCTGCCCAGCCCCCAGGCCCCTCCTCTGAGCCTTTCCTCTCAAGGGTGATGCCGTGGAAGGCAGGTGGGGGGGCCTGCCGCCCTTCACCTCTGCAGCTCCTGCTCCACCTGCCGCTGGTACAAGGCCCCTTCTCGCAGGATGGCTGTGGTGTTCAGCTTGACCAGGATGTTGTCAGGCTGCGGGATTGGGGACTGGCTGTGGTGGGGGCTTGAGGAGACCCTTGGGAGCAGCAAATGCCCATCCTGCCCTCATGCCCGTCACACCTGCCCCCTGCCCAGGTGCTTCCCTATCCCCCAGGGTGGGGCCGTCCTTGGGACTCTAGGTCCCCCAGCTCAGGTCATCTGAGCCTCTACGGGCAGAAAAGGTCTGGAGGGGTGGGTGCCCAGGGAGAGCAGCCTGACCATCCAGGAGCACCCCTCACCCTATAGAAGGTCAGCTTCGGAGTCTTTCGGATTCGGGGTGGGAACTGAAGCCGCAGCTGCTGCTTGGAGCCCTGCAGGAGTCAGGGCAGAGCTGGCCGCCTGGCACCTGTGCCTGCTGGGTGCCCCCAAACACATACCAGGTGGATGCTGGCCCAGCACCCTGGGGAGGCCTGGCTCACCCCTCTTCATCCTCCCCCCAGCTGCCCATCCCTACCACCACGCCAGGTCAGGGTCTCTATCTTCCAATGCCCCCCAAGCCTTGCTGTGGTTCCACCCAGGCTGGAACAGGGAGGGTGCAGGGCCTGTGGGCCTGGGAACAGTGCTTCCCAGTCAGGACAACTTGGCCTCAGGGCTCAGTGGCCCTCTCCTCAGCCACCCCCAGAGCTGGGGTCTGGCTGGCCCCCATGGCCTCTCCCCGAGCCTGTCTGCTCCCGGCCCAGCCGCCAGCTGCTTTGCCAACACATCCCAGGGTGGGCACCGCAAGCTGCAGTGAGGGGAGTGGCTGCAAAGGCCACCCCTCTGAGCACTCGGTCATTGCAGCCCCGCGGCATGCACCATATGGGCTGCCCAGCCCGGGCCTGCCCTCATGGTGGGACCCTTGCCACCCAGCGGGGCCGTGCTCCTGAGTGAGCCCCGCCAGGCACAGTCTCTCCTGTCGTCATTACCTTGCTTTTTCTTTATTGGCAAACATACCTGGGTTTGTTTTTTCCTTACAGAGACATGAAATGCTTGTCACGGAACATCTGGAGATACCCAGAGGCAGCACCTGCAGGTGCTTTCCCGTGAGCTTCCTCCTGGGGGATGTGGGTGCGCGTCTACACCCGCCTGCTTAGGGGCCACATCGCAGTGGGCTCAAGGCACACTTTCCCAGTGCTACTGGGAATCCGCCCCTCCCCGGCCCTCAGTGGGAAAAGGCTACATAAGTGGTCACTGCGATGGCGTTGGGAGGAACTTTCTGATGGCTTGAGAAGATGGCACCTCGATGATGGGTCTTGAGAGAGCTGGGCGGTACCTGCACTCGCTCCCTGCAGGACCTGGGCATGGCGCAGCGCAGTTCCTCGATGTTTGCCCTCAGCAGCAGCTCCTGCCACAGTGACACAGCGGCTCCAGTCCCACCAGCCTCTGCCCAGTGTCCTCCAGGCCATGGGAGGACGAACTTCCACCCAGCCTCCCCCTCTTGCCTCCTCTTCCCTCTCCCCACCCCACCTTCCCTTCACACATCCCTCATATGGGGTCTCTAGGAAGGCAGGGGTCGCACACAGCTCACCTCGGCCTTTCGGCGGTTGTACCTCTTGACTGTCTCCAGCTGCTGCTGCTCCTTGGGTGGCTGGTAGGTGCTCTGGGGGACCTGCTGAAGTGGTGGGAGGAAGAGCCTATGGTCAGCAGCTGCGAGTGGGAGGGGGCCTAGAAATGCCAGGGCTGACAGCTTGGTGGATGTGGGTGAAGGGGAGGGTGGTGGCGGCCTGCATTGGAGGAGAAACAGGGCTGGAGCTAACACCACCGGGTGCTGGTGGGTCAGCGTTGGCAGTAAAGGGAAGGAGGTCAGGCTGGTCATTGGCGTGGGGTCTGGAGCTTGGCCTGGGATGGGGTGGGTGGGGTAAGACATGAGCCGGCAGTACTGAGGGCGTACCATCGGCCAGCATGGGATGGCCAGGGTGGGTAGGAGCAAGAGGGGGAGGCAGCCAGCTCCCTTGACACTGGGAGACAGGCGGAAGATGGCTGCCTGGGCAGGAGAGGCTGGGAGAATATCACGGACCCCTGCAAAGTAAGCTGTCGGGAGGGGACACTGCAGAGGCCAGGGCGGCTGCACCATATCCCCGAGTCCAGTCACAGGAGGCTCCGATAATATGGCCGGAGCTGTGTCCATGAAGGAGCAGGAGGGGGCCGGCCTAGATATCCCTGAGCTCCAGACTGCTGTATTACCCTCCTAACTCCATGCCTTCTCCCCTGCACATCTAACAGTCATGGAAAATCAACTCGTCCAAACCTCAAACCCTCATCTTCCTCAAACGAGCCCTCCCTCAGCCTCACTGACCACGACCGCTGTCCATTCCTCACCCATGCCTCAGAGTCCTCCTTGTCACCTCTGTCTCTCACACCCACATCCATCTCCTGCCCACCTGCTTCAAGCCATCTCCAGGAACTGCCTCTCACTGCCCTCCTTGGCCACGGCAGCTGGAGGGACCCTGTGTTGGCGCCAGCCTGCCTCAATGTGTCCTGTCTCTGCTCCCTCCAGTGGATGTGTGACCAGACCGGTACCCCGCCTTCCCTCTTCCCTGCCTCACTCCACTCCAGCCCCTCCTGGCCACCCTCAAACACTTGAGGGAGGGTGGGCACTGCCCCAGGGCCTTTGCCTGCACCTTGCTCCTGCCCAGGATGCTGTTCTCTGAGACACCCCATGGCCGACTTGCTCACTTCTGGTTTTTTACTCCATGGCATTTCTCGGGAGGCCTTTCTAGGCCACACAATCCAGAATCACAACCGCTCCAACACGTCTTATCTCCTTTGTCTGAGATAATGAATGAGTGAATTACAGTGGGCCCTCAACCCTGAAGCAGAAGGATGTCTTAGGCATGGGGCAGGGCAGGGAGGGTAGAGGATAGTTTCAGCACAGCCACCCTGTGGATGCAGAGAAGGTACATGTCCACAAACATCTCACAGATTGTACTGAGAGGCACACAGCTATAGAGCATGGGAGGACATGGTGAGGGCCCAGGCAGGGGCTGTGCTTGGCAGAGACAGAGAGAGAGATGAAGTTGGCAGCATGACCTGAGACAAACACACTGAGCCCTGAGGAGATGGGGTCAGAAATGCTGAAGATTATACAGATGGGGCAACTGTGGGGTTGCTCAGCAACAAGGTCTCTGATCATCCATCCATCAGCCACCTCCATCTAATCATCCATCCATCTGATCATCCACCCACTCACCCACCCATCCATCCATTTGTCTATCCATCTATCCATCCCTCTGATCATCCATCCATCCATCCATCCATTCATCCACTTATCCATCCATCTACTTATCCTTCCATGAAGCCATCCATCCATCCATCCATCCATCCATCCATCCATCCATCCATCCATCCACCCATCCATTCATTCACCCACTCATTCATCTACTCACCCATGTCATCATCCATCTATCTATCCATAATCTAATCATCCATCCATCCATCCATCCATCCACCCACCCACCCATCCATCCATTAATTCACCTACCCACTCATCTTTTCATCCATCTAATCACCCATTCATCCATTTGATCATCTATCCATCCATCTGATCATCCATTCACTCACCCACCCACCCATCCAACAATTTAATCATCCATCCAATCATCCAATCCGTCCATCCATCCATCCATCCATCCACCCACCCATCCATTCATTCACCCACTCATTCATCTACTCACCCATGTGTTCATCCATTCATCCATCCATAAACTCATCTCATCATCCATCCACCCATCTGTTCATCCATCTATCCATCTATCCATTAATCCATCCATCTACCCACCCATCCATTCATTCACTTACCCATCCCTCTACTCATCCATTCATCCATTTGATCATCTATCCATCCAACTGATCACCCATTCACTCACCCACCCACCATCCTACCATTTGATCATCTATCCAATCATCCAATCATCCATCCATCCACCCATCCACCCATCCACTTATCCTTCCATGCATGTATCCATCCATCCATTCATTCACTTATCCTTCCATGTGTCCATCCATCCATCCATCCATCCAGTCATCCATCTATCCATCCACTTATCCTTCCATGCCTCCATCTATCTACCAACTCATTCATTCATTCACTCACCCATCCATCTACTCACCCATCTGCTCATCCATCTACCCATCTGATCATCTATCCATCCATCCATTCACCATCTATCATCCATCCATCCATCCACCCACCCATCCTTCCGACTATCCATCTATCCATCAACTTATCCTTCCATGAGTCCAACCATCCATCCATCTACCCATCCATCCATTCATTCGCCCACCCATCCATCTACTCATTCATCCATCCACCTGATCATCTCTTCATCCATTTGACATCCATCCACCCACTTACCCACATACCCATCCATTCATTTGATCATTCATCCACCCATTCATTCCTCCATCCAATCATCCATCTATCCATTCACCAATCCAATCATCCATCCATCCATCCATCCATTCATCCACCCATCCATCTACCATCCATCTGATAATCCATCCACCCATCCATCCATCCAACTGGTATTTACTGAGGTTCTGCTTTGAGCCATGACTAGGCTAGGCATTGAGAATATGGGACCAATAATGGCCAGGTGTGGTGGCTTACGCCTGTAATCCCAGCACTTTGGGAGGCCTAGGTGGGCAGATCACCTGAGGTCAGTTAGGGACCAGCCCGGCCAACATGACAAAACCCTACCTCTACTAAAAATATAAAAATTAGCCGGGTGTGGTGGCCGGTACCTGTAATCCCAGCTACTCGGGGGGCTGAGGCAGGAGAATCACTTAAACCTAGGAGGCAGAGGTTGCAGTGAGCCAAGATCGTGCCACTGCACTCCAGCCTGGGTGACAGAGCGAGACTCTGTCTCAAATAATAATAATAATAATAATAATAATAATAATAATAATAACAACAATAATAAAATGAAATAAAAAGAGAATATGGGACAAATAAGATGGATGATGTCTGCTGGAATAGGCAGACAATAGGCAGGCCCACAAATTACTAAACAACTCTAAACTCCAATTCGGTGAAGAAAAGGAGCCAGGATCAGTGAGAAGTAAACTAAGTGAAGGACCTGACATATTTGAGGGGTTCATGAAAAGCCTCTCTGGGAAGAGGGATTTTAATGAGACCTGAAGGATGGTGGGAGTGGGGCAGGATTCTGGGGCCTCCCAGCACCATCCCCTTCCCCTCCCATATAGCCCTTAGTCCTGTTGCAGAACCACGTTGGTTCTGGGAAGCTCAGTCCATTGCTGGTGCTTGGGATAGAACCCGTAACCAGTCAGGACATTATATTCCTGATCACAGTGATCAATTCAAGGCAGGCATGAGACCTAAGCTGGTCCAGTCAGACTTTTCCAAAGAATACTTGGCCCCAGGTGTCCTCTCATGCACCTATACGAGAAGCAGAGCTGGAACCCTGGTCACGTATGCCTGAAGCCTATCCTACTTCACTCATGAGGGTCAGCCTGTGCTCTATTTTCTAAGCCAGTTTGAACTGCATTTTTCTGTTATTTGCAATACAAAGCATCCTGACTGATAAGTCAGCAGTGGGAAGAGAAAGAAAGAGAGGAAGAGTCTCTAGGCCTGCCCAAAGAGTATGCTGTCATCTACACATCATACTTAACGGGGAGGGGGTGTTGCATTACGCCAGAGTTAAAAGTGGGCTCCAAGCTCCAACTCCCGACAGGTCGGAGCCCCATGGCCTGACAGCTCCACTCAACACCTACTTATAGGACCACAGTGGGTAGAGTGTGGGAACCCACTGGGTGGGCTCCGGGTCAGCTGGGTTTCCCTCTCTGTGGGGAGTGGGGGTGGGGTGGGGTCATTTAGTGTTCCTGGTCTGGTCCAGTGCACCCTCAGCCCTGGGGGGAGCCCAGTCCCCCACAGGCCCACACAGTCCACTCTCCCAGCTTGGCTACCCTGATGCCTGCAAGCCAGTGCCTGCTGAGAATGCCCACACTCACGGGTCTCGGCTTGGCCACGACCGGGACTGGTTCGGGCGCTGGAATGGTGCGGGGCCTGGGGGCAGTCAGGTTGAATTCCTTGGGCTCTGTGACCTTGGCCTTGGTCTTTAAAGGAGAGGATTGACTGGCAGACACGCCCTCCAGGTGGTTGATCAGCTCCTGGACCTCTGGCTGCCATCTTGAAGGCAAAAGTGGAAACACCTCTTATGGTCACTCCCTAAGCTGTTCAATAAGGCGATGGCCTTTAGGATCCAGAGGGCTCCCGCAGCGATTGGGTCCACCTTGGGGTGGAGGTGATAGTGGGATGGACGGCCTCACTTCACGAAGTGGCTTCTACTTGTAGGCATACACGCTGTCAACTAAACCCCTGAAACATATACAGACGCAGTCCCCTTGTACAGATACAGGAAATAGGCCCAGAGGCATTGGGCCATGCTGGTGAGTGGGGAGCTGGGAGGACAGGGACAGCCCTGCTGCAGGAATCCAGGGGCTCTGAGGACAAGCAGTAGCCAGGATGCAGGAAGCCAATCTGGGCTGGAGCAGATGGAAGCCAGCAGTGGAGAAAGGAGCTTTTTGGAAAGGAACATTCTGGAACTATACTGTTGGTGACTCCTGGAAATGGAGCTGTGGAGTCAGGTGGGGCAGGAGCCCAGTTGTCCTTGGTACAGCCTCTGGGTGGGGGTGCTGTCGAGCAGGGGTTTGGGAAGGGCCTTGCCAGGCCGCCCGAGTGTGGGGCTCCCCCTTCCATGTCCCACACCCAGCATGGGCACAGCCCACCATCATCAGCCTATCAAGTATCCTCTTGTGTGGGCTCCCAGGGGGCAGAGGGCATGGCTTCAAATAGCTCCTCCCTCACCTTAAGAGCCATGGTCCAGGGCCCATAGCAAGTGGAGTCTTGGGGTCTCGCCAGGGCCAGGCCCCAGTGCTCCCAACTTGAGGCAGGTTGGGGAGAGGGGCTGGTCCTAGAGTAGGCAGAGGAAGCCTGAATGGGGGTGGTGGCGCAGGAAGAGGGGCTCACGGGAACTGAGCTGAGTAGCTTCCCAGAGGCAACCCTGCAGGCCCAGGCCATGGGGGCCCCTGAGTGGGCAGTGAGTCTAGCCTGGGGCACAAGGTAGGGGCACCAGCAGGGCCACTCCTACTCCTTCCTTTGGAGGTTTATCTTGATTGCCAGGAGTGGACTGGGTGGGACTGGGGACTTCCCCTTGGTAAAGGAACATCTCCAGGGCCTCCTCTCCCCACAGGAACGGCTTCCATCTCCCCTGGGCCTCCAGGTCTTCTGCACACAGCTGGCACCTAAGTGGTCTGCTTGGGCCAAAACAGCCTGTCTGTCTGTCCTTAGGAAGAAAAAGTGGATCCCTTCAAGTCCTATCAGAAGGGAAAAAACTGGGGGGCCCCTCAGCTGCACTCAGGCCCCAGCAGGCCTCTCCATGGAGCACAAGGCAGGGCCCTAGCAACTGTGCTGACCCCTCTGCCTGGGGGTTCTGGCCTGCCCCGGAGTTTGCCCCAGGCCTGCTGGGGAGGCAGGAGAAGGCAGCAAGGGCAGCATGAGGGCAGCAGGCTTGGGGACCCCGAGAGATATCTAGACCCCAGAATCCACCAGGAACTGATCTGTGGCTTCCTCAGCTCCCTCCACCCTCACCCCTACTCCGCACTCTTGGGATCTGCAGAGAGGCCAAAGGCCCTGCAGAGTCCCCACAGGACTAGAACCACTGACGCAGCCCCAGCCAGCATGTAGGCTCCAGCACAGAAGGGCCGGCTCTGCCCCATTCACTCAGCCAGTCCTGAAATGGCCTTCAGCCACCCGCCACGTGTCAGCTGACTGGCATGGAGGGAGCCCAGGCTGGGGCTTGGGCAGTTGGACCACGTCTTTTCCTCCCCGCGAGGCTGTGGGGCCAGCCTGGGACTTGGGGCTTCTCCGAAGATCTCATCCGAACACGGAGTGATTACTGACACTCATAGAGCTTCTGGGAGCAGGAAGGGGAACGTGGAGCTCCCGTGCCCGTGGAGGCACCTGGAATGGGGTGCAGATGCCATTCAGGGCCCCCAGAGCCCCCCATCCAGCCTACCTCATCAGGGGGTCGATCCAGTTCTCCTTCACGTGGGCTGGCTCGTAGATGAGGCTCCACTCATCCTTGATCCATGAGCACAGGTGCAGGGGGTTGAAGAAGAACCTGAGGAACTGGGGTGGACGGGGGCTGTCAGGGGGCCGGAGCCCTGGGCCCAACCCCTCACCGGGCAAAGTCCCCAGCACCCCCAGTGAGCTCCCTGCCCCCAAGGCCCCCAGCACCCCCAGTGGCTCCCCCCAAGGCCCCCAGCACCCCAGTGAGCTCCCTGCCCCCAAGGCCCCCAGCACCCCCAGTGGCTCCCCCCAAGGCCCCCAGCACCCCAGTGAGCTCCCTGCCCCCAAGGCCCCCAGCACCCCCAGTGAGCTCCCTGCCCCCAAGGCCACCGCGCAGGGTGTGCTTCTGGGACTGTCACCACGGAACTCTGATGCTGGTGCTGGAGGCCTGGACCTTGGCTCCCCTTCCAGCTGGGAGGAGCAGCCCCCGGGGTCCCTGGGTGGGCTGCCGTGGGGAGGGGGTGCCTGAGAAGCTGGCGGCACATCCTCAGCTTGGAGGGCCTTGTCCAGTCAACTTCCCGAAAGCCAGTTGGATGGGGAGCCGAGGGTCCGGGGCTCCATGGTGACGGCCCCAGAAGCACATCCTGAATGGTGGTCTTGGGGGCAGGGAGTTGACTTGGGAGGTGGCCGAGGAGGCACGGGCTGAGCGGGGGTAATGGTGGGCAGGATGGCGGCTTCTGTGTGCCGGCCAGGCAGGGCCTGCAGTCACTGCTGTGCCTCCCCAGGGTGGCCACCCTCCCCAGCAGCCTCCCCTCGGGCCTCCACGCCCTTCTCTTCTCCATGCAGAGGAAACCAGGGATCCCTCTAGAGCCTTCCGCAGCTGCTTCCACCCCCTTTCCCACCCCTTCCCATTTCAGCTGCACGCTGTTACTGCTTCCTCCCTCAAGGGGGCCATTTTCCCTGCCCCGAGGCTGGGGTCTCTACTTACCTTCCTTCTGGCCACCCCCATTTGGGAGCAGACCTTTTGTGCTTTCCTGAGTCCCCTGGGACAGACTCAGCACTGGTCCCTGCCCCCACCCAATCCCTCCATCTCCAAACCCCATCCCCACACTCAGCGTCTCAGCTGGGGTGCTCCCACCAGGACACAGCCCTGTATTGAGGCCCCCATCCTCACTGGGGTGTGGTGGGACAGCCCTACCCGGAACCTGCTGGAGTTGGGGTGGGGCTTTGCGGTGGGTCTGACTCCCCCTCTGCCAGCGGGCAGATTCCCTGGAGCTGTGGGGCCATCAGCCCCCTACAGGTGTCTCAGGGCCACTCCCTGCAGAGTGAGGAGCGCCACCTCCTGGGAGCCACACCATGTCACCGCCCACCACTCCTGACCATGGTGGTACCAGCACCCAAGGTGTGGCCCAGGGGCTTCCCTGGAGAGGCCACAAGGTGGCGTCCCAGTAGCTTGCTCCCCTTCTTCAAGGCCCAGGCTGGCCTCTTCCTGGAGCCCCGAGGCAGGAAGAAGGACCCCAATGGGATAGGCATGGCCCAGCGGGGCATGGGGTGTGGGATGGAGGGAGGCAGTCTCCTGGGCAGTTCCCTTGGGGATTTACGTGGGCAATTCACATGGATCTGCCTCCAGAGGCTCTCTGAGTTGGTAAGTGTGCAGGCACCAGTGTTGGGGGCACCACCCTGTCCCCAACGGTGCTGTGTGGCCAGCGCCCCAAATTCCTAGGGAGTCCCTGCAGCAGCCCCTGAGCACTCTGTCCTGGGCTGGCGCTTTGGGGCTCTGCAGGCCGAGATTGATCCAGGGCCACCTCCACCACTGTGGGACCCAGGGCAAGACAAAACATGGATCTTTGTTCAACAATTTTTTTTTTTTTTTTTTTGAGATGGAGTCTCGCTCTGTCGCCCAGGCTGGAGTGCAATGGCGCCATCTCAGCTCACTGCAACCTCCGCCTCCCAGGTTCAAGTGATTCTCCTGCCTCAGCCTCCTGAGTAGCTGGGATTATAGGCGCGTGCCACCATGACCGGCTAATTTTTTTCTATTTTTAATAGAGACGGGGTTTCACCGTGTTGGTCAGGCTGGTCTCAAACTCCTGACCTCAAGGGATACACCCACTTCGGCCTCCCAAACTGCTGGATTATTGTGCCCGGCCTCAACAATTATTATTATTATTATATTATTATTATTATTATCATTTAGGAAGGGGTCTTGCTCTGTCACCCAGGCTGGAGTGCAGTGGCACAATCATGGCTCACTGCAGCCTCAAACTCCTGGGCTCAAGTGATCCTCCTGCTTCAACTTCGTGAGTGGCTGGAATTACAGGTAAGCACCACCATGCCAGGCTAATTTAAAAAAAATTTTGGCCGGGCGCGGTGGCTGACGCCTGTAATCCCAGCACTTTGGGAGTCTGAGACGGGTGGATCACAAGGTCAGGAGATCGAGACCATCCTGGCTAACATGGTGAAACCCTGTCTCTACTAAAAATACAAAAAAAATTAGCCAGGTGTGGTGGCGGGCGCCTGTAGTCCCAGCTACTCGGGAGGCTGAGGCAGGAGAATGGCATGAACCTGGGAGGCAGAGCTTGCAGTGAGCGGAGATCACGCCACTGCACTCCAGCCTGGGGGACAGAGTGAGACTCCACCTCAAAAGAAAAAAAATATTTTTTTGTAGAGATGGGGTTTTGCTCTGTCGCCCAGGCTGGTCTTGATCTCCTGGGCTCAAGCAAACTTCCAGCTTTGGCCTCCCAAAGTTTTGGGATTACAGGCGTGAGGCACCATGCCCCGCCTGTTCAGCAATTATTAAGAATGTCGGCCGGGCGCGGTGGCTCACGCCTGTAATCCCAGCACTTTGGGAGGCCGAGGCGGGCGGATCACGAGGTCAGGAGATCGAGACCATCCCGGCTAAAACGGTGAAACCCCGTCTCTACTAAAAATACAAAAAATTAGCCGGGCGTAGTGGCGGGCGCCTGTAGTCCCAGCTACTTGGGAGGCTGAGGCAGGAGAATGGCGTGAACCCGGGAGGCGGAGCTTGCAGTGAGCCGAGATCCTGCCACTGCACTCCAGCCTGGGCGACAGAGCGAGACTCCGTCTCAAAAAAAAAAAAAAAGAATGTCAAGCTGGGCGCAGTGGCTCACGCCTGTAATCCCAACACTTTGGGAGGCCGAGGCAGGCGGATCACCTGAGGTCAGGAGTTCGAGACCAGCCTGGCCAACATGGTGAAACCCTGTCTCTACTAAAATACAAAAATTAGCCAGGCGTGATGGCACATGCCGTAATCCCAGCTACTTGGGAGGCTGAGGCAGGAGAATCACTTGAACCCAGGAGGCAGAGGTTGCAGTGAGCCGAGATTGCACCACTGCACTCCAGCCTGGGCGACAGAGCGAGACCCCGTCTTAAAAAAAAAAAAAATGTCAAGATAGTAATAGAAGAGCAGACACCAGTGACTTCTTGTTTCCAGGGTTTGGTTTCTGGTTTCTGGGGTTTGGTTTCTGGTTTCCAGGGAAGCTGGCCCCAACTCAGTCTCCAGGTATCTGCCAGAAAATGCCATCAGTTTTGCTGCTTTTTCATTAAAATGAAGGCCTTGCTTAAGGTAACTATACAAATGTGTATGCCTCATGAATCACTTACGTTTCTGTGAAGATGGAAAATGTGTCATTGATGTGTACAGTGCTGGCTCGGGGCTGCACTCTCCCTCCCTTCACCTGTTAGGTGGCTGAGGTGCTGTGTGAGCCGCCGGTCCCAGGTCTATGGGGCTGCAATCCTGGTGGGCTCTGCCACTCCAGGTCTCCCACTTCTCCAGGCTTGGAACACCCCCTGAAGAGCTAGCTGCTTCCTTCAAGAGAGACCTCGAAGATCTGGGCCCAGGGGCTTTCCCACTCACTTCTCCAGGGAGTGGCTCTCCTTGGCTGGAAACTGTCCCCTCCATGCAGAGTAAGGAGGAGCAAGCCAGTGGCTAAAAGTCTTGTCTGGGAATTGGCTGCGCTACCCTCTTGCTGTGTGACATTGGGCAGATTACTTATCCTCTCTGTGCCCCAGTTTCCGCAACCCTGGGATGAGTACCATGTAGGAGCAACCTCACTGGGTCGTTGTAAGAATGGAGCAAGAACAAGCACCATGAGTGTCCGGGAAAACCTGGCAGTCAGTGTGAGCAGGCAGCAGCCAGCAACAGGCCCAGGCCCAAACATTTCGGTCCAGAGGCCTGTGTGTGCCAGCTTCCCACGCAAGTGGCCCCAGGCAGTCAGGGGCGTGGGCTCCTGCAGGCTCCCCCTCGGGGTGCCAATCCTCATCACTGGCCCTGAACCAATTCCCTTGGACCCCTGAAGCTGCACAGGGAGGAGAGGCTGTTCTGGGCCTCGGATTTGATTATGAGTCAGAAGAGGCCCCCAGGAGCGGAATCGGATTTCCCCAGGACAAAAGCAGCACATTCACCCACACTAGTTGGTGTGCATTGGGTTTTTTGTTGTTGTTGTTGTTTCTTTGTTTTTTAGAGACGGGGTCTTGCTGTGTCACCCAGGCCCAAGTGCAGTGGTTCAATCACTGCTCACTGCAGCCTCAAACTCCTGGACTCAAGTGATCCTCCCGCTTCAGCCTCCCAAGCAGGTGGGACTACAGACGGGAGCCACCATGCCCAGCTTGCTACTTCTTTGAAATACAGAAGAAAACCACCAGAGTTTCTTTCATTAAAACCAACCAGAGGCCGGGCGTGGTGGCTCACGCCTGTAACCCCAGCACTTTGGGAGGCCGAGGCGGGCGGATCACGAGGTCAGGAGATTGAGACCATCCTGGGTAACATGGTGAAACCCCGTCTCTACTAAAAATACAAAAAAATAGCCGGGTGTGGTGGCGGGCGCCTGTAGTCCCAGCTACTCGGGAGGCTGAGGCAGGAGAATGGTATGAACCCGGGAGGCAGAGTTTGCAGTGAGCTGAGATCGCGCCACTGCCCTCCAGCCTGGGCGACAGAGTGAGACTCCGTCTCAAAACAAACAAACAAACAAACAAAACAACCCAACCAGAATGACGAAAGGTGGGCGAGGATCAGACGGACCTCACCCGTGGGCCTCGTGGCCTGGTGGGCAGGTAGGGGTGGCTCACCTTGCACATCTTATCCACGGGCTGGGACTTGATGATGTTACAGAATAGCTGGAAGCCGAGTTCCTCCAGCAGGAATGTGGCTAGGTAGCAGATCACTAGAAAACAGGGGGTCTGTCAGAGGCTAAGGGACGTCACGGGGCACCAGGCACACGGCGGGACCGGAGCCGAAGGCCTCCACCGTGTCAGGGCACGCAGCCACAGGAAAACCCCCACCCTATTGGTGCCCACCTGAAAATGATAAGCGAACACAAACAACATTGTCTTAGAGTGCAATGCATTTGTGGTTTCAAAGCACTTTGACAAATAATCCCATCTGATAAGTTCTCAGAATTTGCAAAGGCTCCCCAGGTAAAAGTGAAATCATTTTGGACTTGTTTGTCAATTTCTGAGCAGCTGAATCGTCACCTCAAGCCGGCTAGAATGTGAATAAACCTGGGCCCGAGTTTCCGCCAAGGCAGGAACTGTAACGGGCCCCTAGCCTGTGGCCTGGACGCGCTGCGCATCATAAGGCTCCAGCTGGGTGGCAAGGGGTCGGGACAGGAGCCTAGCTCAGGACTGGCATCAGCTGCTCAGCTCAGTCTCCCAGTACCCTACAGCGCTCGCCCCACTCCTCTCCCTTCCTGGACGGGGGCAGCAAGACCCTGTGCAGGGTCTCAGGGCTGCCCTGATCTCCCCCCAGCAGCACTGGCCACCTGGCTTGCAATGGTCGCCCTGCCCCATGAAAGCAGACGGCTGTCAGAGGCTGCAGGAAGCCCAGGCAGCGAGTCTCTTGTATCTAATCCCCCACAGGACTGTCCAGACGGCAGCCACAGGGTCCATCTTGTCCAAAGGCCTCGGGGTCAGTGGTGGCTAGGGGTCAGCCTACGGAAGGCTCTCGTGTTGTCCGGGCTGCCTTTGGGAGCTGGATGCCCTAAACTGGGGTGGCAGAGCCAGGTCTGTCTGCCCTGGGGCATCAGTTTCCCATCTGCAAGGTCCTGGTCCGCCTGGTAAGGACCAAGTGAGGTGAGGAGCCGGGAAGCCTCCAGTGCAAGGGCAGGAAGGAGGAGCTGGCCCCGCCTGCCCGCTGCCTGCCTGCCAGGCCTTTCCGCAGAGAGCCTGAGTGAACCGTCTCTACGGCCTGGCCCTGGGGACCAGCCAGGCACCTACCCTCGAAGCGGCTGTGGTCAACCCGCAGGCAGAGTCGGCCATCCTCCACGTAGAAGGCATCCACCACGACGGTCAGCAGCTTCCGGTACTCGAGGCACCCAGACAGAACCTCCAAAACAAAGCTCTGCTTCTGGGGGCTCAGAGCCTGGAAGAGAGACAGCCGGTGGGGGGCCCTGGCTGGGCCGGGAGGAAAGGGCGGCGGTGGGGGTGGGACACTTGGGCAAAGGCAGGGGTGGAGCGGCCCCGGGGCTGCAAAGGGCCTGTTAGTGGGGCCCCCAAGGCAGCTGGCAGTGCCTCCCCACTCAGGAACTGGTCCCCAGATTCTCCTGGGTTTGCCAAGTGAGGTCAGGGCAAAGACAGAAATAAACGAAGATGATGAGGCAGTGCAAGGAATGACACAAGGGACAAGTACTGTGCGGTTCCAGCTAATGAGAACAGGCTGCCGCATCCAGGCAGAGCAGAGAGTGCCAGGGGCCAGCGGGCATGAGAGTCGCCTAATGCAGACAGAGCTTCAGTTCGCTCGGATGAAAAGCTTCTGCAGATAGAGGGCAGTGATGGATGCACAACAGCGGGAATGTGCCTAACCCCACGGAACTCTACGCTGAAAAATGGCTACAGTGGTACATTTTATGTCATGTATTTTACCACAATAATATTTTCAAATGAACCCATAAAGGTTTTCAAATGAATGAATTAAAAAATAACCAAAATGAATGATGCATGAGCAAGGAACATCTCTGCAAGGGCGTGTCAAGTGTAAACTTAGCCGGGTATGGTGGTGCATGCCTGGAGTTCGAGGTGGGGCAATGGAGTGGGACCCTGTCTCACAAAGCAGAAGGAATCTCATTGTTTTAGTCTGGATTTTTAAATTAGCAGTGAAAATTTCATATATCTATATATATCTATATATACATATATATAGATTTTTTTTTTTTTTGAAGTTTTTGAGACAGGGTCTCACTCTGTCGTCCAGGCTGGAGTGCAGTGGCAGAATCACTGCTCACTCTCAGGCTGCCTTCCCACCTCGGCCTCCTGAGTAGCTGCTCCCCACCTCGGCCTCCTGAGTAGCTGCTCCCCACCTCGGCCTCCTGAGTAGCTGCTCCCCACCTCGGCCTCCTGAGTAGCTGCTCCCCACCTCGGCCTCCTGAGTAGCTGCTTCCCACCTCGGCCTCCTGAGTAGCTGCTTCCCACCTCGGCCTCCTGAGTAGCTGGGACTACAGATGCACACCACCATGCCTGGCTCATTTTTTAATTTTTTGTAAAGACTGGATCTCACCATGTTCCTCAGGCTGGCCTCTAACTCCTAGGCTCAAGCAATCCTCCTGCCTTGGCCTCCCAAAGTGTTGGGATTACAAGCGTGAGCCATTGTGTCCAGCCTCATATGTTTTCTGAACACTTGTATTTTTCTGTGAATTATCATTATTTAATAATTAATTTCACTTACAATGTGTTCTACGATACTGTAAATGATTAAATATAATTGGCTAAACTTTTTTTATTGGGATAACATTTTTCTTAGTCATTTTTATAAGGTCTCTATGTTAAGGCTATTAACATAGCCATAAATATGATAGTTATTTGTTGTAAGTTTTTAATTTGCCTTTTAACTTTGTATAAAATATTTTTGGGCATATAGAGCATGTAGGAATTTTACTTTTATTTTAGATCAAATCTGTCTTTTCCTTTGTGATTTTTTCAGTTGCTTTTTTTTTTTTTTTTTCTGAGATGGAGTCTTGCTCTGTCGCCCAGGCTGGAGTGCAGTGGTACAATTTCAGCTCACTGCAACCTCCGCCTCCTGGGTTCAAGCAATTTCCTGCCTCAGCCTCCCGAACAGCTGGGACTACAGGCTCCAGCCACCCACGCCTGGCTAATTTTTCGTATATTTAGTAGAGATGGGGTTTCACCATGTTGGCCAGGCTGGTCTAGAATTCCTGACCTCAGGTGATCTGCCTGCCTCGACCTCCCAAAGTGCTGGGATTACAGGTGTGAGCCACCCCACCCAGCCCTTCAGTTGCTTTTATACTAAGATAACAGGGTAACCAGCTAACCTGAAGCATTCTGCACAAGCCACATGACCTTGTGGGGCCTCAGTTTCCACACATGTGAATGAGAACAATCTGGGTACTGCTCTGCAAATAGGGCCATTCCCACGCCCTTCTAGCATCGTCCCTGCAGTGCAGGGGCTGGAGGCCTGAGAACTACAGGCTTCAGCAGCTCTGCCTCTGTGGATGTGGGTGCAGCCTGGGCTCTGCTAACAAGATATACACTTATGGGAGAACTGGTAGGGGCAAGATTGGGGGATGCGCCTTTTCTTCAGCTCCCCAGGGGTGGTAGATGCTGGGCTTCCCAGAGCCTTCTGCTCGCCCCTGCCTGTCCCACCCGATGTGGTGGGGAGCTGCTCCCTGCAGTGCTCTGACCAGCTGGGAGCCGGGACTGACCCAGCATGAGTTCCTCCAGCCCTTGCAACGGCTTTAAGCACAAGGTTCCCCGTGTTAAATTTAAATCCCTTTCTCTTGGGAGCGCCAGGACTGGCTTTTGGGCTCCTGCTGGAATGCCAGCTGGTAGCAACATTCTCCCGGGGACAGTCCTTCGTTCTAGGGCTCCGTTGTGGGTGCCTCTTTATCTTCTCAACCTCCACATATTGGAGGGGCTCAGGGTGCAGTTCCCCTATGGTGACGTTTGTTCATTATCCACTTTCTGAGTGATCTCAGCCAGCTTCGAGGCTGACAGCATTCTGATTGCCAAACGGATACCCCAGCTGGCCCCGCTCCCTGAACTCAATCCCTGAACTCAGAAACCTCGATCCTGCTGCCGCTGGGCCTTTCCCGGATACTGGGGCGGACATCACATGAATGCATCTGAAACCAGCCTCCTGGGCTTGGCCCAAGCCTGCCCCTGCCAACCTTGCGGCGCAGTAAACGTGGTTCCTTACTCCCAGCGTGTCTCTCGGTCTGTCTTCCTGGCCCTTCGGCTGGGGGACCCCAGCTGCTCTCCCTGCCTCTCCTCTTGCTCCCCTTCAAGTCTCTTTTTGACCCAGCAGTCAGGGCGAGGCTTCTCAGATGGATGTCGGGTCAGGCGTCCTTCCTCACCGTGGCCAGTGAGGCCCTGCATGGAAGTGCCCAGCTCCCTCGGAGTCCCCAGCCCGCCCTGGCTGTTCCAGTCACACTGGCCTCCTGTTTCCTCATCAGGGAACTGGCTTTTCCCTCTGCCTGAGAACTCCTCCCGGCATACTCGCCCCACGGCTGTGAGGACTGTGCTTCTGACCAGCCCTTGCAGGACATGGCCTGTCCCAGTCGCGGCATGGCTTGTTTACTGTCCCTTTCTTGGCTAGATGGCCACCTGGGCGCTCGCCAGAGAGGAAAGGGAATGCCCTGCCTCCACATAGATCGCGGGGACCCAGTGACATCCTGTGAGTGAGGCTGGGCATGGAGAGGGGGCTCGGTGGGTGAGGGCTCCCCCACTGAGCTGCTGGGAGGGGATCCTGCGGGGGGCTGGCTCTGATCTCAACAGCCAGGCTGGCACCTCAGTTTCCCTCTCAGCTTCCTGCAGTTGCCAGGCTGTACCCACACCGAGGGCACTGGTCCCCCCCCCGCCCCGTGTAACTGACAACATCTTGTCAGAGGAGCCCAGGAGCCAGGACAGACCCTTCCGAGAGCAGTGAGTCAGCGTGGCCGCTGAGGGTGATGACTTTGCGGGACTATGCTGACAACCTCCTCTGGCCTCCCCGGCTCAGGCACCGGCGACTCCGCTTCTCATCAATGACGTCTGTGTTTGGGAAGTGTGAGCATGCATTTTTCATAAGGTCGGAGCCTTGAGCCCTATGCCATCAGCCCCAGGCAAGGCGGGTTGGGCAGGGCCACTCTGGGCCGGAGGGTCCTGGAAGCTGCAGAGCTGAGTGAGGAGCCAGTAAATGACATCCCAGTCCACGCCAGGCTGGGCCGGGCCCACGGCCAGGTCCTTGCCACTGATGCTGGGCTGGCGGCTGCCAGGACACGTGGTGTCCAGCCTATTCACAGAGAGGGGCCTGGGGCCTGGGGGTGGGGGCAAGGGGTGACACATGCCTCAGGGGTGCTGGACCAGGTCCTTCTGACCAGGCCAGCAGAGATGGGCCTAGGCCGGGTGGGTTCTCTCTCCCAGAGGAGGCAGGAGAGGCCCTTGCTACAGGAGTGGGCTCCTAATGGGGAACCAGCCTCAGTCACTGAGACCGGCCTGTGGCTGCCCAAGGGTCTCTGAGTTTGTGATAAAATCTTGGGCCTTGGTCAAGCTCAGGGCTCCTCAGTCCCCAACCAGGGAGAGCAGCAGGCACTCAATAGCAAAGGGTCCAGCATTCACAATCGCTAGAGACTGCTGCAGGGGTTTCTCAGCACCTCCAGAAGTGCACTTGTCTGCTGGACTCACAGGGTTGGGGAAGAGCTAGACCAGGTCCAGGCCGGGGCAGGTTGGGGGAGGGGTGTGGGGCCAGGAGGCTAATTAACAACAGGATTTGTGATTCATGTCACCAATACCTGCTCATCAGTAATGCAAAGCCTGAAGTCAGTTAGAAAAGTAGGCAAAGGAAACGGAGGCTGCAGGGCCGCACTTCTCACTTAACAGAAAGAATGCCGTCCTGTTGGGCATGGTAATATGTCCAGCTAAAACCATATTTTGCAACTCTCCTTGATGATAGAGCCATGTGACAGTTTTAATCAGCAAAATGTAATGACAAATTGCTAGGTGTGGCCTCCAAGAAAGCACCTTGAAAGGAAGGTAGATTCAGCTGGCACATGCCTTATACTGTTTGCCTTTCTCCTCTCCTCACCTGGGATATAGATGCAATGCTGGAGGTAGGGCAGCCATTTAGTGACTATGAGGCAACAGTACATGTTAAGGATGGCTGCATGGAGAGGAACTGAATGAGTTCTTCATGGCATCATGGAGCTGCTGAACCCACTCTAGACTGCCTGTCTGCAGACTGCTTCTCATATGAGCAAAGATACCTTTAATTGATTAAAGCTACTGCTTTTATGGATTTTGTTGTATCCAAACACAGTTTCCTAACAGACACCGGTCCGAACAGATGGTTCAAAGTGAAATACATCTTGCTTCAAAACTTAGGAAAATATAACAAGAGAAACGATGATTATAAATACACAAAGCTGGCCAGGTGTGGTGGCTCGTGCCTGTAATTCCAGCTACTTGGGAGGCTCATGCACGAGAATTGCTTGAACCTGGGAGGTGGAAGTGGCCATGAGCTGTACTGCAACCTAGGTGAGGGAGTGTCTCAAAAAAAAAAAATAATAAAGTGACTTTTCCCACCTATTTGACGGGCAAAGATAATAATTTTTGCCCGCACATGAGGTTGGGGAGGGTGTACGGGAACAAGTGCTCCCTACCTGCCCAGGAGAGCAGCAGTGGATCTCCATGGAAAGCCAACTGGCAATCCACATTGAAAGCACGAGAGCCAATTACTCTCATAGCAAGAACATGTGTCTTCTTGGACTTGACCTTGGGTGCACCCAAGATGCAAAGGGACAGGTGGTCAGTCAGTCCCACAGTGGTTTGTAACATATCTCACCTCTAGATCCTTAACTTAATTACATCTGCACAGACCATATTTCTAAAGTCATATTCATAAGTAACCAGGGGTTAGAATTTCAACTTTTTTTTTTTTGAGACAGAGTCTTGCTCTGTCGCCCAGGCTTGAGTGCCGTGGTGCGATCTCGACTCACTGCAACCTCCGCCTCCCAGGTTCACGCCATTCTCCTACCTCAGCCTCCCGAGTAGCTGGGACCACAGGCACCCGCCACCATGCCTGGCTAATTTTTTTGTATTTTTAGTAGAAACGGGGTTTCACCATGTTAGCCAGGATGGTCTCGATCTCCTGACCTCGTGATCCACCTGCCCCGGCCTCTCAAAGTGCTGGGATTACAGGCATGAGCCACCGCGCCCGGCCAACATTTTTTTTTAAGAGCCAGGATCTTACTCTGTTGCCCAGGCTGCAGTGCAGTGGTGCAATCATAGCTCATCATAGCCTTCAACTCCTGGACTCAAGCAATCCTCCTTCCTTAGCCCCCGAGTAGCTGGGACTACAAGCACGTGCCACTGTGTTTGGCTAATTTTTACATTTTTTATAGAGAAAAGGTCTCACTGTGTGGCCTAGGCTGGTCTCAAACTCCTGGCCTCAAGCAATCCTCCTACCTCAGCCTCCCAACGTGCTGAGATTACAGGCATGAGCCACCATGCCTGGCTCATTTTTTTTCTTTTAGAGAGAAATGGGATCTTGCTATGTTGCCCAAGCTGGACACGAACTCCTAGGTTCAAGTGGATCTTCCTTCCCCAGATGTCCTAGTAACTGGGACTAGGTACGTGCCACCATGCCTGGCTTAGTACTTTTTTTTGGGGGAGGGGCACAATTTAACCCAAAACACTGCCTTTCACCGCAGTCTGCTGTCCGGAGTCTGCCATTTGGTTTACGTATTGCGTAATTTTCTGGCATTTCACCGCAGTCCGCTGTCCGGAGTCTGCCGTTTGGTTTACGTATTGCGTAATTTTCTGGCATTTCACCGCAGTCCGCTGTCCGGAGTCTGCCGTTTGGTTTACGTATTGCATAATTTTCTGGCATTTCACCGCAGTCCGCTGTCCGGAGTCTGCCGTTTGGTTTACGTATTGCGTAATTTTCTGGCATTTCACCGCAGTCCGCTGTCCGGAGTCTGCCGTTTGGTTTACGTATTGCGTAATTTTCTGGCATTTCACCGCAGTCTGCTGTCCGCAGTCTGCCGTTTGGTTTACGTATTGCGTAATTTTCTGGCATTTCACCGCAGTCCGCTGTCCGGAGTCTGCCGTTTGGTTTATGTATTGCGTAATTTTCTGGCATTTCACCGCAGTCCGCTGTCCGGAGTCTGCCGTTTGGTTTATGTATTGCGTAATTTTCTGGCATTTCACCGCAGTCTGCTGTCCGCAGTCTGCCGTTTGGTTTATGTATTGCGTAATTTTCTGGCAAGTGGCACTCTTGAGCCTTGGCCTAGCAAAATCAGTGAATTGCAACAATTTCTTGATAGCTGGAGAGGAAAGCGAGTTGTCCAAACTGGATCAGGATCCAATGCACCATTCCTCTCGGACTTGTGAGGGGCTTTTGAAAGCATCTGAAAAGGCTGGGTGCAGTGGCTCATGCCTGTAATCCCAGCACCTTGGGAGGCCGAGGCGGGCGGATCACAAGGTCAGGAGATCAAGACCATTCTGGCTAACACAGTGAAACCCCGTCTCTACTAAAAATACAAAAAATTAGCTGGGCGTGGTGGCGGGCGCCTGTAGTCCCAGCTACTCGGGAGGCTGAGGCAGGAGAATGGCGTGAACCCAGGAGGCGGAGCTTGCAGTGAGCAGAGATGGCGCCACTGCACTCCAGCCTGGGTGACAGAGTGAGACTCTGTCTCAAAAAAAAAAAAAAAAGAAAGAAAGAAAAGATCTGAAAAACCAGTGCCTCTGAGGAACAAGCCTGCTTGCCACCAATGGGGGCATCTGTGCAGATCCATGCTGGGCAGCCCCCTGGATATCCGTTGTGTCTGCCGCTGCCAGTTTGCCGGTAGGATCGGTGTGCCAGGCTCCCCGTGGAAATGCACACCTGTGATAGTCACATTGTGACTCACCAGGTAACATATTAGTCTCATCTACCACTAATAATCTGTGGGTTATAGAAAACAAACCCAACCCAAACTATTTGTTGTAACAAACTCATTTTTTTTGTAATGGTTATTATCAAGAAATAAAGACATGAACTTTACCACTTTTTGCTTGAGGAAGGGGTAAACACACACCCCTTTCCCTGCCAAGGTGCTATGTGGCTGCGCAGGCCAAGACAGCATCAGGGGGAAAGTTTCCCAGGTGGAGGCAACAGCTAGTGCAGTGGGGAGCGCGTGGAATGTTCCAGAAACACTAGGAGACCAGTGCAGCTGGAGCAGAGTGCACACATGGCAGAGTCGAAGGCAGAGCTGATGATGAACAGATGTGGTCTAGAGGAATGGGGGTGCCCAGGAGGCGCCAGGGTTCCCACTGGAGCAAGGGGAGACGGAGCGGCTGCCGGCTGAACTGGGGATGCCCGGATCAGCAGCTCTGGGGGAGGTCACATGGATTCATTCATCTACTGACGTGTCACACGGGAGGTGCCCACTGGACACCCAAGGAGATGTGAGTCCAGGCTCGGGAGAGGTCAAGGATGGAGGGAGGAGCAGGAGCTGTCAGCAGGCGAGGGGACCAGGAGTGTGTATAGCAAAGAGAGCAGAGAGCAGCCGCTGAGCCCGTGCACCCCGCACACCCGACAGGGGAGGCCCGAGCCTGAGAAGGAGTGGCTGCCAGGTGAGATGCAGGCCTGGCGCAGGGGGTACCCAGGAAGCTGATCGGAAGGCCCCGGAGCTGGGGGCGGGGTCAGCTGGGTCAGAGGAGCTGAGGCTGCCCCACTGGATTTGGCAACAAGGGGGTGCGGGGTGACCCAGACTGGCGCTGTGGGTGGAGGGGTGGGGGAAGTCCGCAGGGAGGGGTGTGAGGGAGGATGGAGGAAGAGCTGCCGCTGGTGGCAGGGACTTCGAGGAATCTGTTAGATAGAAGGGAAGGACCGCGGGAGCCTCAGGGGAGTACAGAGGACTTAAAAAAAATGTTTTTAGGGTGAGAGACGTAGCAGCACGGGTGGCTGACGGGAAAGATCCTGAGGGAAATGAGGGGGACGGATAGGAGGAGCTGCTGGAGCTGCTCTTGGGCTGGCCAGAGGGGCCGGGCTACAGGTGGGCCCAGGCAGTGGGGTGGGTGACGCCAGCTCCCAGGACGGGCTTCTGGCCAAGGGGACCTGGGCCTTCGCTATTGTCTGTTTTGGACGTGCAAGGCGAGGGCAGGCCGGCGGGATGAGAGGTGTGCCCGTCGTGCTGAGGCCTTAGCTGGGAAGAGGAGTGTGGATGAACCTGGGCCCGAGCTGTTTGCATCACTTCCCCACAGTGCTCAGGGGCTCAGGGAAAGAGCTGGGGGCCAGAGGGTGCTGAAGTGGAGGGAGAGGTGCCCACGGAGGCCTGCAGCTCTGCACACAGGCCCTGCTCCCCTCTCCAGCCCCTGCTGGCTGCCAGGCCCCAGCCGGAGGAGGCGCCTCTTCCAGAAGCTGGGAGCAGGGATGGGTGGGGGCCCCAGGCCTTCTCTTACGGCAGAGGCCTTGGCCCCAACCCCTGTAGCCTTTGTAACCCACTCACACCACCTCCCCTCTGGGCTTTCTTGAGGCTGCCCCAGAGGTAGCTAATGAAGGATGAACCCCTCATTCTACCCCAAGGGAAGGTGGGCTCAGACTGTGGCCTGGGGGAACAGCACAGGTGCACCTGAGCAGGTAGTGAGAGCGGGAGCTGGAGCATGGCCAGGGCAGCCCCCAGGGGCCGTGCAGAAAAGCAGCGCACATAGGCCAAGTTCATCCAGAGCACAGCGGCACAGAGGGCTGTGGCCTGCAAGGACAGGCAGGCAGCCTGAATTAGCACACTTGCTATGAGCGCCCTCTTTCCAGGGGGCGAGTGCCCGCTCCCTGCTCCTGGGCAATGATGGGTTGGTGATGGCCCATGTGACAGCCCCCCAGGATTTCCCCTGGTGGGCTCAGCTTCCTCTGGAGGCCCCATCCAATGGAGACCAAGTCCCACATTCCTAGAGGCAGGGGCCCTGCAATCCAAGCTCCTGTTCCCCAGGCACATGCCACTGACAGGTGGTGGATGTGAGATCAGCACCTCGTGGTGGGAGCTGAGACCAGGTGACAGGGAGGCCCCTGAGTGGGGCAGGGCTGCCGAGGTTGCAGGGGGTGCCAGGACCAGGATGGAGCTGTGAGGAAAACCCAGGGATGGGAGGACAGGAGCTGAGGAGTTGGGCAGCCTCCAGGTGGGCCTGTGACTTCTTCCAGGTGTGGGTAGGAAGATGAAGGAGGTGTGTACAGAAGCCTGCAGCCCTCGGCTCCCCGGGAGCCTCACTGCCCAGGCCAGCCCCTGCCTCTGTCGGAGACCCAGTCAGTGATTCCCAAGTCTCGGTTACCACAAATACAGCACAAGTTGTGGCCTTGCGCACCCTCACTGCCACAGCCCTGGGGCGCCTGGGGGATGGAGGACCCATTTCCCGAGATAAGATGCCCCCCAAAGTGGGGGTGGGGCATGGGGGCGCTCCAGGGCTGACCCTTCTCATCTGTGTTGACTGAGGATGGAACCGCAGTGTGGATGTCATATCCCGGGTCCCGGCCAAGGCTTCTTTCACCAGAGCCTGGCCTGACACACATTCTGGGTGCCAGGAGCACCTCCCCATACGAAGAGCAGGTCTCTGTGGAAAACACGGTCAGCTTCTCCCCATGTGGAAGGAAGGCAGTCGTTAGGAAGGCATTTGATGCTGTTAACCAGAACAGCTGCACAACAGGTGCCATTGGCGTGGCCTCCCAGCAGCCCCCAGCAGATCCTACCTGCAGGGAGGTGGCCGCAGCCTCCAGGAACTGCTCAGGGTTGTCCCTCTTGGGTGTAAATTTGTCGAGTTGCTCGATCACAGTTTCAATGCATTTTCCATAGTAGGCCATCTTCTTAGGGCAGAAGCCTAAGAACAAACCGTGCAGGTCACGCCCTCCACACCTGGGATGTAGCCGCAGGACCCTCCCCAGCAGCGACAGGAGTCTGCCAGGGTGTTGGGCCTGTAGCAGCAGGAAGACCGGATGTGACTGGGGGCCCTGGCTAGGGTGCCGGGCCTACAGCAGTGGGGAGGGCCGGATGTGAGTGAGGGCCCTGGCAGGTACCCCAAGGTGCATGTCCTGCACTGTCTCCTGCAGGCCTCTGCGGCTCAGGGGCCCAGGCTGGCCTGGGTGAGTTCACCATCAGGTCACCCCCATCACCACAGACCGAAGCTGGCCGAGTGCCCCTCAGGCCCCACAGCCATGCCTCCTGGATGGGGTGACCCCTGCAAGGGGCCCACGGCAGAGAGCACAGGCACCTCTCGAAACAGCCTCTGAGCGTCCCTCAGCTTTGCCCGGGAAGGTGACGGTTTCTTCATCAGGCCCTGCTGGGGAGCAGAAGGTCCTGGGTGAGGGTGACCTCATCACACATGGTTGGGGCAAGAAGGAGCCTGGGGTCCCTGGGGTCAACGCCGCCATCCTGACGATGGGGGAACAGGGCCCTGGGGAGGGCTTGCGGGGGCACTGAACACTCCAGAGGTGCAGCAGTTCCAGGGGACAGGCTTGCCCAGAGCCCCTCCCAGGGGACCTTGGAGAAGCTGCCTAGGGGGAGGCTGGGACCCTGGGAACCAGCTCTAAGGACAACATGTGGCCCCCAAACTATCCTCAGAGGAGGCGGGGCCTGTCAGCAAAGGCCGTCATCCTTGGGTGTGGTGCAGGCCTGGGCTCCAGCTGGACTACGCAGGACAGTAGGGCAGCGCTGGGCAGAGGGGGGCCCTTCTCACCCTCCTCTTGCTCCATGACTGACCCACTGCTCTGGGCCAGGCTGGGCTTGAAGGGCCACCAAAGTTGGGGACAGTGGGAGCACCTCTCCTCTACCCTGCAACAAGCTAGAACAGCCCCAGGTAGCAGTCCCCAGACCTGGACCCTCCAGGCTGGGGACTGACTAAAAACATGCAAGCGACCCCCACCAACCACCACTGACACTGGAGGGTCCTTGGTGAGACACCGATCCTGGCCGTGCTGAAGGGTCCATGTTGACCTGCCCCCTGACTCTCTCCCTGGCCAAGACTCAGAGAGAAGGGGAGGCCAGGTGTCACCAGACACTTTAGAGAAATCTCTGACATGAAACATAGAAACCATAAGAAAAGAACCAGGAGAAAACGATGCACAAGGCAGGAAAAAGCCTAGAAACCAGGCACTGCCATGCAAGAGAAGAGGAGATACAGCGTCCAAGGAACAAGCAATGGCTGGAGAAAAAGAGAGGGCTCGTGAAAACCAAAATACGATGACAGAACTAAAAACATAAACAGGAGACGGAAGGTAAAGTTGAGGAAATCTCCCTGAGTAGAAAAAGATGAAGCTATAGAAAGTAGGGGAAAACGCTAAGAAAATCAGGGAACGATTCCTGAAGGTCCAAACCCCAATTAACAGGAGTTCCAGAGAGACAAGAGAGAGAAATAACAAGAAAACGCCCTAGAACTGAAGGATGCGGTCTTCTGGACGGACAAGGCCCACTGGCAGCTTAGCACAGGGAATGAGTCATGATATTTCAGAGCCAGGGACGCCCCGAACACGTTCAGTGCAGGAAGAGTCAGGGATGCAGAGGAGTCTCGGCTGGGGGTGCCCTGGGAAGCAGGGGCTGAACCCAAGTGACTGTCGTTGTGGGGAATTTCCAGGCTGCGATGCAGGTAGCCCCAAGGTGACACTGGCTGGCAGGACAAGGACAGAGCAGGAGGGCAGGGGCTCCCGGGGGTGTCTCCAGGAGGAGCACCTGGCATGTTCTGTGAGTGGGTTTAGCTGCACAGTTAGGGAAAGAGGCTGTGACGCTGGACCTGGCTAGGGATGGCATCAGCCCAGGGCCTGTGTCCCCACCTCCCTGCTGGCTGCACCACCTGAGGCCTGACATGGGCTGTTCTTTTTTTTTCTTTTTTTGAGATGGAGTTTTGCTCTTGTTGCCCAGGCTGGAGTGCAATGGCGTGCTCTTGGCTCACTGCAACCTCCATCTCCCAGATTCAAGCGACTCTCCTGCCTTAGCCTCCTGAGTAGCTGGGATTACAGGCACCCACCACCATGTGGCTATTTTTTGTATTTTTGTATAGCCACCATGTGGCTAATTTTTGTATTTTTTTAGGAGAGACAGGATTTCGCCATGTTGGCCAGGCTGGTCTCAAACTCCTGACCTCAGGTGATCTGCCTGCCTCAGCCTCCCAAAGTGCTGGGATTACAGGCGTGAGCCACCACGCCAGGCTGTCCTTTTAGGGGCTGCTTTAGGGACCAGCCTGGCTGTGCATGGACACAGAGGCCAGCAGGAGCCTCTCTCTAAGGAGGCCAGAAGAAAGGCCGCTTGGAATTTGGAAATCTGGCTTGAAGCCCTGGTGCTGAAAACAGGCCCTGGAGACCAGGCCTCCCAGAACAAAGCGAGCATGAGCCTCTGGCACAGCCAGGACCGTCACTGCCCGGGAGCCTGCCCTGGGCCCCGGCTGGGTCCCCCTCCCCCCACCCCATGTCTGGAGACCAGCAAGGCTGCCTGGAGGTGCGTTCCTGCGCCAGTGCGGTCCTGATGATTCGGGGCAAGGGAAGAGACAGTGATGCTGCTGGCTTGGAGAACACCAGATCAGAAGCCATTAAACCCGCAAATCCACAGATGCTGAAATCTAGATGCTGCAGCCAGGCTTGCCTGGGCAAGATGAGAGAGGTTTGTGGGTGAGGCTGCCCAGACCCTCTGAGGGTTCCCACCCCCTTCATGGCCTGCCCCTGGGGACCTGCCACCTAAGCTGCCTCAGCCCATCCTGCGGGAAACCTTTGCTTCTTGGAAGGCTGGGCCATGGAAGAGAGACCACCCACACCCCACCCCAGCCTCAGGGTCCTTTCACTCTCCTCTGATCCCCTCTAGCTGAGTCTCTGGCGTGGGGATTTCAACAGCTGTGAGCAGAAAGGCCCAGGAGGCCCACTGAGCACCCTCCCCTGAGCCTGCCAAGGCAGGAATACTCAGGGCAGGGCCTTAAGCTTGTGACAGGCTCACCCTAAGTCCCTGCTCTCTCTGAATTCAGCCCCTCTCCTCGGGAGGGTCCCAGCAGGCCAGGCCACCAGTATGGCAGGGGTGCGGTGCGGTGTGGTGCAGTGTGGGCGTGGTGGCCAACCCTGGTGGGTAGGTGGATCCAGGCAGCCATAACACAGCCAGGGGGCAATAGGCTGCTGGCAGCAGGAAGCACTTTTCTGGGGCATTGCTCTTTGGGGAGGGGGGACTTGTGGCTTTCACTCCAGGCATTGCTGAGAGCAGTGGGGGCTCCCTGTAGGCAGTGAGCTCACAGCTCACAAATCCCACTCCCCATCTTCGCCAGGGTCAGCCACACTGAGACGTTTTTTAAAACTCCACAGCGTAACTGGGGACTTCTCTACAAAAAAATTAAAGAATGACTCAGGTGTGGTGGCACGCCTGTAGTCCTAGCTCCTTGGGGGGCTGAGGTGGGAGGATCCCTTGAGCCCAGGAGGTTGAAGGTGCTTTGGGCTATGTCTGTGCTACCACACTCTAGGCTGGGTGACACATTGAGATCCTGTCTAATAAATAAATGTAAAGGTCTACTTCTAGAGAAACAATGTTAAAGAGTGAGTTTTCTTGCCCTGCCTCCACGTCACGTTGTGGGTCAGGCTGCCCTGGGATGGGGTCCCCTTGCCCCAGCCTTTTTGAATCTGCTCTGGATACAGCTCTGCCTGGAGGAACAGGGTATACACCCAGGAAAAGGGCCCCTTCTTGCGCCTGGTGGGGGCGGTGAGAGTGGATGGTCTGCATGTGTGTGGTGGGAGCTGCTGCCAAGGTGGAACAGTTTCCCTGCCGTCTCCCCCTGTCCTGGAGCTGGAGCATTCTGGAGAAAGGATGATCCTAGGTACCCTTTGGTGATGCAAATCGAGGAGGAGGAAGAGGGCCATGCCAAGCCCGCCCCCCAATCCAGGGCGGACCTGGTAGGAATGAACTGGAAGGAATAAATGGACAAACCAAGTTGAAGATGGGGACGGGGGTGAAGAGCTCCTTTGGAGTCCAGCCTGACTCAAATTGTCCTGCCCTGCCCCTGGAACCCTGGTTCACTGTCCGGCCTGAAGGTCCCTGGGGCGGGGCCTCTGCACCCCTGAATCTGGCGCAGAGCAGGTGTATGTGAAGGTGAATGTAAGGAAAAGAGATGCTTGAATTCTGAATCCCACTGAAATTAGCCTAGGAACTTCATCAAAACAATCACCTCTTTGGGGAGGAAATAGGTACTAAAATTCATCCAACTGTGACGCCTGCTTTCAGCATCTCAGCTACATTCATGCATTCTCAAATTCTCAGCCTGATTTTATTTTTTTCCTGATTTAGGGTCTCACTCTGTCACCCAGGCTGGAGTGCAGTGGCTCGATGATAACTCACTGCAGCTCAAGTGATCCTCCTGCCTCAGCCTCCGGGGTAGCTGGGACTCTAGGCATGTACTACCACGCCCGACTAATTTTGTGCTTAATTTTTTTTTTTTTTTTGTAGAGACAGGGGTCTTACTATGTTGCCCAGGCTGGTCTTGAACTCCTGGCCTGAAGCGATCCTCCCACCTGAGCATTCCAAAGTTCAGCTTTAATAGTGAAGTACCATCTATGTGGGAAGTGGGATTTAATTCTCAAGTTTAAAGATTTTTTTCTCATATTGATTTTAACTCCATTGATCAGGACTTGACTATCTTATATTTAAGGCAACTTTAAAGGTGGGCTGGACTAGGCTGGGCGCGGTGGCTCATGCCTGTAATCCCAGCACTTTGGGAAGCCAAGGCGGGCAGATCACTTGAGATCAGGAGTTCCAGACCAGTCAACATGGTGAAAACCCATCTCTACTAAAAATACAAAAATTAGCCAGGCGTGGTGGCAGGTGCCTGTAATACCAGCTACTTGGGAGGCTGAGGCAGAGAATTGCTTGAACCCGGGAGGCAGAGGTCGCAGTGAGCTGAGATCGTGCCTCTGCACTCCAGCCTGGGCGACAGAGCGAGACGCCATCTCAAAAAAAAAAAAAAAAAAAAAAGGGTGGGCAGACTAAAGCTTCTCTTTCCTTAGGAAATATTTTATAGACACAAATGAGATTATATGAGGAGGTTTAAATTCCATCAGACACAAAACAGCTCAACACTCTCAACCACTAGGAGATAACTCATTTACCTAAGATCTCAAATGTATGTTAATTAAAATATAGTCTTTTCTCCCGATTAAAGCCAGTCTCCTAAGGGTTGCTACCAAGTCATGCCCCTATGGCTTGTGCTTAAAGCACAACCCCACGTGGCAGCTTTTGCTAGTTGCTTTTCAATCTCCACTACCCCTTTCCTCCCAAATAAGAAAACTCTGATTTTTAGCTGGGTCTACTGCTGCCCAATTGAAAGATGGCATTTCCCAGCCTCCCTGGCAGCTGGGGCATGGTTGTGTGGCTAAGTTCTCCCACCACCTTCAAGAAGTGGAAAGGTGTGAGACTTCTGGAAAGTCTCCCTGAACGAGAGAGGCATATCCATCTTCTCTTTTGCAGCTGGTTCCTGGGCCGAGGAGGTGATGGCAGGAATGTGGGCAGCCATCCTGGATCATGAAGAAACGTGAATGGCAGATAGAAAAGCTGATCCTTGAGGACTTTAGGGCTGCCATACCAACCACGATTGCCTCTCCATGGACCTCTTTTATAAAAATATGAGTAATATTCTTGTTTAGGCCACTGTGATGTTGGGATTTTTCAATACATGCAGCTAAACCTAACTGATACCCCACTTCCCCAAGTTCAGCCTTCATCCCATGCACAATTTCAAACTATAAAACACAGGAAGGGAGCCTCTGAGCAGATACAACTGCTCCAGGCCTTGGAGTTGGCCAAGGATAGACCCACAGAGAACAGCCATTCACTCAGTGGACAAGCCCATCAAGTGTCTACCCCAAGATCCTGTGCTGAAGAAATGATGGCTTTGGGAGCAGCAGGTTTTATGGGGGAAGACTGAGAGTGTGGTTTGGGACACGTTAAATTTGAGAGGATCTGTTAGGCGTCCAAATGGTGAAGAACAGGTAAACAGGTCTGGAGTTTCAGGGTTGAGGCTAGAGATATAGGTTTTGAGAAGTTTGGGAGAAAATGGTTGTTTATAAAACCATGTAACTGTAGGAAATCCCCCAGGGAGGGAGTGGATAGAGTAGGTTCCAAGGACTGAGTCCAGGGTCTCCAGTGTTGAGAGGTCGGTGAGCAGGGGAGGCATCCAGCCAAGGAGATCAAGCAGGAGTGGCCAGGAGCGAGGAGGAGAAGTGGACAGTGGGATCTGTTTCAGCCAAGTGAGGATGCTGTGTCACGGAGAGGGCACAGTCGGCTGGGTCACGTGGTAGTGACAGTTCAAGGAAGAGATGAGCGCTGACCCCGATCATCGGATTTTGCAACATCAAGGTCAAGGATGACTTTGATAAAGAGCTTCAGAGGAGTGGTTGGGTGAAAATCTGATGGGAGTAGTTTCCAGAAAGAACAAGTGGGAAGGAATTGGAGATAAGGGGAAACTCCAGAGGGGTTTTGCCCTTCAGAGGGTCGACTGGGTGGTAGGAAGAGGAGAGTAGGGAAAATCAATCAGTTACTCAAAAATAAACATGGACCCTACCCCCAACTAAGAGAAATCTTAGATGCCAGCGCGCCTAGGCTCACATCGCGTCTGTTGGAATAAAGTGGTCATGGAGCCCACGGACCTTTCTGAGCACCTGGCACTGGCCAGTGAGGACAAGCAGGAACAGGTCAGACTTCTCAATTCTGAACCGAGGGGGGCATGACTTCCATCTCCTGTGTCTTACATCTGCACGTTTCACAACAAGCCAGAGACGTGGTGGTGGTGCGGCAGGGAAAAGTGCAGCGCTGTGGGGTCAGGCCGACCCAGATCCGCCGTGATCTGGATGCAACCCCCACAGCCAGGGCACGCCGGCCTCGTTGTGCCTGCTTCTCTGGCTGTCAATGGGAAGTTTAAGTGAGGCCACGTGTGGGTTTTTAGCTCTCTGCTTGACACATAGCAGGTACTCAGATTGAGGTGAGCGTTTTAAGGTACAAATTAGGGCACCACTGGGGGGAGTAGCGAGGGCGGAAGAGTATCTTTTTAGAACGCACCGCTGATAGTGGTGATTTAAAAAAAAAAAAAGAGGCACCGTTCACTTTCATCGGGGAGCTGGGAAGAAGACAGAAGAGGTGTTTGGGAGAAGCAAGATGAGCAGCGAGCGAGAGGGAACCGGCCGGCAGGTCATGAAAATCGGCGGCGCGTCGCCCCGCACCTGTCCCGCCCCCGTACCTGGCGGGCGCTCGGGGCAGCCGAGCCCTCCTGCCGCCGCCACCTGCCACCGCAGCAGTTTCCTGGGCCAGCTGGGGCTAAGGTGTTGGCAGTCGTCGTCCGTCAGCTCCCGGTAGGCAGGACGCCGCGGCTGTTTGGCGTCGTCACCTAGCAACCGGCGGCACGCTCCGCCGCCATCGGGTGGACTACAACTCCCACAATACACAGCGCCGCGGCGCGGCCCGGGACGCCAAGCCCTGGGCGCCACCTCCCCGCCATGCCTTTCGGGACTTGTAGTTTCTTGGATACCCGGGCGCGGCGGGTCGCCCCGCCGGCAGGGAGCGCGCCTCGGGCGGGGTGCGGCGCCCGCGCAGGGATTGGGCCGCCTCCGCCCCGCCCGCCCCGCCCGCAGCGCGCGGTGGGCCCGGGGCTCGCGGCGCCCTAGGCGCATGTGCGGCGCGGGGCGGCCGTGACCAGCGGAGCGCTGGGTGTCAGTGAGCAGCGAGGAGCCGCGCGCCCCCGTGCCCGCGTCTGTCCGTGCGCCCGAGCGCCCACTCCCGGGTCTGAGGTCTGCCCGGCGCGCCGCTTGCAGAGCATACTCAGGGCCGCGCACCTGCCCCGCGCACCTGCCCGCCGCCCGCTCGGCGCTCCGGGCTTCGCTAGCCAGCCTCCCTGCGACAGCGCGGGGGCTCCGGCCGTGCCTCCGCGTCCGCCCCGCGCCTCAGCCGGGCCCGGGCGCAGCGCTGCGGAGGGCGAGGGCCGCCCGGAGTCCGGCCAGGGCCGGCGCGGCGATGATGAACAGGTTCCGAAAGTGGCTCTACAAACCCAAGGTGAGCGGCCCCGCTCGGGCCGGACGCCCCCCGCGTCGCGGCCTCTCCCTTCCCCAGGACCGCCCGTCCGCCCTACAAGACGGACTCCCTTTCCCTGTCCGTGGCCGGCCTCTTCCCCCACCGCCGACATCCTTCCCTCCACTCCAAGACTTGGACAGATCTTCATCGCCCTGTCTCTGAGGCGGATCCGAACCTCCCTCCCGGCTTCCTAAGCCCGGGTCCAGGACTGACCCTCCTGCTCCTCCTCTCGGGCCGGGGCGCACTTTCCCTCCCCCTCTATCCAGGGCCACAACGGGCCCCTCTCCCTCCTCATCCCGGTCCTGGACGGTGCCCTCCTACACTTCGTGGTCCCCAGCCCGCGGGCCCGGAGCAGACCCCCTACTACTTCTCCGTCTCCCCTCCCTGCACCAGGAATGCCCCCTCATTCCCGTCCTGCCCCCACCCCCATTGTCCTGGGCCCGGAATAGATCTCCCTCCGCACTCCAGAACAGACCCTCTCCCCACTTCCCCAGGTTCTGAGAGAACCCACATTTCCCAATCCCTGGGTCCAGGGCAGACCCGTCCTTCCATGTCCAGAGAGGATCCTGATGGCCCTGCCAACGGCCTCCCTTCCCGAACCAGGACTGACCCACACCTCGGCCCAGTTCGCGTCCCCTCCCTTGTCCCTATCCTTGTCCCTTCCCCACCCACGTCCTCTGGAATCCGGGACAGGTCCTCCGCCCGGCCCTTGGGGCGAGCGCGCCCGTGGCCAGCAGCCTCGGCGGGGCGGGAGGTGCGGCTCTCCAGCCGGCGCCCGCGCCTCTCCTAGCGCCGCGGGGTCGGGGTCCGGGCGGCGCGCCCCGTGCCTCAGCGGCTGCGCCAGTCGCACTGCGGGCGCTGCGTCCCCGCCGCCCGCCTGGGGCTCGTGCCCGCTGCAGCCGGAGCAGGGCCGGGCGCGCTCGGCGCGGGATGAAGGCGCGGCGGTGTTCAGGATCCCGGCGCAGGGTCCAGGGCGCATCTGGGCGTCCGAGGGTGGCACCCTGGGGCCGGCGCAGCGGGGAGGCCCGGGCCCTGAGATCTTGGGGGAGGTCACGGCTCGGGTGGGGTCACCGCGGCGACCAAGGGCGGGAGTGGGGCCAGCGCTTCGTCCGGGCAGCTCGGACGTCCGAGGCCACCGCGTTGCCGACCTACCCCTCCTCCCTCCACTGGCCGCCTTTCTCCGTCCAGCGTCCCAGGCCTCCGCCTCCACCGTGGGTGAGCTGTCACGGCAGAGGTTTCCTGAAATCCGTGCCTCGCGTGCGCCCATTCCAGGAAGGCGGGAGGTGGGTTTGGAAGATCGGCACGGAGGTTTGAGGGCTCACTCAGGGCCCCGAAGGGCGCGTGCTTCACGGCCTTTGAGGTCGGGGAATTCTGTTTGTCGTTGCCGGAGTGTTGGGTTGAGGGCTTACGGTACATGGGGCGCCCCTTGCTCGGCCTTGGCTTGATTGGGAGGGGACTCGGGGGGATTCAGGGTTCCTGTGGCGTCACTCCCTGCTCCCAACCTCCCTGTCCCTAGCAGCGACTTCTTAAGGGTTCGTCCCGAGCCTTGCGTTTCCTGGCGCTGGGTGTGGTTTGGGGCCGAGCCGTCTGCGCCCAGCCTCTCCTCCTGCGGCGCCTTCGAGCCCCTCTCGGTCCTGCCTGCTGCCCCCATGTGCCTCTGCCGGGGTAGGGCGGTGGCCTCCGCTCTGGATAGCTGTATGAATGGTGTTTGGTTCCAGTGACTTTTCCTCACCAGTTACTGAAAACCAAGTCTGCTTGTAAAACGGCGTTTTGGGGGCGTGCAGCAGCATTATTTTCTGTGACAAATGGCGGGAGGCAGCTGGAGAAATGTGTCTTAGGTCTTAACTAACATTCTGGTGTCGCTGAAGGCACTTGCTGGGACACTAGGGGATGCCCCTCCGGACGTGGCTGTGGAAGAGGCCGCATTTGGGGGATCACCCTTCTAATCGTGTTGAAAAGGAAGGAAAAATAATTGTAGACTCTGTTTCATGAGTAGCTGAGTAATTTCAGGATGGCCTTGTCTGTTTCCGTTTAGGGAAGACAGGTTAAAGGTAGAACATGGTACTAGACGTTGTCCTGAGAATTAGGAATTGCGTTCCCAACTTTTCCTCTTCAGCAGGCAGCTGCCTTTCCAGGCAGGCGGCGGGCACCAAGAGGGCACAGCCAGTGAATCAGCTGATCCCAGGGATCAGCCCAGAGCTGTGTGCCTCCGGAGAAGGGATGGAACAGGATTGATGTGGATCTCTCCTTTTTCTCGTTGTCTTCTCCTGGCATGCTGTCTGGTAGTAGCTCCAGAGCTCTGGACTTGAGACGTATCTCCATTTCAGATCTGTCTCTGGCCATAGCATTTTTCTGGGAGCTGGTGCCCTGTGGGCAGTCTGAACTTGGGCTGTCTCTTATTTGAGAAATGTCTTTGGAGTTAAATATCTTGATTGTTTGAAGGGTCGGAGTATGTTATGTCACTCCATAGCTTTTCATTTTTCAAACCAAAGCTCAGATTCTTGCCTTGGATTATGAATTGAATTTTATGCTTCCCCTTCCTGTCTAATTTAACACATTTTGGCACAAATAAGCACAAAGTCAGTCCTGGGAAGATTCTGGGCCTGGAAGAGTTGAAGTGTTAAACATTAGCTGTGGGAGGATGTGTCTGGGGGAGACTGTTGCCTGCAGTCAGGAATTTTTTTCCCACTTTGTATTTAGATAGATGTACAATTCAAACTGAATTTTTAATTGAATTCCTGCTTTGGTTTAAAACTGCACAGCGAGCTTCTTTTTATAAATTTTTAAGTGTGTGTGTGTGTGTGTGTGTGTGTGTAGAGACAGGGTCTCACTATGTTGCCCCGGCTGGACTCAAATTCCTGGCCTCAAGCAATCCTCCTGCCTCAGCCTCCCGAAGCACTGGGATTACAGGTGTGAGCCACTGTGCTTGGCCAGCACTGAGCTTCTTGTTCATCACAATATGGTGGAAAATATTCTGAAATGAAAATATTATTCACTGTTCTTATAGTTATAAAAAGCAATTGGAAATGCTGAAAAATATTCCTGTGTGACATACATTTTGATATCTGAATAAAAATTAGCTACTACGTTAGCTACCTAAGTTGAGTAAAAGAATGCCTGATGAATAATACAAAAGTTTAACATTAAAATGACATTTGCAAATTATATTTCTATTCACTTTCTTAATCAGTCTTTTAAACACCAATATGATTTTTCTTGGTATAAAGTGTTCAGATCTTGTAAGTATTATCCTGACTTTGAACACTCCCAGGAAGAGACGGTGCAGGAAAACCTGTCAGCTTGTCCTGCTTTATTGATGTTGGTGAAATACTTTCTTGCCTTTCTTTAAAGTCTTTTCAAGAGAGTTTATGCTTTAGAAAGGCAAACCATTTTGGCATGGTTGGTGTCTTCATCTGAAACAAAAGTCTCAGTGCTGTGTTTCTTGCTTGGTTATGACTTTCTATTGATTGACCTGGCTGGAAGTTCCTGGTCACTAGGAGGTGAGAATTCCCGGCATGGGGGAGAGGGACCTGGACACTTACCTGGACCTGGGAGAGATTTCCTGGCCATCACCAAAGAGCATATTAATATCACTCAGGATGAATTTGTGTTTTCCATCTTTGAGGAGGAATTGACCCTCAGTGGGTTATGCTGGCTGGGTGGATGGGGTAGTTCCCATGTGGCTGGTTACCATGCTCAACCTTGCACTCCGAGAAGAGCTCGCTTGTCTGCACCCCCAGACCGTTTTCAGAGTGGGGGCTATTAACCTTTCTTGTCCCCCCGCTTTGTAGGAGAACATTCCTTATAAATCTGCCTTACTGAGTGATGTGTATTTGGCAACTTCCTGTAAACATTCCAGGCCCAGATTAGCGATGACATGGCCTTTGCCAAGAGAAGCCTGAGTGACTTGCTGGGTGTGTGTGCTTTATGAAAGAAGACCCCTTTGGGTTTGGTAAAGTCTGCCTGGGTGCCAACCCCACTGGCATGTTTTGTGGGAACCTGCCAGGACTGAGCAGTACTGAGTATGGGACTTCCTGCCCTTCGGCTCTTGTTAACCCAGCCTCAGTCACCTGAGGGTTTTCGGGGTTCCAGCCCACTTGGTCATGGGCCCTTGAAGAGAGCTGCCCATTGGTGGCCAGCACTCTGTACCTTGGCCACCTGGTTGAGAGGGGCGGCACCCTGGAAACGAAGTGGCAGATGGGGGCGGGCCCCAGAGTGGGGGGTGGGGCAAGGTCTGGATATATCTGTTTGGTCCCGAAGTGCAGAGATGAGGCGCAGCCCAGTCCTCCTTTTGGGGCTCCCCACTGGTGGCTGAGGGTGAGGGGCGATGACAGAGATCCCCCAGAAGTATACAGCTGGGGCTTGGAAGGCTGTGGGAGGGGTCTTGGTGGACACTGGGGCCTGGCACGAGTGGGGCCTATGAGAGGGCAGTCACTGGCATGTGCCTTGACTTCCCTGCTTTGCGTCACCTGGGAAACGAATGGCTGTCCCTACAGCACTGCGTCCATGCCCCATGCCAAGCACAGACCCTGTTCCAGGGACTTGGGATTTGAGTGATAACTTCTAGCCAGGCTACTGATGAATTCGTTTTCAGCTGATAAACTCCAAGTGCCCAGCTGTGGCAGGGGGTTGTCCTTGGCCTGGCACGTTTCTCTCTGAGGTGAGCTGCTGGAAAGCCAGTGTTCCGGATGCTGCACAGGCTGAGCCCGGCGGTGCTCCCTCTCCTGGCGGGCGCCTGGCACGGAGGGGGCTCAGGAAGTCCTGGGAGGACGCTTGGCAGTGCTGAGTCAGAGCAGGCGTGGCTGGCCCTGCGCACCGGTCTCTCTCAGCTGTGTGTGGTTCTCTGAATTCAGAAGGCTCTGGGGCTCCCCCGGCGGCTCTGCATCCAGGTCATGCCACCCCTCCCAGAAAGCCTTCCTTTTTCCACATCAGCACTCAGGCTGTGGTCAGCGGGAGTGCAGTGCGGACGCCTGAGAGCCCATGTGCTCTTGAGGTGGCTTTGTAGAACCTACTCCCTGGCCTCTTAGGAAGTGACTCTCAGCGGGCAGCTCACGTCTCATTTCCTGCGCTTTGCTGAGGTTTCTGTTTGTGGTTGGGGGAGTGTGGGACCTCACATGCCTTGCCTTGTGCCAGCGGCATTTGCAGGGCAATTAAGAGCCTGGGCTGCAGACAGAGGGCGAGCATCACTCCCTGCGCCGACTCTGTCATCACTCAGGGCTCTCCTTCCCTGGCAGGGCAGGGCTGGGCGCTTACTGGAAACGTCTGGTATGGTTTCTGTTAAATGGGCGAGTCAGAGGCAGAGAGTCGAGAGCTTCACGTAATTGATATTTGGACTCAGCAGGCAGGGCAGACGGGGGAGGGAAGCAGGGCCTCAGTGTCCTGCCCCACAGGCTGAGTGTCTTTAGGTCATTTTGTTCGACCTTAAGAGGAGAGATGGCTAATTTAAGGCGGCTTCAGTGGCCATTTTCAGCCACCAAGAATTCCCAGAATACCGGATGTGCTTGCTCTAAATGTGTGAAGGTGCACATCTGAGAGCTGGTAAGTGACAGCCAGGGTGTGGTTTTGTTTGAGTTGACAGCCTTGTGCAGCTACAGGGTGTGCCGGGTGCAAAGGTGAATAATGGTGAGCTGATTCCAATTTGAAGAAAAATAAATGCTGAGAAGGCTGTGGGTTTCAGTGCTTCCCCAGTGTTTTCTTGTCTTCAGTGGTTGCCGGTCATGTGTCTAAATAGCATTGGAGCTCCAGGGCCTGGCTGGGAATTCTCGTCCCTCCCACACCTGTGCCTCAGTTTCCCTAGTGTCAGGTGGGGATGCTGAGACCTGCCTTCTGGAATTGTTGGGAGCATGTGAGGAGATCATCTCTGTCCAAGACTCACAGTAACAGCTCAACCAATGACCCCAGTCAATAATGGCAGAACCAGTGGGTGGTGTAAGCAGGCGGGGACTTCCACAGAACCAACGTTTAGCTACCTTAGGGTTTCATGTCAGTGTTTCTTGGAGTCTCAGAGGCCATCACAGCTTCCAGTTCCTCCAGCCAGGCCATTCTGAGAGTGAAAGCGTCTCAGTGGGGGCCTGCCACCCCTGTGCCTTTTTCTGGTAGGTGGCGGGTACTTGGTTGCTGGGAACAGACCCTGACTTAGTACGCCTCAGGCATCCCCGTGGATCTGGTTACAGGTCCCCCTGAGGATGAAGGATGCGCCCTGCCCCTGCCTGCGCCCCAGGGGGGAGATGCTGCCATGTGCTCACTCACCACGTGAGCACCTGCCTCCTCTATGGTTGTCAGGACCAGGGCTGACTGCAGCCGGTGTGGGCAGCAATGGGGTTCACCATGTCGGACTGGCCCCCAAACCTCTCATGCTGTCCTCCCATGGCCTGTGCCCCCCATTTGTTGTCTGGATGCCCAGGACCTAGGAGAGGACTCCAGGGCTCGGGTGGCAGCGGGGAAGGGGCTGGGGTGCACTTGTGCTGCACTGTGATGTGAGGGGATGAGCTTCTATCCGTTAAGGCACTGAGGTGTGAGGGTCATTTGTGAACGTTTAAACTATGCTGATGCACCCTGTTTTACAAATGGGGTCTCAAGACAAGTCACCTTGCTCGAACCTCTACAGCCAGGAGGAAGCAGGGCTGGGATTTACACTCCTGTCCGCGGGACCCCAGAGCTGGCACCCGTATGCGTCAGGCAAAGTCTCCTTTCCTGCAGGAAGGCACTGGACTGTCATCGGATTTTACATGAGTCCCATTTGGTGAAACGATTACTTTTGTCTTTTTTCAGTTGGATTGCAAAAAAAACTTAGATATTGATGGGCAAGTCAAGTGTTTGAAGGAGGAAGACAAAAGTGAATGGATATTTTTTGACTGATCTGAATAGATTAAGCACAAGTAGAATAGAACATTTTATGTTATGGTAATTAATGTAGAATAGTTGGATAGGATGAATGGAATGATTTTTTCCTTCTTACAGTAAGCATTTTGAAGCTCTTCCATTTCTCATTGTTTTCCTGCTGGAGGGAGGCAGGGGGTGTAGGGGACACATCAAGTGGGGGGGCCCCTCCATGGACAAGGAACATGGGTCCAAACTGCATGGCTGGCTCTCTAAGTCTCTGCCACGGGTGGGTTTTGCTCCAGCTGTGCTGCGCTTGGCTCTCCCCCACCAGAAAGGTGGTATTTTACACCGGCTTCCTGGGGAGACTGGGCTAGCACACCCAATTTAGGATAGTGTCCTTAGGGCAATGTTTTTTTCTTTGGATTTCAGTTTTTGAGAATGTTTCCAATTATTTTTAGGGATATCATGATTACAAAAAACACCTAAAAGCAGAATCAACTACTTAAATGTCAGATACATTTAAGAATTGTACACTCATGTTCATAGCAGCTTTATACATAACAGCCAAAAGGGGGAAACAACCCAAACGTCCATGGAAGGAAGAACAGATACATGTGGTCCCTCCACACCATGGCATGACATTAGCATTAGAAAGGGCGTGGTGGCTCACACCTGTAATCCCAGCACTTTGGGAGGTCGAGGCAGGCGGATCACGAGGTCAGGAGATTGAGACCATCCTGGCTAACACGGTGAAACCCCGTCTCTACTAAAAATACAGAAAATTAGCCGGGTGTGGTGGCGGGCGCCTGTAGTCCCAGCTACTCAGGAGGCTGAGGCAGGAGAATGGCGTGAACCTGGGAGGCGGAGCTTGCAGTGAGCCGAGATGGTGCCACTGCACTCCAGCCTGGGCAACAGAGCGAGACTCTATCTCAAAAAAATAAAAATAAATAAATAAATAAAGTTAAAAAAATGAAAAAAAAAAAAAAAAAAGAAAGGGAGGATGTTCTGATACAAGCCATCGCCATGAGCCTGGAATACAGGATGATAATCAAAAGAAGCCAGTCACAAAGGGCTGCGTCTTGTATGATTCCATTTCTATGAAATGTCCAGAAGAGGCAAATCCATTGAGACAGAAAGCAGATCGGCGGTTGCCAGGGGTTGGAGAGTGGAAGTGGAAATGGGGAGTGATGATTTAAAGGGCATGGGGTTTCCTTTTGGGGTGATGAAAAGGTTTTGACGCAGCAAGAGGTGGTGGTTGGGCAGCATTGTGAACGCAGTAAATGCCATTGTATTGTACCCTCTAAGATGGTTGATTGTATGTTGTGTGGATTTCACCTCAATTTAAAAAAAGGAATTGTACCACTTTTTGAGGTTAACAGATAATCAAGGGAAAAGGTGTTTTGCCCCTGAATAAAAAAAAATAGGAAAATAGGCCCAGAGCCATGGTTCCTGAGTTTGGCTTTCTGCGTAGGCAGCTGACTTGGGGGCTTTGGAAAGCACCCTGCCAGCCTGGCCCGCTGACTGTGGCCACCTGGCGGGGGCATCTTCCTGGTCTCTGAAGATGGATCCTCAAGTCCCAGCCCAGCCTCTCCTCCCACCCTGTGCTGCTGGCAGGGCCCTTGTCCTGGGGCTTCCAGAAGACAGCGTGAAGGAGTTCTGTGTCTGGGATTGATCGTGGTTGGGTAGTTCTGACAAATTTCTCAAACCGACCTCCTCCCACAGAGCTGCCCGCAGGGGTCAGCCCCCCCACCCCACCGTGGGTGTACTGGACTCAGCCTTCTCACAGCGCCGGCATGGGCTGCTCAGTGGGAATCTCCAAGGCTGTCAGGCCATGTGGGCCTTGCCTGAGCCAGGGATCGGAGGGACAGCGAGCAGCCAGCGGAGTGGGGGCGAGGGGGCTGCTGAGATGTGAGTGGCAAGGGGGTGTGGGTCGCGGAGCCTGAAAGGCTGGGTGCACTTGGAGCACAGGGGACAAGGTGGGGTCGCTGCAGATGGGGTTGGGAGGTCGCCTGGGGATGGGTCACAGGCAAGGAAGGTGGGGGCATGATGGGGTCAGCACTGCTGTTTGCGGGGTCCTTCCAGGCCTGCTGTGGGAGAGACGAGATTGGAAGCTGGGACTGGTGGGTGGCGGGGATTCCAGCGAGAGGATGGCAGCAGGCGACTCTGGATGGAGAAAGTAGATGGATCTGGGCCTGGTGGGGGTGGGACCTGGCTGGGGGAGAGGTGCTGTTTGGGGATGGGGAGCTCAGGAGAGGAGCTGCGAGGTGGAGGGTGGAGATGGGGGTGCAGAAGTAGGGGTTTGGACAGTGTGTTTGATGGCCATGCAACTCCACGGGGAATGTGAGGGTGGGGGGCCAGGGGCGTTCAGGGCTGTGTCACAGACCGCGTAAAGGCAGACCTCCCCACTGCGAGATGCCCAGGCATGTTGGATAAAATCACAAAAACATTTTTAAAAGTACTGAGCTGGCAAGAGAGAAGGTGTAACCCCTAGTGCCAGAAATAAGAGGAAACTAAAACCTAAAGCTGAGTGCATGGGAAGGTCCACTTAGAAACCGCCGGGAACTGAGAGCTTCAAACCATCACTGCTGCCCCACGTCAGGATTGGGTGGATCAGCCCGTGGGGCGGGGCTCACCTGGGCGTGGCTTCATCTAGGTGGGGCTTATATGGGCAGGACTCACAGTGTGGGGCCATCTGGATAGGGCTGCATCTGGGCGGGGTGGCATCTGGGCGGGGCTTCATCATCTAGGCAGGCTTACCTGGGTGGTACTCATCTGGGCGGGACTCTATCTGGATGGGGCGCCATCATCTAGGTGGGCTTACCTGGGTGGGGCTTCATCTAGATGGGGCTTACCTGGGCGGGGCCCAACTGGGCGGAGCTTCAGTTGGGAAGGGTCAGCCAGCTGAACCATCTGCGGCCTTTGGTCCACCCCGGCTGGTGCAGCTGTCAGGCAGGCCCCCTCCAGGCTTTCTCCCCGATGCTGAGTCTCAGGGCAGTGGAGCAGAGTGGCAAGGTGATCCTGAGGCCCAGCCTGGAAGTCACATGGCATCACCTCCACAGTGTCCATAGGGCCAGCCCCCATTAAATGGGGGGGGCTGTCACCTCCACTTCTCGGTGCGGGGAGTAGCAGAGTCACATCTCAAAGGGCAGGTGTGGGGATGCAGGGAAATGCTGGCTTGGTAGGATGTTCTTGGGAGCACTCACAGGGAGGCCCAGGGCATGGTGGGGTTAGGGGAGATGTGTTGGTCCAGGACTGGGTGAAGCATTGCTGTCCAGTGAGGGCAGGTTGGAGCAAGGGTCAGACAGGAATCTGTGGCCTTGAGGCCTGGAGGCCAGGGGGCCAGGAAAGCCCCATAGGCCACTTCAGCACAGGGTCACCTGGGCAGCCTGGCCGAGTGAGGTACATGGTGTTCTGGAGGAGCCCTCCTGCCACACCTCTGAAGTGGAGTTCATAGTAGAAAGTTACAAGACAGAGGAGAAAGGGGTTCTCCGTGAGCACACTCCCTGGCATGCGTAAGGTCAAACCAAGCCAAGAGACTGAGGATAGAAACCACAAGGCAGGCCAGGCACAGTGGCTCACGCCTGTAATCCCAGCACTTTGCGAAGCCGAGGCAGGTGGATCACGAGGTCAGGAGGTCAAGACCAGCCTGGCCAACATGGTGAAACCCTGTTTCTACTAAAAATACAAAATTAGCTGGGCGTGGTGGTGCGTCTGTAATCCCAGCTACTCGGGAGGCTGAGGCAGGAGAATCACTTGAATCTGGGAGGCAGAGGTTGCAGTGAGCCGAGATCGTGCCACTACACTCCAGCCTGTGCAATTGTGGGAGCTTCTGAGGCACAGAGGGATGAGAAGGTTCCAGATGTAACTCCTGGGACTTCAGGAGCGAAAACAGGGGGAGAGAGGAGGCTGTTTTCTGCTCACGGCTGAGAATCTTCCCGAGTTGAATCATCAGGTTCATAAGCCCACACCCCAGATGGGAATCAGTGGCACAGCAGGCCCCTCAGATGCTCAGAACGCAGCATCTGAGGGGCCTAAGGGGACAGGCTGCAACCTCACAGGGGCCTCTGCTGGACTGGCTGAATACTGGAGGCCTGGAGGACTGTGGAGCGAAATCTTTCTAGGGCCACAGGGAGCAAAGTCAGAGTAGAGTTCTGGGCTTAGCTAAGCTGTCGTTCGTGGAGGAGAGCAAAATGGAAGACAGTTTTAGACGAAGACAAAAAAGTAACCGCCCCCAAATCATTGCTGAAGAAGTACTGGAAAATGTACTCCAAGAGGAAAATCAAAGTCAGAAGGAAGGAGTGGGAGGCAAGGTGCAATGGTGGGGCCCAGGAGTCGGGGAGGGAGTGGGTAGATGGGAGCAGCAGTCACCTTGGGGAGCGTGAGCATCCGTGCTCCTGGCAAGGGGGAGTGGAAATTCTGGACAGCAATGCCTGGACAGCAATCAGAGCTGGCACTGAGGTCTTTGATGGTTTGCAATAAGGCTGGATTTGAGACCATGAGCTAAGTGTGTGAATTACCACAGGGTAGGCACTAGGATAACAGTCCCAGAAGAAGGGATAACTCCTAAACCAGGGGAGGGAGAAAGAGAATAAAGGAAATAATCCAATCAAAGCAGGAAAGGATGAGAAGAGGGCAGCAAAGCAAAAGCACAACAAACAAAAAGCAAAAACTAAAGCTGTAGAAATAATTGCACGTAAGTCAGGCATCACAGGGAGTGGAGCAAATCCACCTCCCAGACAGAGACTGAGAGTGCACCTGTGCGTTGAACAATCCAACCTTGTGCTGTTGACGAGAGATGTCCACGAGACAGCTTCCGCAGAAAGGCTGAAAAGAAAGGGGCAGAAAAGGTGAACCAGGCGTTTACCAAAAGCAAGGAGGTGAGGTTCTTTCTCCCTGTATCAGGTAAGCACGGCGCTCAAAGCAGAGTGACAGCATGTTTCCCCACAGGGAGGGGATGGCTTCCTGCTGCACACCATCGGCTCCCAGGCCTGGCTGCCCCACCTCTTTAATCCTGGTCTCAGTCACAGGAGCTCTCGGGCAGCCCCTTCTCAGTGTTTTGTTTTGTTTTTTTTTGAGACAGAGTCTTGTTCTGTGGCCCAGGCTGGAGTATAGTGGCACGATCTTGGCTCACTGCTACCTCTGCCTCCTGGGTTCAAGTGATTCTCCTGCCTCAGCCTCTCGAGTAGCTGGGATTACAGGTGTGCACCACCACACCCAGCTAATTTTTGTATTTTTGACAGAGATGGGGTTTCATCATGTTGGCCAGGCTGGTCTTGAATTCCTGACCTCAAGTGATTCACCTGCCTCGGCCTCCCAAAGTGCTGGGATTACAGGCATGTGCCACCATGCCCGGCTAATTTTCTTTCCTTTCTTTCTTTCTTTTTTTTTTTTTTTTTTGAGACAGAATCCATTCTGTGGCCCAGGCTGGAGTATAGCAGCGCAATCTTGGCTCACTGCAACCTCCGCCTCCCAAATTCAAGTGATCCTCCTGCCTCAGCCTCCCGAGTAGCTGGGATTACAGGCGCCTGCCACCATGCCCAGCTAATTTTTATATTTTTAGTAGAGATGGGGGTTTCACCATGTTGGCCAGGGTGGTCTCGAACTCCTGACCTCAGATGATCCCCCTGCCTTGGCCTCCCAAAGTGCTGGGATTATAGGCGTGAGCCACTGCGCCCAGCCAGTGGGCATTTTGAAACTGTTGAAAGAACCAAGAGAACCCGAGGGACAGTGACAGGAGTGCTGGCTGTCGGCCTCACCTGGCTCCTTCCTGACCACTCCAAGGGACGTGAGGTCTCAGAGACAATGGGCACGGGGGCCACTCTCCTGTGCCCCGGCCCCTTCCCTCTGACCTAGGGAAGGCTTCCTGGCCTGCAGATCTCAGAGCCTGGGCCTGCTCAAGGTTACAGCTCGGCCATGTGGCTGCCTGCAGTGGGAGCGGGGCACTGCAGGGAATGATGGGAAACTGTAAGTCTGCTCAGCGCACCCATCAGTCGACCATCAGCACAGTCGATCTGCAGCCTCCCACAGCGTCTGAAATCCAAGGAAGTCCCATTGGTCTTCTCAAATTTGGTCCAATTGGTGTGCTCCAGACACTTCTGAAAAGGCCAAGGACTGTGGGTGGTAAGGCCTGCCTCAAAGCTCACTGTGGGGAGAGAATGGAAAAGCAGGTGGCGGTGCACCCCATCTTCCCTTCGCGGTGCCGCTTGGAGTATGGGGAAGACACATGGCTTCTCTCCTGAAGGCCCCAGGCCCAGCACCGCTTTGTCCGGGCCACTCTCTGGGGGTATCTGGGGCTCACTTTGGAACTATCCAAGGATATGCCTTTGGGGACAAATTCGGCTTGTGGATGAGGTTAGTTATGGTTCATTTTTGTTGTTATATATATATTTTAATCTTTTAAGAGATTGAAGTGTGGCTGGGCATGGTGGCCTACGCCTATAATCCCAGCTACTTTGGGTGGCCAAGGGGGACGGATTGCTTGAGCCCAGGAGTTTGAAGCTGCAGTGAACTACGACTGTGCCACTGCACTCCAGCCTGGGCAAGGGTGACAGAGCAAGACCCTCTCTCAAAAAAAAAAAAAAAAAAAAGAGCGAGACTGAGAGGGTGAAATGCAGTGAATATATAGGTAACCATTGAAAGCAAACCATCAGTGATATTTCCTGTATTCGCAATGTGGTGCAGCCATTGGCTCTCTCTGATTTCAAAGCTTTTCCATCATCCCATATAAACACCCTGTTTCTATTATGTAGTCACTCTTCACTCACCCTGCCTCTGGCCCCTGGAACCTCCAGTTGGCTTTCCATCTCTGCGGATTTGCCTGTTCTGGACGTTTCGTATAAAAGGAGTCATATGCTGTGGGGCCTTTTGTGTCTGGCTTCTTCCAGTTTCATCCATGTTGTAGCATGTGTTAGCATTTCATTTTTATGGCTGAATAATATTCCATTAGTGGACAGACCACTTTTTGTTTTCCATTCACCTGCTGATGGACATTTGGGTAGTCTCCATTTTTGGCTGTCATGAATGACACTGGCATGAGCGTGTGTGTTCGAGTCTTTGTAATTTGATTCTCTTGGGGAGGTGCTTGGGTGGAATTACTGTGTAGCTCCATCTTCAGCGTTTTTTTTTTTTTTTTTTTGAGGCGGAGTCTCGCTCCGTCCTGCAGTGGCGCGATCTTGGCTCACTGCAGGCTCCGCCTCCCGGGTTCATGCCATTCTCCTGCCTCAGCCTCCTGAGTAGCTGGGACTACAGGCACCCACCACCATGCCTGGATAATTTTTTTTGTATTTTTATTAGAGACAGGGTTTCACCGTGTTAGCCAGGATGGTCTCGATCTCCTGACCTCGTGATCCGCCCGTCTCAGCCTCCCAATGTGCTGGGATTACAGGTGTGAGCCACCATGCCCGGCCCATCTTCAGCTTTGAGGAACTGCCAACTGCTTTCCCCATTGTGATTCTTTTTTTTTTTTTTTTTTTTCCGAAATGGAGTTTCGCTCTTGTCACCCAGGCTGGAGTGCAATGGCGCAATATCTGCTCGCTGCAACCTCTGCCTCTCGGTTTCAAGCTATTCTCCTGCCTTAGCCTCCTGAGTAGCTGGGACCACAGATGTGCACCACCACACCCAGCTAATTTTTTTTTGTATTTTTAGTAGAGACGGGGTTTCACCATGTTGGCCAGGCTGGTGTCGAATTCCTGACCTCAGGTGATTCACCTGCCTTGGCGTCCCAAAGTGCTGGGATTACAGGCGTGAGCCACTGCAGCTGGCTTCCACTGTGGTTCTTGACAGAGAGTGGGTCATCGGAGGCGGGGTCGGTGAGTGCTGAGAGGGGCCTGAGAGGGCATCTATGGCCCTGCTGTGTGCTATGGCTTTGAGCTGCCCCAGCCCTGGTGAGCGGAGTGCCCTGATAGGACTCCCACTTCTCCTGTGCTTGTAAATCAAGTCAAACCCCTCGAAACCACAGGCCTGGGGAGGTCTTCAGAAGTGCGCTATGTCCTCCCGCCACGATCCAGGGATGGCCAGGGCCGTGCTCCGAGAATTCTGGAAGGCTCATATTGCGTGTTGACACTCGTGTGTGTGACTGCATCTTTCTCTCAATGGAAGGTTCCACGCACTGCTTCCCACGCCCCCACTTGAGTGGCAGTGACAAGGTCCCACTAGTCCTTTGCCCATCTCAGATCCCTCTGCAGACCCGACGCTGGGGTACAGGCTTTTTCCCCTCCTGGGCTGTAGCCCTGGAAGTGTGGGGGCATCTGTGAGGAGCTGGGGCTCAGGGCAGCCCTGGTAGCTGAGGAGAAGGCAGCTGGGGCCACACAGGCTTGGGCCACAGCCCAGAGGGGTCATCAGGCGGCCACGGGGAAAGGACCTGTATTGTTCTGTGTGCCCTGCATTGTCAGAGAGGTCAGCATTGCACTTTGACTTTCCTCAAACACGGATAATGGCACGCCAGCCTCATGGAGACTCCCAAATGGGGATCCTGTTTCTGAGGGTGCTGGATGGGTGGTAGGCACGTCCTGTGAAGACCATGCTGGTGTTAGCTGACCGGGTCCTGAGCTAGGAGGAGGGGCCTTGGTGGAGGGGGCAGGCTTGGCCCTGCAGGGATGGGTCAGTGCTGCCCTGGTTTTCATGCAGTGAGAGGCTGACTGAGAGCAGAGTGAGCTTAAATTCCAGCACTGGTGTATCATTAGATGTGGGTGGGTAAATAGAGCACAAACGCACCTAAGCTTATTAGTCTGGTACAGCTGCTACGGTTTTTAATATTCCCTTCTAAGCCTTTTTCTTGGCATCTGTGTGAGTGTTGTTGTGCGACTGTCTACCGCGTTCCCTGCCCGCTCTCTGCTGTGTGGCTTCCGTGTTGTCTTCTGCCGGCCACTTCCCCGGGCTTTGTGGATCCGACTATGAAACAGTGATGCTGGCGCTGTCTTCCTCACATGCAGTCCTGGCTTGAGGATGTTCTGCTAGTTTTTGCCGCTGTTGCCTGCTCTGCTTAATACAGCTCTTGCTGACCCATCAGGACTTCTGGGGACCATAGCCAAGCAGAGGCTGCAGGACATGGCCTTCCAGCACCTTCTGCTCCTGCAGCGGGCGGGGCGGGAGATGGTGTCTGATGGCGGGGGCGGTGCCGGCTTGCCTGGCCGACTTACTGATCCAAGCCCTGGAGCAGCTGACCTTGGGAGGAGTTGGGGAGGAGGGGCCCCGCCCACCCAGCAGGGCTGTCTCCAGGTTGAAACGAGCTCCCAGCTGCAGCGCTGTCTGTGCGGTGCCTGGTGCCATGAGGGGAGCGGTGGCAGCAGAGCTCCATGCTCACTGGGGACCCAGCTGAGCAAGTCCCTCCTCCAGCGCCAGGGAGAGGATTTTAAAAGCTGCTACCACTGTCCCTCCACAGCCGGCAGGACCGGGATTTCTTCCTCTGTGTCTCTTGACAGCAGAGACTGCAGCATGACAAAGCCTCAGGGTCGTCGTGAGCTGCCCGACCCAAATCCCTCAGGCTGGCCACCACCACGCACACGGGGCTTCAGGGAGCGCTGGGAGGGCCAAGTGAACTGGTTTTGTTTGAAAGGTCTTTCTCATGAGAGGCTCGAGGAGAGGACGCAGCCCAGGTCTTGGGCCGGGACCCCCGCTACCACTGGGACCCCCGAGGGTTTTGCTGCTGATGGATGAAGAGGCTCCTGTGGAACTGTGGCCTCTGCTCTGCACCTGAGCCCCGGGGGTCATAGAGGTTCTTGGGGTGGACTGCGGTGCGGGGCGGCGAGGGGACCGCAAGGAGGCACTCCTTTTGGCTCCTGGCAACTCTGACCAAAAAGGCAGGCCCATGGAAAAGGCAGTTTTATCCTCTGAAAAACCTCTCTGTAGACACTCTCTTCCTTGGCTCAGAACTCACAGAGCCAGAAGGAGGAGGGGGAGGGCCTGGGGTGGGGCAGGTAGCACCGTCTGGTGTCAGAGTGAAAGCACCCTGTGGTTAGGACAGCTTCTGAGTGCTGCCCGGCCGGGAGGGTGTGTCCCTGCGACCCGGGCCCTGGGCCACCTACTGCACAGGCTGTGAGGGTGGGATGTGGGCACCGGGACTCCTGCCCTAGCCCCAGCCGCCTGTGTGAGATGGAGGTGGCAGTGCTTCCCTGCCCCTGTAACTGGGGCACCCCTGGGGTGGCTCTGCACAGGATGAATCGGCACCTCCCCCTTGGGCCATGTGTCGTTGCGTGTGAGCTGTGACCACTGCAAGGTGGCAGGGCCCTGCAGTGTCAGTGCCTCCACTGGCCATCCCCTTCGGGGCCCCCCTTAGTTCCATGGAGCAAATGTTTCCCCTGGGAACTGGGGAGAGGCTCGTGACGGCCCACCTGCCCAGCCTTCCTCCCTAGGTACCAGTTTCCATCCCCCACTGTGCTCACCTGGGGACATTCTCAGGGTGTGTGTGACGTCTGCCACCTCCAGTCCTTGTGGACAAAGAGAGTATAAGTCAACCACAGTCAATAGCTGAATCCTGTTGGTCTAGAATTTTTCACCCTGTGTGATGGTTAATACTGCCAACCTGATTGGATTGGAGGATACAAAGTATTGATCCTGGGTGTGTCTGTGTGCGTGCTGCCAAAGGATGTTAACATTTGAGTTAGTGGGCTGGGAAAGGCAGGCCCACCCTTAATCTGGTGGGCATAAACTAATCAGCTGCCAGCACGGCTGGAATGTAAAGCAGGCAGAAGAACGTGAAAGGGCGAGACCGGCCTAGCCTCCCAGCCTACAGCTTTCTCCTGTGCTGGATGCTTCCTGCCCTGGAACATCGGCCTCCAGGTTCTTCTGTTTGGGACTCGGCTCTCCTTGCTTCTCAGCTTGCAGACAGCTTATTGTGGGACCTTGTGATTGTGTGAGTTAATACTTAATGAACTCCCCTTTATATATATGTATCCTATTAGTTCTCCCTCTAGAGAGCCCTGACTAATATACCCAGGCAAACCGGGATGTCTGGGGGCCTCATGACACTCACTCCTGGGGTGGCTCGGGACCTGGGCTACTGTCGAATTGCGGTGGGACAGATGCCTGTATTTTAGGGGCCGAGACTGGTAATGTGTGAGGAGGTCAGTGTTGTGCGTGTGCTGTCACAGAGTTAACTTAAGGGCGTCACTTGATGAAATGTGTGTGCGTGTCATGACACAGTAACTTGATGGGCGTCATTGATGGCACTTAGTACTTCCACACATTCTGCGACGGACCAGACCAGCTATGTATAAAAGTGGGTAACCCCAAGACCTTTCATGTAGATGAATTAAGTGCGGTCAAGTAAAAAAATGTGTTCCTCCTGACCTGTGGCTCCCCGAGGCAGATTGCAGGCTCTCGATGCCACTGGAGCTCTGTGGAGGGTCAGGGTTCTGTGCCCGCCCTGAGGAGCTCCGGGGAAGGACCCTCCATGTGGAGAGGCAGCATCTGAAGCGGCCGTGGGGCTGTCCCCGCCCTGTGCGTGCTGCGTGGTGCCGGCACTTCCTCGGGCTCCCCTGTCTGAGGAGGAGGGACGTGGTGGTGCCTCTTAGTGGCCACGGTGGGCGCCCTGCCCTGTTCCTCCACCTTGTGCTGAGGAAGCTTTGACGTGGGTGACAGGGCATGCAACCCCATGTGGCCCACGTGACTGGTACGGCTCACGTCCGGCAGCGTTTGGGTCCAGATGGTGTCCCGGGCCCTGCTCCGAGCTCTGCTCCAAGTCAGGGGCCTGCACTGTTTCTTCCGCTCTGCTCTGCACTTGGGATCCGAGTATCGCCACTTGCTGGGTGGGAGGCAGGCGGCTTCTCTGTAGGCCACCTGGTGCAACGGAAGGAGGCAGTGATCCCCTCCCTGACCCTCTCAAAACGGGCACGGAGTTAAAACAGTCACGTATTCATTCAACAAACATGAACTGGGTATGTATGATGTGCCAGGCTTTGAGCTTGGGACTTGGCAGAAAACCAGATGTCAGAGGCCCCGGCCTTCCTGGGTGCTTTCTTGCGAGGGTATAGCTGGCTTGGGGACATGGTTGGGGGCAGCACGGTCAGGGGCGTGGTAGGGGAATGCTGGCATTCTCACAGTCTAGGCAAGTCACGGGCCAGCCCAGCTCCGCAAAGAGGGGCAGAGATTTCACCTTTGGACAGGAGGAGAGGCGTGAACACACAGGACTGGACAGACGGACAGGCTGTTGGTGCAGCTTTGTAGTTAGCCACACCCCTGCTGCACCCCCCAATGCAGGGCTGGATCTCAACCCCCCACATTGTGCACTGGTTATCACCCCACTCTGTGCACTGGATCTCACCTCCACCCTTGTGCCCTCGATCTCACCCCACCTTGTGCCCTGGATCTCACCACCCAGCTTGTGCCCTCCATCTTGCCCCAGCTTGTGCCCTGGATCTCACCTTCACGCTTGTGCCCTGGATCTCACCTCCACGCTTGTGCCCTGGATCTCACCCCACCTTGTGCCCTAGATCTCGCCCCTCCTTGTGCCCTCAATCTCGCCACTGACCTTGTGCACTGGATCTCACACCCCCCTTGTGCCCTCGATCTTGCCCCCGCTTGTGCCCTGGATCTCAGCTCCACACTTGTGCCCTGGATCTTGCCCCTGCCACTGACCTTGTGCACTGGATCTCATACCCCCCTTGTGCCCTCGATCTTGCCCCCGCTTGTGCCCTGGATCTCAGCTCCACACTTGTGCCCTGGATCTTGCCCCTGCCACTGACCTTGTGCACTGGATCTCATACCCCCCTTGTGCCCTCGATCTTGCCCCCGCTTGTGCCCTGGATCTCGACCCCCCATTGTGCCCTGGATCTCGCTCCTCCTCGTACCCTCGATCTCGCCCCCGCCTTGTGTGCTGGATCTTGCCCCACTCTTGTGCCCTGGATCTCGGTCTCCACCTTGTGCCCTGGATCTCGCCACACCTTGTGCTGGATCTCACCTATTTTCCTTCTCAAGAGCTTCCTGCAGTGCTCCTCTCTTGTACTGGTCTCTCCCAGTCTGTGACTCCCATATAGGTGAAAACCTGCCATGACCTCTCCTGTCTCTAAAGCAGCAACCATGTAGCAGCCCCGCTTGGCTGCCATCTCTCGAGCTGCCACTCCGTAGCTCCTGGCCCTCTTTTCAGCAGAAGTCCTTGAAGAAGCTGTCTGGGTGCCCTCATGCAAGCCCACTGCTTTGTGTTCTGGTCGCTCCCCCAAGCAGCCCACCATGACCACCCATCGGGTCACCAATGGCCTCCCGTGTCGGTGCCCTGCACCCTGGCACGGGCACTGGCCTTCCCCACCCATGCGGCCTCCTGTGGAGCCAGGCCATCCACTGGCACCAGCTCTAGGTCCCTTGCCCTTGGTGCCTCACACTTGTATCTCCAGCCGGGACCTCTGCCCTGACGCTGCACTTGTTGGGACAGCTGCCTCCTTATTGTCTCCATGTGGACGTCTGCCAGGACCCCCCCTCCCATCTCACCTGCCCCCACCCCGCCCCCTCCATTCTCCTCCATCTCTGTTTCTATGGGTGCCTGGGCCTCACACCTGGAAACCCGCCTCAGCTCTCCTCCTAGTTTCTCACTGCACATCCTTCCGCACATCCTGTAGGCGTGGCCTCCAAAGTGTCTCCAGGAGCACATGTGTGTTTGCAGCAATGTCATTCCGAATAGCCACATGTCCATCAGTGGGTGAATAAATAAACAAGATGTGGTGTGTTCATGCGGTGGAATATTATTCAGCCTTAAAAAGGAAGGACATTCCGACACATACTACGGCATGGATGACCCGTGAGGACACTCTGCTGAAAAAGACTAAATCACAAAAGGACTAATATTGTCTGATTCCACCGACGTGAGGTCCCTAGAGGCATGATGTTCATAGATATGGAAAGTAGTCTGGTGGGGGCCAGGGGAGGGGAGCGGGCGTGAGTGTTTAATGGGGACAGAGTTTGGGAAGGTGAGAAAGTTGTGGAGAAGGGATGGTGGTGATGGTTGCACAGCAATGTGAATAAATTTTTTTTTTTTTTTTTTTTTTGAGACCGAGTCTGGCCCCCAGGCTGGAGTGCAGTGGTGCACTCTCAGCTCACTGCAAGCTCCACCTCCTGGGTTCAAGCGATTCTCCTGCCTCAGCCTCCTGAGTAGCTGAGATTACAGGCACGTGCCGCCACGTAAGGCTAATTTTTTGTATTTTTAGTAGAGATGGGGTTTCACCATGTTGGCCAGGCTGGTCTTGAACTCCTGACCTGACCTCAGGTGATCCACCCACCTTGGCCTCCCAAAGTGCTAGGATTATAGGCGTGAGCCACTGTGCCCAGCCCAGCAATAACATTTAATGCCGCTGAGTTGTACACTCATAAAAGGTTAAAAGGTCGATTTTGTGTTATGTTTACATCACTGCAATTTACCATAACAAATAATAGAAAAATGTTTGCAGGAGGTGACCCCTTCTGATGCCTCCCTGATCCCCGGCCGTGGCAGTCGCCCCTGAGCCGGAGTCCTTCCTTCTGCCCTGGCTCCTGTCCTGCCCCACCCGGCTGTTCTCGGCACAGCAGCCAGAGTGATCGTTGAAGCACACAATTCAATTCGGGTCATGACTCGCTGCTCAGGACCCCCCAGTGACTCCGTGTCAGTCGGAGTTAAGCCCCTTCAGGGTCAGGTACCCTCCCCCAGCTGTCCGCCCTCCATTTCAGCCACCCGGGGCTCCTTGCGGCTTCCCAGACACCCCGCCTTGGGTCCCCTCTGCAGGATGGCTGGTCCCATCAGCTCAGACACCCCGCCTTGTGGCCCCTCTGCAGGATGGCTGGTCCCATCAGCTCAGACACCCCGCCTTGTGGCCCCTCTGCAGGATGGCTGGTCCCATCAGCTCAGACACCCCCGCCTTGTGTCCCCTCTGCAGGATGGCTGGTCCCATCAGCTCAGACACCCCGCCTTGTGGCCCCTCTGCAGGATGGCTGGTCCCATCAGCTCAGACACCCCGCCTTATGGCCCCTCTGCAGGATGGCTGGTCCCATCAGCTCAGACACCCCCACCTTGTGTCCCCTCTGCAGGATGGCCCGTCCCATCAGCTCAGACACCCCGCCTTGTGTCCCCTCTGCAGGATGGCTGGTCCCATCAGCTCAGACACCCCGCCTTATGGCCCCTCTGCAGGATGGCTGGTCCCATCAGCTCAGACACCCCCACCTTGTGTCCCCTCTGCAGGATGGCTGGTCCCATCAGCTCAGACACCCCGCCTTGTGGCCCCTCTGCAGGATGGCTGGTCCCATCAGCTCAGACACCCCGCCTTGTGGCCCCTCTGCAGGATGGCTGGTCCCATCAGCTCAGACACCCCCACCTTGTGTCCCCTCTGCAGGATGGCTGGTCCCATCAGCTCAGACACCCCGCCTTGTGGCCCCTCTGCAGGATGGCTGGTCCCATCAGCTCAGACACCCCCGCCTTGGGTCCCCTCTGCAGGATAGCTTGTCCCATCAGCTCCCCTTAAATCCTGATTTAGCAGAGACTCACCCAGTGGGTCTCACCCGGGCTGAATTGGACCCCCAGGGGACACAGGCAATGTCATGTAGTGTGGGGGGTGCTGCTAGCCATCCCACAATGCACAGGAGAGCCCCTGACAAGGAACCCCCTGGCGCCAAGTGTCAGCAGTGCCTTGGGTGAGAAAGAGCCCAGCCCTAATCTGGAGTCCCGCCGCCTCCTGTGAGCCTCCCTCCTGCTATCTTGGACCGTTATCTGGGTGTGGTGGTAGCACCGCGGTCAAAGGCTGTCCCTGGCGTGTTGGGTCCGGCCACCTCTTCTGGCCTGGCGTTCCTGGTGACCTTGGTGGAGAAGAGCTGGGAGTGGGGAAGGAATCTCAGGAAAGCCCTGTTTCCTGCTCCCAGGTTGAAAATTCCAGGCCAGTGCTATGGGATGTCACCAAGGGAGCTTTGGGGACTCTGGTTCATGACTGGTGTGCATTGCACCTGAGTGTGACAGCCAGGCTGTGCTGAGCAGGGGCCGGAGTCCCCACCCCTCACACTGTTCCAGCTCCCACGACCTGGACCTGGTGCCTGTGTGTGGGGAGAGCGTTGGGATCCCCCTGGGGCTTATGAAGGGGCCTAATTGGATGGAGCAGTGCTGTCTGCGCGAAAGCAAAGGCTTCACCTTGCATGCTCGCCTGCTCTTGGATGAGAAACAGTGTAGTTAAGTATGTTAGGGATTATGAAATGTTAGGTAGCATGTCTGAATTCCTCTCTTATTAGTCGAGTAAAGAAAACATAGAACTTGAGTTCAGTGCCTTCCTGAGGCTCAGTGCCCTCACTGTCTGCTCTGCAGAAGGAACCGAGATGGGGGAGGCCCCAGTAGGGTACGACTGGCGTGGCAGTGATGGGGAGCTGCCAGGATCGGACACCAGTGACCTTGGCAATTCAAACTGAGGAGAGGATGGCCAGTTATCTTATTGGGTACGATTTTCAGTCTTGAAGAAAAGGGGTTTCACTGTAGGCCACCTTACTACACCCTGTGCCATTTCATTTCATCTCCTGGAAAGAAGACAGAAGCTTCTCCTGGCTTAATGTGGTGGGACTTTTAATGGGAAGTGAGAGAGCATCATTAGGGCTGGCCTTACCCTTTGCAGGGAAGAGATTGAATGATAGTCCCTTGAATTTGCGAGGCACCTGCCCTGTGCCACCCACTGTGCTGGGTGCTGGCATCTGCCGCTGGCACCAGGGTTGCTGCAAGGACGAGGACGCCTCTGACCGCCGACAGTGTAATGGAAGCACGCACACGTGCAGTCAGGCATCGATGCAGCTGCGCAGAGTGGTGCCTGTTCACAGGATCGGATCGCAGACCTGTGTGACACGACACCCAGGCCCCTGCCTGTGACCGAGCAGCCCGAGCAGCTGGAAGCATGTGCCTTGTTAGAAAGGAGGCGTTGATGTTTTAGGACCTTATGTGCACACAGCTGGAGCCATCATAACTTGTGGTTCATGACCCTTCTCATGCGGTCAACCACCCCGTGAAGAGAAACGCAGCCAGCCTAGGGGTCCAGGAACTGTAACTCAAGTCCATGGTGAGAGAGCCCCTTTGCCAGTCAGCTGGCAACGTGAAGGAGCCCTCCAGGTCCAGGCATTGGAGCAGGTGTGGCCGTGGGATCGCATACGTGGCTGCTGGGGTGGGTGACCCAGCTGTGCCACCTGCGGCAGGCAGAATGATGGCCCCCAAAGGTGTCCATGTGTGAATCCCTGGAACCCATGAATCTATGAGGTGTGTGGCAAAGGGGAAGTAAAGGTTAAAGATGGAACTACGCCTGCTCGTCAGTTGACCTTCCGATCATGAAATTTTCCTGGATTATGTCGGTGGCCCCAGTGGAACCACAGGAGTCCTCAGTAGTGGAGAAGGGGGCAGGAGAGTCAGAGGAGCTGGGCCTGGGAAGAAGGCTGTAGACGTGCAATGCCGCTGGCTCTGAAGGTCCGGGAGGCGGCCGTGCGTCGGGAAGTAGCTGTGCAAGCTGGAAAAGGGAAGGAAACAGACTCTTCCCTGGAGCCTCCAGAAGGCACGCGGTCCTGCTGACACCTGCTTCTAGTCCAGAGAGACCCAGGCTGGAATTCTGTCCTCCAGAACTGTAAGATGTGAATGTTGTCATCTTAAGCCGTGGAGTTTGTAGTGATTTGTTGCAGCAGCCACAGGAACTAGCACACGCCTCCTGGGGACACGCACAGCCAGCTTTGCTCACAACAGTAAAGCCCGGAAGTCCGTCCCCCAATCCGCAGGTGTGGCCGAGTGAACTGGGGGTGTCCAGTTACGGGAGGAGGGGCAGCGGCAAGGGGCCGGCGGGAGTCTCAGCAGCTTAATGTGGAGTGAAAAAAGCCAGTCTCGAAATATTGCATATGCATGATGTCCTTTTTATAGAGTCAAAAACAACCAAAAATACACTTCAGGGCTACATGTGGCTGCCACCTAGCTTTTGGAAGGGGCCGTGAGAGCCAGGCTCAGGGACTGTGGGAGGTGTGCAAGCGGCCGAGGGGCAGGCAGGGGTGGTTATGGCAGGTCCCACCTGCATGGTAGGTGGTGAGCTTCCAGGGACTCATGGCATGAGCAAAAATAACTAGCACACCCTTTAACTTTTTTGCATAGTTGGGAATTAGCTGTCTCCACACCTGTGTGGCCTGCCTTCCAAGGAATTCCCAGCCCAGGAGTTTTAAATTAGTGCTGCCTGTGGCATTATGTTTCAGGTATTGGAATTACTCTGTGTTTGACAAGGGGAAGGCAGGTGTTCTGTGTCTAGAAAAGGAAAAGGTGAATGGAGTGATCTTTTATGCAGCGGATGCGGTGAGATTTCAGGTGCCACCAGCAACCTGCATTCCACGGGCCGAGGAGCTGTGGGGGTCTCCTCTGGGGCTCTGCAGATGAGATGGGATTGACTGGCCATGATCAATATGACAGCGTCCTCAAAGGAGGGGCAGACGCAGCCTGCGGCCCTTTCACGGGGAGCTTTGTGAATCCAATTCCTTCCAAGACAGGAGCAAAAGATCCTATTTATTTGCCTGAATCTGGAAAGAGATAAAAGCTTTTTTCTTTTCTTGTAATTCCAGCCAGGGTCGATTCTACATGGACATATTTTTCTGCATTTTTGTAAATTCCTTACAGCTGAGGTGTGTGAAGTGCGATTCTCATTAAACTCACAGGGCCAAAGCTGAGCCTCTCGACTGATGCCACTTTAAATATTGGGTATGGGAAGAGCTGGGAGGTGGGAGTTTGACAGAAGAATGAAGAGAACGTAATGTTTCCTTTGATAACTTTTCCTTGGAGTTACATGAAGAATTGGGTGACAGTAAGAAAGGATATAAACAATTCATTGTAAGCTGCAAAATTTAGTTGTATTTAAATAATTTAATATGATTTAAGAGTCACTAGGATGCAGTGGGATGGTCCTATTATCGACCCTTAATTTATTTTTATTCACTGTAGAGGATGAATCTATCCGGACCTGCTTGCAGACACTGGCTTTAAATGAGTTCGTTCCCAAATTCCATGCATGCTAAGCGTGGATGAAAGAAGACGTAATGTAACATGATTGTACTTTTCTTTTAGAGAGTCCCATCTATTAATACTTTTTGTCCCATTTGTAGTTGTCATGTTTGTTCTGATAAAGGATGTACTTACGCATTGGATTATGATGGGCTGGAGAGTGATCACTGGGCTCTACTTGTTTAGGGAGAAGCTCAGAGTCTGCGGGAGAGGAGATGGTGCCATCCAGCCAGGCTGGCTGTGGAGGGGATGGTTTCTCCCTCAGGGAGCTGCTTTATTCCCCCAGGCCATATTTTGTAATTAAGTGGAATTCAGGTAACATAAAATATGCCTCCCCACCCTTTTTTTTTTTTTGGGATGGAGTCTTGCTCTGTCGCCCAGGATGGAGTGCAATGATGCAATCTCGGCTCACTGCAACCTCTGCCTGCTGGGTTCAAGTGATCCTCCTGCCTCAGCCTCCCTAGTAGTCAGGATTATAGGCGCTCACCACCATACCAGGCTAATTTTTGTATTTTTGTAGTGGTGGGGTTTTGCCATGTTGGCCAGGTTGGTCTCAAACTCCTGACCAGCCTAATGAATCCCCATCTTTACTAAAAATACAAAAATTAGCTGGGCGTGGTGGTGGGCACCTGTAATCCCAGCTACTCGGGAGCCTGAGGCAGGGGAATCGCTTGAAGCCAGGAGGCTGAGGTTGTAGTGAGCTGAGATCACACCACTGCACTCCAGCCTGGGAAACAGAGCAAGACTCAGTCACAAAAAAAAAAAAAGAGAGAGAGAATTGACTTACAGGAAGCCGTAGAACTGTCAAATTTATAGATACAGAAAGGAGAGTGGTGGGTGCCAGGGTCTGGGGGAGGTGGAATGGGGAGGGAGAGTTAGGTGGGGACATTTCAGTTTGGGAAGGTGAGAAAGTTCTGGGGAGGGATGGTGGGGATGGTGGTACAACAGTGTGAATGTGCTTATGCCACTGAGCTGTAGACTTAAAAAGGGTGAAAATGGCAAATTTTATGTTATTTGCATTTTACCACAGTAAAAAAAAAAAAAAAAAAAAAGATAATTGACCTCCTAAGTGCTAGCTGACCTAAGACAGTAACCTTGCATTGTGGGATCTGTTATGTACGTAGAGGTAAACGTATGGGAACAATGGCCCCAGGACGGGAGGGAGGGAACGAGGCTCTTCCGCCACACATGAGCGCGGGTTGGGAGAGCTCAGGGTGGGCTGTGACCACCAGGACATGAAAGAGGAAGGAACAGTGACTGAGCGGCCGTGGGGACGATGCGGAATTGTAAAAAGGCACTAAATCCAGAAGTCAGGGATGGAGCAGAAGGGGAGAGAGAGCACCTGGGAAAATCAGGAAACACAGAGGGAGGGCTGCGGCGGGCACGGCCCCTTGTCGGTCATTTAGGAGGGCGCTTGGGGTTGGGGGAGGCTGCGTGCCCACAGGCAGGTCTCTGGCGCCTTGCAGACAGCCTGAGTGTCTGCTCCCTGCCCCACAGCAGCTGCTGTCTTCTATGAAATGACTTTCAGCTGTGAAGCTTGGCAGCCAGAGGACAGGATTTCTGAGTAGTGGGAAAGAATCCAGCAGGAGGACCCCGAACAGACAGGGATTCCTCAACCGGGGCATCCCAGGACCAAGGCAGCATGCAGGGTGAACCCTGGCCACACTGCCAGGCCAGCCATAGGCCTTGTTTTCTTACAAAAAGAAAACAACTTCATTATATTCTGATTGTGGTAGTAACGTCTAAAAATGCAATACACGCTTATCATAAACTAAACGTAAACTTCAGGCAGCTAGAGAGGCAAAAGGGAAACCCATTCAGAAGAAAAACTGTGTTGATATTTTGGCTTGTTTTTTCCAGATCTTTCTCTTTACATAGCCATGCTTATGTATAATTTATACAAGTAGAGTATTCTGGGGACATTTCTGGAACACAAACCTGGCCGGGTCACCTCGCTGCCAGATGGCTTCTCCAGCTTCTGTCAGCTTCAGGAAAATTGAATTCCTGAGCCCCCGACATGGGGTCCTGGCTCCCCATCATCTTCCAGCTGAGGCACAGTTGCTTCTCCAGTGAGACACACGGGGCTCCCTGTGGTGGCCCTGCCTGTATTCGTTTCCTGTGGCCGTCACCAACAAATTACTACAAACAGAGCGGCTTGACCACAGAAATTCACCCCCGCAGAGTCTGAGGCCCGAAGTCCACAATCAGGATGTAGGTGTCGGCAGGGCTGGTTCCTCTTGGAACCTCTGAGGGAGGACCTGCTCTGTGCCCCTGCAGCCTCTGGTAGCTGCCGGCCAGCTTGGCATTTGCTGGCTCTGTCTGCCTTGCTCCAGTCTCCACCTCCATCTTCACATGGCCACCTCCTTCTGTCTCTATGAAGGACGCTTGTCATTGGATTTCATGCCCTCTCAGATAATTCAGGATCTCATCACGAGATCCTTAATCACATCTGCAAGGACCCTTTTGCCACATATGGTCACATTCACAAGTTCCAGGTAGACCTATCTTCGGGGGGCCGCCATTCAACCCACAATAGCATTCTGGTGGGCGGGAGGAAGGGAGGCGTTGGGCGTCCAAGCCAGGCAGGAGGCAGCTCTGAGGCTGGAGGGGATGCCGTGAGGGGACGCTGTGTCAGCATGCAGGGGTGAGCACGTGGTGTGTTTTCCTGCTGAGAGTAGGTAGGGAGCTAGCAGCAGGCCACTCCCTTCCCAAATTGGTGCCAGGACCTCTGCAGGGCCACCTCTCCTTAGGGGCTTTGGGGCTGCTTTGTCACCCTCATTCTGGGGCTCCCTGCAGAATGGATGTGTCTGAATCTGCAGGCACATCTGAGAAAGACAGAGGAGCCGGATCGGGGAATGGATGCTTCCAACGCAGGGCTGTCATTGCCCTGTGTCCTGGGGGATGCAAAGCCTTTTTCTAGGTGAGATTTTGGGCAGCTTGTCCCTAATCTATCAGAAGCCGCCTGGCCTTACATGTGTCCCTTGGGTGTAGCAGGAGGCACTCTACAGCTTCTTCTGGCCTTGAGTTGGGCCATAGGAGACCATGGGGCTCTAGCAGGCTGAGCCTCCTCATGTGGTGGACACTGAGGCCCAGGAAAGGGCTGGGCAGTGTGTCTGTGGCTCACAGGGTCAGCAGGGTGGGGCATGGGGGTAGCCTCAGGCAGGCTGGCCTCTCATGTCACAGATGCTGGCCCCTGCAGCCCAGTCAAGCTGGTGTGAGATCCAGGTAGGCTCTGGGTGCTCCAAATCCACGGAAGCCGGAACACCTCCTGGCTGTGTGGGCAGGACCTGGCTGGATGGCCTGACTGGCCATGGGTGTGAGTGGGGTTAGGCTGTAGCCATTAGGATTGTAGGGGGATGGGGTGGATCTAGGGGGCAGGAGCCATGTTCTGAGGGAGCTGGGACAGTGCAGATGGGTGGAGGAGAGAATCTGGGGTCCCAGAGGAGGGACTCATCAGCCTCCCAGGTTCTTCCCCCACAGTGGAGAATGGTAGAAATGCAAACCAGCCACAGCTACTGGCAGTGGGGGCATTCAGCTGCCTTGGCCACTCCCTCTCTGTGGGCAGGACTCTTCCTTTGCCATCAGTGCTTATTTTAAAAGGGTAAGCTGTGTTCCTAGATTTCGGGTTGAAATTGTTAAGCTCCCTCCTCTGCTTCCCACCAGGGTGACTCTCCAGCCCAGCAGGGGAGGGGTCTGGGTGGTCTGGTCCCTCCCATCCTCATTGCCTCAGTCTTGTGCAGCTTTCTCAGTTTGGTAGGGGAGGGATCCTGTTAGACCCAGCCCTCGGAAGTGGAGCTGAGCCCTTCACGTAAATGCAGTGAACATCGAGAGCAGCACCACCGTCATCCACCGTGTTCGTTCTCCTAAGCTCCTTATGTTCTCCTAAGCTCTCCTATGTTCCTTCCTCTGAAAGCCTTTCTCTAAATAAAGTCGTCACATGGGCAGGAAAGAGGCTGCCTGGGTGGGTCTTAGGGCTTTGGAGTGACACCGTCCTGGCATGCTCTAGAAAGGCCCTGGTACTTCCCTTCTTGTGCAGCAGTGGGATGGGAGAAGGTGAGCCCTTGTGGAAAAAGGTATTTCCAAGCAGATGTGGGAGCCCTCGTTGTGCTGTTGATAGTCCATGACCTTTTTCCTTTGCCTCTAGGATTTTCTTCCATGGGGTAATTGTGCTGGGGTTGACAGTATTAGGAGTGACCTTGAGGAGCTAATTGGGAAATTGACATTGTGAGAGCTTTTAATTTGCTTCTCCTGATGGGATCCATGTTTAATATGGTCGTGATTGCCAGTTTTTATGTGTCTTGAATTTGTGTCCCGGCTTTGAAGACAATTTAGGAGAGCAGCCCCGTGGGATAAACCCTTAGGTTCGCACGGGGACTGGGGGGCAGTGTGTGCTGCGTCCTCTCCCTTGGATGAGTGCTGCATTATGGGAGCTCATTATCTGCTCAGTGGGTTCCTGCAGACCATGGGAGGCCAGCCGCCCGTCACAGGACCTGTCTTGGCTGTGTCCGAGGGTGGCGACTCCAGACACAGGGCTGCAGATCTGTGTTCAGGCAGCATGAATGTGGGGCCCTTTTCCTGTGGGCCTCCAGGGCTTCCCAGGCTCAGGGGTCCTGCTGTCCGACAGTCTTTGGCCAGGCATCGCCTTGCTGTGAAGCCCACATTCCCAATTCCTTATCGGGTAGTTCTTTCTGGAGGTGATAAGGGAGCCAGGTGATCCCTGATGCCACAGCCCGTCATGATGGCCACCATTCCCCCAGAACAGTAACTTCCCCCTTCTTTTTGTTAGGTGCTCTTTTGGCAGGAGAAGCACAGGACGCTTGTTCAACCAGTATTCCAGAACCTTCTAGAACCTCCCCACCCAAGCATCCCTGAGATCTGGGTGTGCTTAGAGGATGGCCCTGCCAAGCTCTGGCGAGGGTCCCTGCTCCCTGCCCAGGCCTCCTCTGTGCTCTCCCTGGAAAGGCAGCACTGCTCCTGGCCCCATATCCCGTGTCCGCAGCTGCTCGCCAAGTGGGGCGGCACATCCCTGACAGGCAGATTACCCCCAGGCACAGCACGAGGACAAGGACGTCACGTTCGCCTGGACTTGGGTCTCCTGCTTCCGGCCGGCAGGAGGGCAAGCAGGCCAAGTGATGGGTTCTGGCCAATGACGGGCAAGCAGAGTTGCGTCACTTCCGGCCGTGAAGCTCAGTTTCCCTTCCCAATGAGACTGAGGTGCAGAGGTGGCCCTGGCTGAGGGGATGGGTAGGGGAGAGCCACGCAGCCCTAGGCTGGACTGTGCTTCCGGGTTCCCAGTGGACTGCCAGGAGCCTTGGGGGACCCTAGGCCGCTGGTGGCGAGCTCCGGGGTGGGCCAGCCTCCTCCTGCAGGCAAACGGACTGTGGCACCGCTCTCCATCCTGGCTCAGCCCCCTCCTCCAGGGAGTGGCCCCGGCCCCGGCCCCGGCCCCGGAGTCTCCTGCAGTCTGCGGAGCCGTCCAACCCCCTGGCTGTGTCCGGAGATCTCCATTCTGGGGCCTCAGCCCTACTGCCCGTGCTACCTGACTGCCGGGGGCCAGCGGGGTTTCTTTCCAGACAAGACTGGACTAGGAGGCTGCTCCGGGAGGCGAGCTGAGGGCAGCGAGCTTGGCTGGCACCTCAGGCGGGCGGGCATGGCCTCAGCAGGCGCGCAGCGGGGTTTTACTGCTGAAAGCGCCTGTCTTAGTCTGTTTTCTGTTGCTTTAATGAAATACCTGAGACTGGGTCATTTATAAAGAAAAGGCATTTGGGTTTCTTACAGTCCTGGAGGCTGAGATGTCCCAGGTCACAGGGATGGTCTGGTGAGGGCCTCCTTGTCTGGAGGGACTCTGGAGACCCCAGGCGTCCCAGGGCATCACGTGGCTAGGGGGCTTAGGAGAGAGAGCCAAGGTAGCTTTTATGACAGCCCCGTTCTGTGATGGCTCATTGACCCTCAGTCCACAAACGGCTGGATTCATTTATGAGGACAGTCAGTCACCTCTTAAAGGCCCCACCTCTTTTTGTTTTGAGATGGAGTCTCCCTGTGTTGCCCAGGCTGGATTGCAGTGGTGAGATCTCAGCTCACCGCAACCTCCGCCTCCTTTGTTGACGCCATTCTCCTGCCTCAGCCTCCCGAGTAGCTGGGAATACAGGTGCCCGCCACCACACCCAGCTAAATTTTGTATTTTTGGTAGAGAGGAGGTTTCACCATGTTGGCCAGGCTGGTGTTGAACTCCTGACCTCAGGTGATCCACCCGCCTTGGCCTCCCAGAGTGCTGGGATTACAGACATGAGCCACTGCGTGCAGCCAGCCCCACCTCTTAATACTGTTCTTTTGGGGATTTACTTCCATGTGCATTTGGGAGGGGACATTCAAACCATAGCCCTGTCTGAGTGGAAAGCCAGCTGCTGCAGCCGTGGGAGTGAACACCAGCAGGGAAGGGAAGGGAAGAAATTGTGGGGTTTTTGGTGGGAACAGAAAAGAGACATTTGGGATTAGTCTGCAAATGGAAAATTAAATTCTGTGCTGGCTCTGCCCTGGGATGAGAGCGAGCCCGGTGCAGTGCTTGTAGGGGACCCTCAAAGACTCCGCTTTGTGAACTCAGGACCCACTGACAAAGTCAAATTGTGATTTTAACTTCCCGGAGAACCAGATGGGTCCCCTGTGAGGGCGCCTGTCTGCGGCTCTTAAGCAAGGAGCTGGGAGCACTGGAGTGGGGGTGTGAGAGGGTGTCAAGTCCCGCCTTGTGAAAGCCTGGTGTGTTTTTTGTTTTTTTTGTTTTGTGAGAAGGGAAATCTGCCCCGTGCTGTCCTGAAGAAGGCAAGCCAATGGGGCTGGAGGGAATCCATGTAGGAGGTCAGAGGTCAGCCCTGAGGGCAAAGGCTCAGATGCAGGCAGTGGGTGCCCTCTCTGCTGTCCGAAGCCTGTGGGAGGCCATGTAGGCAACCATGTAGGTCTGACCCGCTGCAGAAACAAAGGGGCGCTTTGCTGCTTGGCGTTGCTCAGGGTCCCAGCTGACAGTCCAGAGACCTAGTCTCAAATCCCAACTTTGGCAGGCCGGGGTCAGGAGACAGCAGCTCTGTAAGGGCAGCAGGTGCTCTCTCAGCGCTGGGGCTGTAAGGGCAGCAGGTGCTCTCTCAGCGCTGGGGCTGTAAGGGCAGCAGGTGCTCTCTCAGCGCTGGGGCCTGCTTCAGGTGGGTCTCACCTTTTTCTGCTGCTGTTCTTGGCCCACTCCCTTACCGTAAGTAGCCACCATACAGGCCAGGGTCATCACTGTGCTCCTCCATGGCCCAGGTCTGTCTGTCCTGAAGCCACTGACGGGAAGGGGTGGCAGCAGTGCGGGTGTATTCCCAGAGAGCCTCTGCAGTTGTGATGAGGTGGGTCCCTGAGTGACTTGGCCTTCCAGTCTGGTCCCCCTTCTCGCCAGTCCTGGGCAGGTCAGGCCAGCTAGGTTTGCTTATGCATGGCTTCAAAGGTGAGGCCTTTTACAAACTCTGTTTATCACTTTGCTGCACTCCTTGAGGGTGTACAGGATTGGTGTGTTTATGATAATCCTTAAAATCAGGACAGATGATTGCCCTACACTCCCCTCCCCCCAAGTCTAGGACCTGAGCCTGTCTCCGTCACATCTTGAAAAGGCAAGAGTTCTGTGTGACTCCTTGTGCAGAGTGGGCTGAAGCTTGGGCAGGTGTCTCACACTCCAGGTGAGTGAGGTGGCTCCTGGCCTTTGTCTTCTTTTCCTATGCTGAATTAAATAAAGATTTTTCTGAAGTAATTCAGTCATTCATTTGTTCACAAGTCTTGGCTGTGTGTTTCCATGCTCCCCCTATGATCCTGGCAGGTAAGGCTGTTTCCCTCCCCACCTACCTTCCCACCGGGCCCTGAGGGGTCGGCCCTCTGTGCTTCTGCTCCCCCACCCCATCCAGCACTCCCTCAGGAGGAGATTCCTGCTTGGGTGCTGCCTGGTCCCTTCCCCTCCTCTCGTTCTTGCTTAAACTCACTCCTGCTCCCAAACTGCATTTGTCACGGTCCTGGTGGCCTGCCTGTGCCCCCTCCAGTGGTCAGTCACAGCCCTGTCCTGGGAAACCAGGCAGCTGGAGTGACCCTGGGCAGCCCTGAGCACTTGTTCACTCCCTTGGCGGGTGGTCACTTCCCTCTGACCCTTCTTGAATAACTTAATCTGTAGGGTACAGAAGCTTTCACACTTTCCTACAAAACCAGTTTCCTCTTCGCAGATAAAGGGAATTCCTTCCAGAAAGTTTCTTCTGTCAGCAGTGCAGTCTCGGTTCCTCAGCGTTTGTCGAAGTACCCGGGGAGGAGAGGGCTCTGTGGCATTGACTTTGGCTGACAGTCCCGGGGGCCTCTTCCCTGTGGGTAGAATGTGGGAACCCAACACTGCATCTACTCTGTGTACCCCAGTCCAAAAATCACTCTGCCTGTGTGGGACATGTGCCCTACCCTCTTGCCTGTCTTCCTCAAGGCCCTTCTTTGCAGAACAGCCCCAGTGGAGACACTTCAGGGTGATGGGGACATCTTAGGTCATCAGGGCATCATTGAGAGAGACTGTGAGTGATGACCCTGTGTGACGACCTCATTTTCTCCAGTCTTGTGAAAGAATGGCTCCTGGAGATGGCTCCTGGAGAGCGAGTGTCTGTAACACACGCCAGCGACACCACACACAGAGAAAGGCCCTTAGCCTTGTCTGTCAGGGTCTCTTAGGAATAGAATATTCTAGATCTGTGGAAGGCCTGCTGGAAAATCCCAACCAATGTGAAGCGTACCTCCTCCTTCCAGTGTGTGGCCTGCCATTCACTCCAGTCTGCACTGATGGTGCCAAGGCTTTGACACTTGAAGCGTGATATGAAAAGATAAAGGCATTTTAACAGAAGATACCGGGTCAGTGGAGGTGACCGAAAGCAGCATTTGATTCCCCAGGTCATCCTGGGCATTGGGATAAGTGCGCTGCCACTAAGGGAAAGGAGTATTAGTCTGTTTTCACGCTGCTGATAAAGACATACCTGAGACTAGGAAGAAAAAGAGGTTTAATTAGACTTGTAGTTCCACGTGGCTGTGGGGCAGGGGGCACCTCAGAATCATGGCGGAAGGCAAAAGGCACTTCCTGCGTGGAGGTGGCAAGAGAAAAATGAGGAAGATGCAAAAGTGAAAACCCCTGATAAAACCATCAGATCTCGTGAGACTTAGTCACCACCATGAGAACAGTATGGGGGAACCACCCCTATGATTCAATTACCTCCCACCAGGTCCCTCCCACAACATGTGAGAATTATGGGAGTACAATTCAAGATGAGATTTGGGTGGAGACACAGCCAAACCTTATAATTCCGTCCCTGGCCCCTTCAAATCTCATGTCCTCACATTTCAAAACCAATCATGCTTTCCCAACAGTCCCTGTTATGGCTTGGCTGTTTCCCCGCCAAAGTCGCAACTTGAATTATATCTCCCAGAATTCCCACATGTTGTGAGAGGGACCCAGGGGGAGGTAACTGAATCATGGGGGCTGGCCTTTCCCATGCTTTTCTCGTGATAGTGAATAAGTCTCAGGAGATCTCATGGGTTTATCAGGGGTTTCTGCTTTTGCTTCTTCCTCATTTTCTCCTGCTGCTGCCGTGTAAGAAGTGCCTTTTGCCTCCTGCCGTGATTCTGAGGCCTCCCCAGCCATATGGAACTGTAAGTCCAATTAAACCTCTTTTTCTTCCCAGTCTCCAGCGTGTCTTTATCAGCAGCCTAAAAATGGACTAATACAGTCCCCCAAAATCTTAACTCATTTCAGCATTAACCCAAAAGTCCACAGTCAAAAGTCTCATCTAAGACAAGGCAAGTACCCTTCTGCCTATGAGTCTGTAAAATCAAAAGCAAGCTAGTTACTTCCTAGATACAATGGGGGTACAGGTATTGGGTACATATAGCCATTCCAAATGGGAGAAATTAGTCAAAACAAAGGGGTTACAGGGCCCATGCAAGTCCGAAATCCAGCGGGACAGTCAAATCTTAAAGCTCCAAAATGATCTCCTTTGACTCCAGGTCTCACATCCAGGTCACCCTGGTGCAAGAGGTGGGTTCCCATCGTCTTGGGCAGCTCCACCCCTGTGACTTTGCAGGGTACAGCCTCCCTCCCAGCTGCTTTCACAGGCTGGCATTGAGTGTCTACAGCTTTTCCAGGCAAATGGTGCAAGCTGTTGGTGGATCTACCATTCTGGGGTCTGAAGGACGGTGGCCCTCTTCTCACAGCTCCACTAGGTGGTGCCCAGTAGGGACTCTGTGTGGGGGCTCCAACCCCACATTTCCCTTCCACACTGCCCTAGCAGAGGTTCTCCATGAGTGCCCCACCCCTGCAGCAAACTTCTGCCTGGGGATCCAGGTGTTTCCATGCATCCTCTGAAATCTAGTGGAGGTTCCCAAACCCTCATTGTTGACTTCTGTGCACTCGCAGGCTCAACACCATGTGGAAGCTGCCAAGGCTTGGGGCTTGCACCCTCTGAAGCCATGGCCTGAGTTCTGCATTGACCCCTTTCAGCCATGGCTGGAGCAGCTGGGACACAGGGCACCAAGTCCCTAGGCTGCACACAGCACAGGGACCCTGGGCCTGGCCCATGAAACCATTTTCCCCTAGGCCTCTGGGCTTGTGGTAGGAGGGGCTGCCCTGAAGACCTCTGACATGCTTTGGAGACATTTTCCCAGTTGTCTTGGGGATTAACGTTCAGCTCCTCATTACTTAAGCAAATTTCTGCAGCTGGCTTGAATTTCTCCTCAGAAAATGGGTTTTTCTCTTCTATCACATTGTCACAGCTGGATGCAGTGGCTCACGCCTATAATCCCAGCACTTTGGGAGGCTGAGGTGGGAAGATCATTTGAGGTCAGGAGCTTGAGACCAGCCTGGCCAATACGGTGGAACCCCATCTCTACTAAAAATACAAAAATTAGCCGGGCATGGTGGTGCGTGCCTGTAGTCCCAGCTACTCAGGAGGCTGAGTCAGGAGAATTGCTTGAACCTGGGAAGCAGAGGTTGCAGTCAGCCAAGGTCACACCATTGCACTCCAGCCTGGGTGTCACAGCGAGACTCTGTCTCAAAAACAACAACAACAACAAAAACTGTCAGGCTGCAAATTTTCCGAATTTTTATGCTTGGCTTCCCTTATAAAACTGAATGCCTTTAACAGCACCCAAGTCACTTCTTGAATGCTTTGCTTCTTAGAAATTTCTTCCCGCAGATACCCTAAATCATCCCTCTCAAGTTCAGAGTTCCACAAATCTCTAGGGCAGGGGCAAAATGCTGCCAGTCTCTTCGCTAAAACATAACAAGGGTCACTTTTGCTTCAGTTCCCAACAAGTTCCTCATCTCCACCTGAGACCACCTCAGCCTGGACCTTATTGTCCATGTTGCTATCAGGCATCTGGTCAAAGCCATTCAACAAGTCTCTAGGAAGTTCCAAATTTTCCCACATTTTCCTGTCTTCTTCTGAGCCCTCCAAACTGTTCCAACTTCTGCCTGTTATTCTCTTCCAAAGTTGCTTCCACATTTTCGGATATCTTTTCAGCAATACCCCACTGTACTGGTACCAATTTACTGTATTAGTCCATTTTCACCCTGCTGATAAAGACATACCTGAGACTGGGATGAAAAAGAGGTTTAATTGGACTTACAGTTCCACATGGCTGGGGAGGCCTCCGAATCACAGCAGGAGGCAAAAGGCACTTCTTACATGGCAGTGGCAAGAGAAAAATGAGGAAGATGCAAAAGCGAAAACCCCTGATAAAACCATCAGTCCTTGTGAGACTTATTCACACGAGAACAGTATGGGGGAAATCACCCCCATGATTCAAATTATCTCCCACTGGGTCCCTCCCACAACACGTGGGAATTACGAGAGTATAATTCAAGATGAGATTTGGGTGGGGACACAGCCAAAACATATCAAAAGGTGGCCCACAGGACCAAGGAGCGGACAATGCCAATGACAAATCCTTCAAACCAGGTGGTTTCTGCTGCTTTGACTTCAATAAAATTGAAGAAGGACTTGGTTGAGTTGCAGCTGACAGGGCGTTAAGAATGACTTTTGGTCATGAAGCAATGATTCTTAGCCGATAACTCGGCAGTTGTTCTTGGAGTGGCAGGAAGTTCCTCTATTGCTCTCCCCGCTCCTGCTAACTCAGCCATGAGAGCAGGTTTCTTGGCACTTACCTAAGTCAAAACGCAGGAACAGCATTGCAGCTGAGGCCAGCCTACTTTGGCAACTAGTGAGTTACCCAAAGAGACAACAGCTAGTCAGAAAACCCCGGATGCATCCACCCCATCAAGAACTACATTTCTATGAGACACCTTTCTGTGAAATGATGGTGTACCAAGATGTGTCACATGTTTATGTTGTTTGATCGATTGTATACTAATACTATTAGGTTGTTGCAAAAGTAATTGCAGTGTCTACATTGTCGACTCAGTGCAGAGAAAATGCTAACACTCAGTGCCTCACAGAAAATTTAAAAATTTGACCAGCCTGGGCAACATGGCAAAACCCCATCTCTACTAAAAATGCAAAAATTAGCTGGGTACTGTGGCTCATGGCTGTAATCCCAGATACTTGGGAGGCTGAGGCACAAGAATTGCTTGAACCCGGGAGATGGAAGCCGCAGTGAGCTGAGATTGTGCGACTGCACTCCAGCCTGGGTGACAGAGAAAGACTCTGTCTCAAAAAAAAAAGTGTGAAAATTTAAAAATTTAAATCCCATTTATAGATTTATAAATATGTAATATTGATATATATGTTGTAGAAAAATTTGATAGATGATCAGTAAGGACTTTGAAGCATAGAAATGTATCCCATGAGGATAAAATTACAGGAGGGAGGTGGGGTGGCAATGTGAATTCGAGTTGGCAGAGGTGCGCGTGCCATCTCTGCACAGGAGGAGTCCTGCCCTATTTATTAAGGAGGGGCAGTCAGATGGGGGCGATTTGTCGTCCAGGAGTGATGGGCCAATTTTGTTGCTAAATGTCAATGATTATAATGTGCTGACAATCTGAGCCTCTACATTCTTGTGAACTTCAGCCGAACATTTTAGCTGTCAGCTTGGTTTTTCCTGATTCTGTTAAGAGGAGAGAGCTTTAAATTTGAGGTCCTGGCATAGGGGGACAGCTCCTGGCCTGGGAGGGCCGAGAATCCTTGCACTGCCCACCTGCTCCCGGGTCTGACAGAAGATGGGATTCTGAGATTTCCTTTTCTTGGTAGATGAGGAAACTGTAAGTCCCTCCCATTGCTTTCTTTGATTGTTGAGGGCTCTGTCTCTCCCTGGAGCGGTCCCCCCAATGCCCACACCTCCTTGCTCTCTGGCACGGGTTCTGCTGCCAGCATGGTGCAGACTGGGGGGCTTGGCCACTCTCAGATGCTGTCTGTCCATGTGACCAGCCCCCGTCTACCCCCTGCTGTCATGAGACAGCCAGGCCCCTGGAGTTCTGGACACCTTCCCAGTGGCTCACCAGGATGCCTGGAGCCCAGAAACATCCAGGTGCAGATGTACCCCATAGAGGAAGAGCCCTCTGCTCAGAGCCTCTGGCACCAGCTTCCACCCTTGTGGGAGTCTAAGGTGGTTTGGGAAGGGGCAGGTGGACCTTGATTCTGATTTGGCTTCAGTTTGCCTCTTCTTTCTTTGGGAATAATCAAGATCTGTGGCAGGCCCTGGGAGAATGAAAGGCTGGGTATCGGGTCTGAAACAAAAACAAGTAGTCGTTTTGGCTGGCTCCAAAATTCGTGGTTGGGTGGGTGGATGGAGCAGGGGTGGATCAATACCTAGTCTCAATCCAGGAAAGCAGTACAGAGGAAATGACAGGGTGCTGCCTCACAGTCCACAGGAGGACCAGCCCCAGCCGGGAGTCGGGCAGCTTCCCTAAGAAAGAAGGAAAAAGCATCAAAGTTCAGTGGAGAAGTTCCAAAAAGTGTCTCATAGGAGTCCCAGGGAGAGAGTGGAGAGGAAAGAATGATGGAAAAGCTGTATTTGAAGAAATGGTAGCTGAATTTCCCAGTATTGAAGAAAGACATGAGTTCTGAGATAAAAGGAGTTCCAAGTAGGATAAAGAAATGTGCAGTCATGGGCCATGTGACAGGCCACATATACAATGGTGGTCCCATAAGTTATGATAACGATATTTTTTTATTTTTTTGAGACAGGGTCTTGCTCCGTCACCCAGGTTGGAGTGTGGTAGTGTGATCTCAGTTCCCTGCAACTTCCGCCTCCCGGGTTCAAGCAATTCTTACGCCTCAGCCTCCCCGGCAGCTGGGACTGCAGGCGTGCACTACCGTGCCTGGTTAATTTTTGCATTTTTAGTAGAGATGGGGTTTTCACCATGTTGGCCAGGCTGGTCTCGAACTCCTGACCTCAAATGATCCGCCCGCTTCAGCCTCCCAAAGTGCTGGGATTACAGGCGTGAGCCACCGCGCCCAGCCTGTTAGGATAACCGTATTTGACTGTACCTATTCTGTTTAGGTACACGAATACTTCCCATTGTGTTACAGTTGTCTACAGTATACTGTTCAGCACAGTAACGTGCTGTGCAGGTTTGTGGCCCAGGAGCAACAGGCTCTACCATGTAGCCTAGGTCTGTCGGAGGCGGGGTCATCTAGGCTTGTGGAAGTCCATTCTCTGATGTTTGCACAATAATGAAGTCAATTGACAACACCGTTCTGAGAACATATTCACATCGTTCAGAAATACCTGGGAGTAAATCCACACTGAGATGTATTGTGGTAAAGCTGCAGAATGTCAAAGATGAAGAGAATCTTTAGAATTAACAGAAAAGACAGAGTAACTACGAGAAATGGAAAAAGCCCCGCAGGTTTCTTCTCAGCAACCCCAAGTGCCGCAAGATAGAGAATGAGCCCACAGTGCGGCGGGAAGGCGACTGGCAGCCCCGAATTTTAGACCCAAATGAACTGCTAGTGAAGGGGCAGAAGGCAAGATGAAGACATTTTTCAGGCAAACATTTTTAACCATTTACAGATGCTCGTTGTAACATTTCCTATTATAAGATGTACATCAGCAAGAAAAGGGAACTCGGAGGAAAGATGATGGGATAAAAGAAACAGCTGCAAGGGTGGAAACTGATAAAATGTCAGCGAGTTTAGCTCATAATTGTTTAAGAAATTATGTGTGTCCTAAAATAGAGATAAAAGTAAAGCCCTAGGCCGGGCGCAGTGGCTCAACGCCTGTAATTCCAGCACTTTGGGAGGCCGAGGCGGGCGGATCACAAGGTCAGGAGATCGAGACCATCCTGGCTAACACGGCAAAACCCTGTCTGTACTAAAAATACAAAAAATTAGCTGGGCGTGGTAGCGGGCGCCTGTAATCCCAGCTACTCGGGAGGCTGAGGCAGGAGAATGGCGTGAACCCGGGAGGTGGAGCTTGCAGTGAGCCAAGATCGCGCCACTGCACTCCAGCCTGGGTGACAGAGCGAGACTCCGTCTCAGAAAAAAAAAAAAAGTAAAGTCTTAGACCAGTGCTGTCCAATAGAAATAGGATGTGAGAGCTTTGGGTGCAAGCAACACGTATACACTTTTATTTTATTTATTTATTTTTTTTGAGACAGGGTCTCGCTCTGTTGCCTGGGCTGGTGTACAGTGGTGCAATCTTGGCTCACTGCAGCCTAAACCTCCTGGGCTCAAGGAATTCTTCCATCTTAGCCTCCCAAGTAGCTGGGACCATAGGGTCATGTCACCATACCCAGTGATATGGTTTGGCTTTGTGTCCCCACCCAAATCTCATCTTGAATTGTAATCCCATAATCCCCACATGTCGTGGGAGGGACTTGATGGGACGTAATTGAATCAAGGGGGCAGTTCCCCCCATGCTCGTCTCATGACAGTGAGTGAATTCTCAGGAGATCTGATGGTTTTATAAGCGTCTGGCATTTCCCCTGCTGGCACTCACTCTCTCTCCTGCTGCCCTGTGAAGAGGTACCTTCTGCATGGTTGTAAGTTCCCTGAGGCCTCCCCAGCCATGCAGAACTGTGAGTCAGTTAAACCCCCTTCCTTTGCAAATTACCCAGTCTCAGGTATTTCTTCATAACAGTGTGAGAATGGACTAATACATCTGGCGAATTTAAAAACTTTTTTTTTTTTTTTTTTTTTTTTTTTAGAGATAGGGTCTCACTATGTTGCCCAGGCTGGTCTCAAACTCCTGGGCTCAAATGATCCTCCCACCTCAGCCACCCAAAGTGCTGGGATTATAAGTCTGAGCCACTGTGCCTGGCCAATTTGAAATTTTCTAGTAGCCACATTAAAAAAAAAAAGTAAAAGAAACAGGTGAAATTAATTTTAATAATATTTTATTTGGGGCCAGGCACGGTGGCTCATGCCTGTAATCCCAGCACTTTGGGAGGCCGAGGCGGGCGGATCACGAAGTCAAGAGATTGAGACCATCCTGGCCAACATGGTGAAACCTCGTCTCTACTAAAAATACAAAAAATTAGCCAGGCGTGGTGGCAGGCGCCTGTAATCACAGCTACTTGGGAGGCTGAGGCAGGAGAATCACTTGAACCCAGGAGGCAGAGGTTGCAGTGAGCCAAGATTGTGCCATTGCACTCCAGCCTGGGCAAAAAGAGCGAAACTCCATCTCAAAAAAAAAAAAATTATTTGACCAGAATATTGTTTTAACATATAATCAATATGAAAACTATGAGATCTTGCACATTCATGGTGAACTCTGAAATCTGGGGCTCCAATCGCCCCACATGGTAGGGTTAGAAGGGAGGGGTGGAGGCTGTCAGTGGGATGCCCCTTGTGTGTGGGGCGGTGCTTTCTCAGCCTGTGATAAGAGGTGGGGGCGGCACAGTCCTGTGTCCCGCCCCCAGGGCAGGCGCCACGTCGTTTCCTCTCCTCCTGGTCCATGGAGGAGTTGAGGGGTTAGTGTGTGGGGCAAGCTACCTCCTCACACCGTCCTTTAGCACAAGCAAATGCAGTGAGCTCAGCCGCTGCTCATTCTTGTCAGTGGGCATGAGCCAGCACCTGGCTGGGTGTGGATTCATTCAGTTTGGTCACCAAGTCGTGACTTTATCTGGGGGTCACAGTGTGAGCCACTGCTGTCCAGCAGGGGGAAGAGCCCGGCAGAACCCTTGGGGAGGTACCGGGGCCTCCTTCGATGCTGGCCCGGCTGATTGACCCTGGGTGATTTGGGCCTTGTTAGAACTTAACCCCCTACTGATGCAAAGTTGCTTAAAATCAGTTGGAATGACTTAATTATAACATTTTCCTGTAAAAAGAGGGCTTGAGGATAAGAAGAGAAAGCCACCTTCCCCGAGGCTGCGGGGAAAAGCTTTCTTGGAAAAGCCACGGTGGCTCCGCATTTTGCCACAGCAGCAGGGAGGGAAGGGGACGTGAGCCCAGGGGCCAGTGCCTGGGAAAGGCCACGGCACTTTCAGAGCTTTGTACTGGAGGTCTGAACTGCTGTTCATATCATCTGAGTTTACACTTTCATAAGCAGTAGAGAAAGACAAGGACTTAGGAGGATTCTGTCTGGAACCTCAGGGTCTTCCACAGGAGGACTGGGCTCTGTCCTTATCCACGGGCACCAGGTGCCAACAGGGGACATGGTCATCACATGCTGCTGAGCCACAAACCCACCGAGGAGGAGCCGAATGTGGCATGTGGGGCTGGGTACAAAGATATGTCCTAAGAACTTTCTAGAAAGAACATCAAGTTTCTGCCCAAAGGTGGGGAGATGAGGCAGGAGCCACAGCGTCTGATGTTGGGGTTTATATGAGTTCAATTTAAAAGTTTAGGTTTCTTTCATAGATATGTGGGCATTTTTCTATATGAGCACACAAATACTTGCTTAAAAACCAATTTTCCCCCTCCTCCTCCTTCTCCTTCTCCTTCTTCTTCTTTTCTTCTTTTGAAACAGGGTCTCACTCTGTCGCCCAGGCTGGAGTGCAGTGGCGCAGTCTCAGCTCACTGCAGCCTCAACCTGCCTGGGCTCAAGTGATCCTCCCACCTCAGCCTCCCTAGTGGCTGGGACTACAGGTGTGCATTATTACATCCAGCTAATTTTTGTTTTTTTTTATAGAGATGAGGTCTCACTGTGTTGTACAGGCTGGTCTCGAGCTCCTGGACTCAAACAATCCTCCCGCCTTGGCCGTCCAAAATTCTGGGATTACAGGTGTGAGCCACCATGCCTGGCCTGAAACAGGATTCTGACTGACATCTGTCCTTGTACTAACAGCCTTCAGCTTCTAACAACACTAGTTGAAAACACGTTATTATTTTTGAGAGAGATCTCTGCATGGGTTCTGGTTTTTTCCGTGTACTTGCACTCTGGCTGCCCCTGAGCTTTTTCTAGATTGGAAGGGCTGCACCTACGGACATGGTGGGCTGTATGTGACCATGCACACATCATGATTTTAGAGTAAAAACATTACCTTTTGCTGTTCAGAGTGAGGAGCTCTTGGAGACCCATGGGTTGGATGAAGCCCATCTTGGTGGATCAGGCAGTCAGGGCCAAGGTCAGGACTGGCTGGGATGAGGTAGCAAAGGCAGAGCCAGGGGCTGGGAGAGATGGGGGGCGGTGCTGAGGAGAGAGGACACAGGGAGGCAGGGCTTGGGGCATGACAGGGAGGGCCTGGGCAGGAATCCCTGTGCGTTCCCCTACTTTTTGGGTTTTGAAAGTGGAGAGGCGTGGCATGTGCTCTGTGCTGCTGTTTTATCATATACTAAAACCGTGTGGTATGCTGCTCACATCATCTCTAGCTTTTAGAATGAGCTGAACACATCAGTGCATTTGAGGGGCTCCGTGGGGAACGGAGATTCTGCCAGGGCATACGAGTGCATGTTTGCCACTGCATGGGTTCTAGAGCCCCTGCTTGAAGGTTTGAGACAATTAAGAATGGATCGATGTGTTCTCAGGTTCACACAGGCAGAAGACCAAGATGTTGACAGTGTTTCAGCTCCAGGAAACACTGTTTTTCTTTTACATTTTTCAGAACTTCCATACTTAAAATTATTTTTTTGAGACAGGGTCTCACACTGTTGCCCAGGCTGGAGTGCAGTGGCAGTGGCGTGATCATGGCTCAATGTTGCCTTAACCTCTGGGGCTCAAGCAGTCTTCCCACTTCAGCCTCCCGAGTAGCTGGGACTACAGGTGCATGCCACCACAGTCAGCTAATTTTTAAATTTTTTGTAGAGATGTAGGTCTCACTATGTTGCCCAGGCTGGTCTTGAACTCCTGGGCTTGAGCAATTCTCCCACCTCAGCCTCTCAAGGTGCTGGGATTACAGGCACGAGCCACAGCACCCAGCTCATACTTTTTATAATAAAAAATTATTTAAAAGTCATTTTGTATTTCACAGGCCCTATCAGACATGGTCACTCTCTAAGAAGGTCTGAGCATAGCTGAAGTGGATCATCTCATTCAACTTTGGGTGACTGGTGAATGCTGTCTGTCTGCCACTGCATTCTTGAGCCTTCTGTCCCTGTGGTGGGGGTGGCTGTGGGGGTAGAGGCTGGCTCAGGCATAGGGTAAGGGTACCCCGAGTGTCTGCCCAGAGACGTGGTGGTCTTCTGGTGGGCATGCGGTGGTTTTTCCCTCCCTAGTCGTCCAAGGTTGGCTGGCAGAGAGGCTGGGGGTGCTAGGAGGGCCCCTGGGTAGGGACTGGGTCCAGGCTGCAGTGAGTCAGCCATGGGGAGAGGCCTCGGGGAGGCTAGGTCTTAGGGGTGTGCAGCATCCTTGGTCCAGGGAGGCAGCTGGCTCTGCCATCATGAGCCCCAACCCTCGGAGTTTAACTGACACAATCAGCGAAGCCCTGGAGTGCCTGCCCCTGCCTCTGCGGAGGGAGTGACAGCCAGTGCCCACCCGTGCCCAGCCGCAGGCCCTCCCTCATCAGGTCCCTTCCCAGAATCCAGGCCCTGTTCAGAACCCCAGCACCCCTGCCTGCCCGCACCTCTGTGTACCCCTCCCACATGATGGGGTGATAGGGCATGGTGCCGTGCTGGAGGGGCTAGGAGGCCTCGATGATGGTGACGTCCAGGCAGAGACCCGAATCGGGTGAGTCAGGTGTTGGGTGAACCTTGAGGCCAAAGACCCAGCACTGGAACCTGCTGGGCATGCTGAGGACTAGAAGGAGGATGGCGGGAGCGGTGGTGGCAGGAGGCGGCGATGGAAGGGCTGGGGAGGCAGCGTAGGGCTGTGAAGACACGCCTCTGTGTTCCTGTGAGGGTGGTGGGACCATTCCTACCCCCTCACGAGTCCTTCTCGGAACCAGACTCAGCCCCGCCACCATCCTTCTAGGATGGAAACCTCTGGTTCTCTGGAAGGTCCTTTGGGTCCTGTTGGTCACGGGAATAGGTAACAGCAAACAAAACATTTGCCCTCCTCCCCGCTCCCCAGTTCTGACAGATGTCCACATGGGCCATGCGCACCAGAACCGGCCACACGCTGCACGCCCCTCCAGGCTTCCACTGGGCTGACCTGAGGCTCGTGCATGGCCTTGCACCCCTGCCAGCCCCCAGCTCCATCACTGTCATAGTTGGGGTCTGTGCCTCTAGGCTGCTCCTGTGTGGCTGTCCAGCCCTGGATCCTGGGGACACACGGCCATCAGCTCACGGCCCTGGAGCCCAACCTTCATCCTGTTGCCGCCGAGGCCGGCTTCTCACGCTGGGTGGGGGGCGGGCTGCCAGCTGTTTGCTGGGTTAGGACTGAACCCGCAGCGTGGCCTTCCCAGGCCAGCCTTAGTGGCCAGACTGTGTCTTTTCCAGTTTGGCTTTAGCCCTTAAAGACACTGAAGAGGTTTAATTATTTGCCTGCTATTGTTGAAGGGAGTCTTTGTACTCTTTTGTTTTCTGTTTTTTGTTTGTTTGTTTGTCTGTTTTTTGCCCTGCCGGGAGCCCCTGTGCCTGAGTTACTTTTCTGCAGATACTATCCTGGCTTTTCTTGAGTGAATACCCGTTTGGCTTTTTCCTGCCATATGTCAAGCCTCTGGAACATCGTCAATATTTTTCCTCTCATAATGCATAAAAATAAAGTACAGGCTCTCACTGGACTATTTTGCAAATAATTTTTATCCTCTGATAAAATGACACATTGGTGAGAGCAGGCGTTCCTTTAGGACAGCTATTTTTAAAGAATGATGGAATCGTCTTAATCATCTGTTAGTGGCGGGCACCTTTATAAGTCAAATGCTTCTAAGTTGTATTTGCATTATTTGATTATTTCAGCAATAACCACAGTACAAAAGAAGAATGTGCCAGGGAGCACGACGCGGGCAACCACACAAATCAGCCCCGCCAGGTGCTGGCTGAGTCCATGTGTCCAGGCGGCTTTGCCCTTTCCTGTGGTCACCCCATCCCCTGTCTGCTTGCTTCCCCACTCAGCCCCCACGTGAGCTCCCCATCTTCTCTCCAGCTCCAAGTCGCCCACCTGCAACTTCTCCTAAGGAGCGGGGCCCGAAACCTAACAACTGGTCAAGAAGAAGAGCCAGACTCGGGCTGCGCCCCACATGCTGCGTCCACGTTCACCCCAGGCCTGGGTCCTCTTCCCTGGGGGTCTTCGTGGTGGACAGTGGGCACCGTGTCTTCTCAGTGGAAGCACCTGGAATGCTGCATTACACAGGAAGATCCGAGACACACGTGACCCACATGGACGTGGCAGGGTTGGGTGCCCATCCCTCCTGAGGGCAGTCAGAGAGGCGCCCAGCATCACAGTGTGGGCAGGAGGGGTGGCCGGCGAGGGATGTGGTGTGCAATCTGGCGCCCCAGACTGGCCCACTGCAGGTGGTCCCATGGCCTTGCCACGTCCGGGGAGCCGAGAGGTGGGGGTGGCAGCAGGCATGGGAGACACCCCTCTCCCGGTACAGTGATGCCCAGGATGGTGGGTGCTCCCTCTGGCCCCATCTCTGCATCTCACTGGTGGGCTCTGGGCCCTGGGCCGGCAGGATTGGGTCCAGGGCTACCTCTGTCCTGCCGGTGTCCCACCTGCACGGGGGGAAGATTTGTCGAAAGAGATCTCCCAGAATGTGGGGTGATGGCTATTCTTAGAGGCACTGGGGGCACTTAGGGAATCCCTACCCCCAAGTGTGAGCTGGGGTGTGGGCCCAGGGCACCCCATCCATGGGCTGGGCAGCTCGGCCAGCTCTGCTGACTCCAGGTGTGTCCAGGGGGCTCAGGCCGAGTGATGGTCAGGGCCGATCCATAGGATAAACGCACTGACATGGGGTTTCTCAGTGCCCCTGATGACACAGGACCAGGCAAATCCCCTTCTCTCCGCTGTGGGACATCAGGTAATCGTGGTGCTGTGGGAGAGGGGCATCTTCATTCTGTATGGCTGCTGTGACCAAGTCGCACACAGTGGGGTGCTTAAAACAACAAAAATCGGCCGGGCGTGTTGGTTCACACCTGTAATCCCAGCACTTCGGAAGGCTAAGGCGGGCGGATCACGAGATCAGGAGATCAAGACCATCCTGGCCAACATGGTGAAACCCGTCTCTATTAAGAGTACAAAAATTAGTCGAGCTTGGTGATGCACTCCTGTAATCCCACCTGCTCGGGAGGCTGAGGCAGGAGAATTGCTTGAACCCGGGAGGCGGAGGTTGCAGTGAGCCGAGATCACGCCACTGCACTCCAGCCTGGTGACAGAGCGAGACTCTGTCTCAAAAAAAAAAAAAAAAAAAGAAAAGAAAAAAAAAAATCCCTTCTTTCAAAGTTCTGGAGACCAGAAGTCTGAGGTCGTGGTGTGGGCAGCACTGGTTTCTTTTGGGGGCTCTGAGGGAGGGTCGCTCCTTGCCTTCTCCAGCTCCCGGTGTTGCCGGCTGTCCTTGGGGTTTCTTACAGGCCCGTCACACCGATCTCCGCCCCATCTTCACATGGCATTCTCCTCTGTGTGCCTTTCACCTTCTCTAAGGCCACCTGTCACTGGGTTTAGGGCCCACCCAGAGAGTCCAGGATGGTCTCAGGTTGAGATTCTTACCTCTCTTTCATCTGCAACAACCGTTTTTCCAAAAACAGTCATATTCACACATTCCAGACATGCTTCAAGGGGACCACCATTTGACCCACTGTGGGTGGGTAGGAACCATGTCTGAGGTCCCAGAGTAGGCTCTGGGGGCACCTTTTCCTTACTCAAGGGCCTCTCTTTATGGCAAATTAGGTCCTAATCACAACAAAGGTGCCACATTGCCCAGTCCACACTTGCCCATGGCTTTGGTGGGGTCCTGTGGCTGTGGCAGGGGGGACCCTTGTCTCACCAGATGGAACAGCCTGGCCTAGATTGCTCTGATGTGAGAAAGCAGATCTGGTCAGTCCACAGAGTGCGGCGTTCCACACCCTTGACTCACAGATGTCACCAGGAGGAAGGATGGCAGGGATGCCCCTCTAAGCACCACCTGCCCTTAGTGTATGGTCTCCAGAGAAGATGTGCAGGTGGTCAGCCAGCAATGAAGGGTGCCCAGTGTCATCAGCCATTGGGAAAATGAGAGTCAAAACCACAGTGAGCGGCCACTTCACAGCCACCAGGGTGGTTAGAACTCAAAAGTCAGATAATAACAAGTGTTGGCGAAGACATAGGGAAATCAGAGCCCTGCCACACCAACTGCTGCTCTATGATTGTTGAATGGTGCAGCCTCTTTGGAAAGTAGCCTGGCAGTTGCTCAAAAAGTTAAACACAGAAGTGCCATATGGCCCAAGAATTTCACTTCTAGATATATACCCAGAGAGCTGAAAACATATGTCCCCACAAAAACTTGCTTATAGCAGCACTATTCATAGTAGCCAAAAGGTGGGAGCAGTGCAAGTGTTCATCGACAGATGCCTGGATAAACAAAATGTGGTCTGTCCATCCACACAGTGGCACACAGGAAGCACCGATTTATGCTGTAATGTGGATGAACCTTGAAAACACTGCTCTGTGACAGTAACAGACACAAAATGCCCCATTTCGTATGATTCTATGCACAGGAAATGTCCAGACATGCAAATCCAGAGATAAAGTCGATGAAGGGGTAGGGGGATGACTGCTAACAGGTGTGGTTTCTTCCGGAGGTGATGAAAATGTTCTGGAACTAGATCATGTGATGGTTGCACAGCTCTGAGAATACCCTAAAACTGCTGAATCGCATACTGTAGAGGCAGGGTCTCACGCTGTCACCCAGGCTGGAGTGCAGTGGTATGATCTCAGCTCACTCTAACTTCCACCTCCCGGGCTCAAGCGATCTTCCCGCTTCAGCCTCCTGAGTAGCTGAGACTACAGGTGCAGACCACCACACCTGGCTAATCTTTTGTGTGTAGATACAGTGTTTTTTTTTTTTTTTTTTTGTAGAGATGTGTTGCTTTGTTGCCCAGGCTGGCCTTGAACTCCTGGCCTCAAGTGCTCCTCCCACCTCAGCCTCCCAAAGCACCAAAGTGCCATCGTGCCTGGCCTTTGAATTGCACATTTTGGTAGAATTTTATGGCATGTGAGTCCCATCTCAATAAAACAGTTTCAGAAAGCAATGATTGCTCTCTTTTGGGCAGCAGAGCCTGGGCTTGTCTCTGCTGGCTGGAGCTACCTGGACACAGACCTGCCGCGACTGGCACGCACCAAGTCGCCCTGGGTAAGGGGAGGGCACCTGGCATGTTGGGTCAGAGTCAGGGGCTCCGTGATTAGAGGAGCAACCACCCTGGGTGTCTTAAGTCCGTTAGGTCCTTCAAGGGGAGCTGGTCCAGGACTGAGCATCAGTCCACCTGCCTGGGCTGGTGAGGCCTCCTTGAGTATGGCTTCCAGTGTGCCCAGGAGTGTGGGATACCCATGGCCCCCCAGGCCTGAGCCAACAAAGCAAAGGCCAGAGCATCCTGGGCCGGCTGTTGTGGCCCCACTGCCCACTGTGGGGTTCTCTTGGCCCACAACCTTGGACCCCTGTCTGGGTGTTTGAATTGCTCCTCTGATTAAAGGAACAAGCCCAGTTCTTGTGAGCTCTTAGCAAATCACCTCAAATCATTTTTGAAGGAGAGAAATAATTCACAAATAAGCAGCTTAAGTTTCCATTTTCCACAAGCAAATTTCCATGCATCCTAGGAGTTGACCGGACTGCGTTCCCCCATCCCCACCACCCTTTCAGAGTTTCTTGAGCTGCCCTCAGCCAGGCAGAGCCTGAGGCTCAGCCCCTGCAACGGGGGGCTTGAGCGGGGGACACCCCGGGGGCACCCTGCTAGCACAGTGGGAATGGAATTGATTGTCTTCCTAGCAAGTTTGCTATTTAATAGTTTTAAAATTAAAATGCATTTTAAAGAATCTTTAAACCTGTGGAGTTCAAAATGAGATCTCTGGCAGTTTAAATGCCCAGCTGTCAGATACAGGCTGATTCCATTTGGTCACGCAGCACCCTTCCCTCTGGAGCGCTCTCACCACCCATTCTCCTCCTCGGCAGCGACAGAGAGGCTGTGCAGTTCATTCGTTTCTTTATGATCCCACTGCAGCTACCGTGGTTAAATTTTCTGCAGTCGGTGTTCTTGGCACATCATTTGTATAGGCAGTACTTGACAGAATTTGATTTGAAAATTCATTTTCCCTTTGAAAACGCTTTGCTAGATTTGCAATTATCTCCCAGCTTTGCGTCTGGCTTGGCTTGCAGAACAAATGCCACGGTCAAGGCCAGCATTATCACCTGGGGTTTGCGTGGCGCCGTGCCCAGCTGTTTCTCCTGTAAGGAGGATGTCTTTGCATGATAGGGGATGCCTCATCCTCAGGGGGCCAACCCAGCCTCTTCCTAGAGCCAGGGTCCGGCTTCTGGGGAGCATCTCCTTCTGTGGGTGGGAGGGGGTCTGTTTCCACATCAGAGACTACACTGAGGTGATAAAGGGGCCCTTTGCCATGCCCCAAGGGGCAGAGGCCTCTAGCTGCGTGGAACTCTACCCTCTGCCATTGGAGGGTTTTCTCTGGGGCCACTGAACACTCCACTGAGCTGAGTAGACGATGGCTGTGGGGAAGGCTGCCAGCTCTTCCACCCTTCACCTGCCCCTCCGAGCTGGCTGTGGCTTCTGCTGCAAGTGAGAGCAACTTGGCCGGGAGACGGGTGCTGCTTGGTGAGACAGCAGGTGCAGGGAACTGATTTGTTGGGGTGTCTAAACCAGTCCCCCAATCTAAAGCTTCCCAGGGCACTGATTTACCAGACCATCTGGGAAACTGCAGAGGCCTGGGCTTGCTTCTGAGGGAGGCCCACGTGCAGCTTTGCATAAGCAGGTTCTTATGAAACATGAGCACTGGTAACAGCTGTAAAAGCATTTTAAATAAAAATTTAGTGAGGTTAAAAATTCCATCTCAGAATGTACACGTGAATGTTTTTGGTGCGTGTAGAGTTCACGCCTATGTTTTTTGCTGGAATAACTGGGTGCTGTAATTCTGCGTCGCACTCCCCCCAGAAGTCTCTTTGAGAGGTGGCCTCCTGGGGACATCCACATTCAGCCTCAGGGTCCTTCCTTCACTGGCTGCGCTGGGGGAGCTGCGCTGGGCCACCTGAGTTCACAGTGAGGCCGGCTGTATCTTGCCCTGGCTTCCTACGAGCAGGTCACATGGGTCAGCCTTCACCTTGCCCTTAGGGGGCAGGGGCCGTGCTCTGCCACCTCCACCCCTCCTGTAGGTAGAGGGGAGCCCCCAGTCCCCAGTGTCTGAACCTCAGGGCCTGGAAAACAAACATGCGTGCTTGTGTGCTCCCTTTTCCTTCAGAATTTATTCTGCAGGTGGTCCAGTTGGGGCCTTCTGGTATCAGGGGTGACTCTCAGAGCTTGAAAACCCAAAGTCCAGCTGAGGGCGAGCTGGAGGGCCTGGGAGACGTCCTCCCCGTGTAGCCCAGCTCCAGGCACAGAACCCAGGCCCAGCCAGTGCTGGCCGTCTTCCAGCATGAGTGGGGCGAGCTGTTCCACCCAGGCCGGAGCGGGAGCCTTTGCCCCCAGGTTGGGCCAGGGCTCAGGGCTCCCACCAAAGGGTGGGAGATTTGGGAGTGGACCTGAAGAAGGGACAGGAGAGAGTCTGTGGGCCAGGGAGGCAGGGCCGGGGGCATTTCTGCAGGTGGGAAGGTGGGCCTGGGTGACTGGCGCAGACCCTGGGGAGGCTGGCGTTGTTGTTACCCTTATTACCCTGCGTGCACTGAGAGGCCCCTGCTGCGTGCAGGTAGTTGGGGGGGACACGCCCTTTGTGAGTGCACGTGCGGGCCCAGAGGCAGCGCTCCAGGCTCGAGTGACAGGCGCCGCGCGGCCCCTCCTCACGCCCTTGTCCCCTGCTGTCCCGGTTGCTGCCTGTGGCCTCCGCGCACTGCGCTCTCGAACCCCGCGTGGCCCACCCGGGGAGATGTGGAGACCCTGACCCCTGCCGCCCGCGCCTCCCCTGCCCCCTCCCCGTCCCCCCGCCGCATTCAGGGACACCTGGCCCCTCTCTCCCCACGCTGCCCGCTGCCCACTGCCTGCGGGGTGGCCCAGCTCCACTGCTCGCCCTTCAGCCTGGACCGCCCCCCTCCACCTCCCTCCCCCACTTCCGCGTGCGGGGCCTGACGCCTAGGGAGTGACCCCCGCGTGCGCCCGGGACACCCCGGCTCTGTGGCTGAGGCTGCGCCGCCCCTGCTGGGCCCCGCCCCCGCCTCCACTGTCCCTCCGCGCCGCCTCTTCCGGGGTCCACGGTACTCTCGCGACTTTGCCGCGGCGACGTGGGGGTTTTATCGCGGTATCGCGGAACACAGCCCCCGCCATTCCCAGTCACCCGCTCGGAGGCCGTGGGCGCCTTGACGAGGGCGCGGCGGCGGGAATGCACAACGTTATGCTCATCACCTGCGTCCACCACTGTCACCCCTGACGGCGAGACGCGAGGTGCTAAGGGCTTGTCCAGGCTAAGCGGGTTCTCTGCGTCCTTAAGCCCACTTTGCAGATGCTAATCAGAGGGGACAGGCGGCCAAGAACCTGGAGCCCACCCGGGCGTCTGTGCCCAGTGCCGACCGTCTAAATTCCCTTCCCACGTGGCTCCTGTTGCGTCTGGGCTGTGGAGGATTCCTCTAAACAGGCACAGCCACCCTCTGGGTAAAGTACTTATTGATGTGAATTGAACGTAAAGCTGCCAGCCTTTCCTGGCAGTTTGCTTTGAAGGGCTTGGAGAGGTGGGGGGCTGTGCCCTTGGGGCGGGCAGGGCGTTCAGTGGCCTGGCTGGCCCCACAACACCTGTGGTTCCAGGTCAGGCTGGAGGACTGTGTGGGGCTGGCTGTCCACCCACAGGCACCTGCAGGGGGTAGGTGGGACTGGGGGCTCAGCACCGAGCCCTGGTCTGCAGCCAGGCCGGGTGGGCAGAGTTGATGTGCAGGCTGTCCCAGGTGCCACACCAGGCAACACCTTCCCAGCTGGCGTCAGGCACCCTGTGCCCCACTGGGCCAGAAGGCCACAGTGAGCCTGGAGCTGTGACCTGAGGCCTGGGGAGGCCTTCCCTTCACAGGGCACAGCGCCTGCCCTGGGGCTGTGGCACCAACATCGGTGGTGGCTTTGTGCTGTTTTCACCCTTATTACCTAGCAGGAGCAAGCAGGGAAACCGGGTCACAGGATAAGTCTTCCACCGTCAGGCAGGGTGAGTGGCTTTGAAATGCAGGCCTCATTGCTTATTGGAAGTGGGATCTTGGGTGGATTTGTGAACCTCTCTGAGCCTTGGTTCTTCCCTCTGTAAATTGGGGAACAGCCCCTTACCTCCTCTGGGGTGGTGGGGACTTCAAAGCAGATTCGCTAATTACCAGTCCCAAGAGAAGACTCCTACTTCGTGGAGAACAGCAAAGATCGTCATAGCCAAATACCAGGAACTTCTGCCTGTGGGCACTGCATCCTGGGCTACTGTTTAGTCCTCCATGCGCTGGTGACCTACATGCTCACATACAAGTTACGCAACACAGGTTGATTACTTACAGATAGGAAGCAAGGGACAGAGCCAGTCCCCAGTGTCGGGAAGGCTGCCCAGGGCAGATGGATTGCTGACTGCACATGCTTCTCTTTGCACCAGGGCTAAAGGGCCCTGCAAGCAGCCGCAGGTTAGAGCCCTCAGGGACCACGTGACCCCCAGGGCAAAGCTTTGAAGGACACCCTGCTTCCAGGGAGAAAGAAGCAAAGCCCAGGCGGTTCCTCCCTAACTCAAGCTGTTACAGTCCCTGGGAGGGTCAAGGACAAGTTCCAGGCTGTTCTGGGCAGTCCCTCCCTATCTCTGGATGCCGCGTCCTCAGCACGTTCTACCAGCAAGCAAGAAAGCTGGGAGTGCTGGGTTGATCCCAGGCCCCCTGGAGAACATTCCTGCAGGGATTATCTGAGCTATGCCACTCCCACAGGTGACCTGAGCTGGGTGACATATATGCCACTCTCACAGGTGACCGGTCAACGGTCATATGAGGGATTAAACTGTGTCCAGCCCCCACCCACCAAGCCCTAGAACTGCCAGGGTCTTCTGAGTCTCGGAGGAAGTAGCCAGCAGTCTCAGCAGTTCCCTGGTCAGGCTGTGCTGGGGACACTCACCATGTAATGGGGTTGAGGGGACCACGGGGATGGTGATGAGCCCAGGGCTTGGTGCCACGTGTGGGCCCGAAGGCCACAGGGAGGGCCAGTACCGAGTCCTGAGAGAGAGCAGGGGTGGGTGGGGTCCGCAGGAGGCCAAGGCAGGAAGTGAGCAGGACCGTCCCATCCTCACTCCCTGCCAGGCCTCCTGCTGACCCAGCGTGCCCACTGCAGCTCCCTGACCCCAGAGGAGGGCAGAGAAAGGGGACAGATGGATGGGGAGGGAGACAGTAGCAACAATAGTAACATTGGGGTGGGTGTGGCAGCACGGCTGTGCCTGGGACCACAGGAGTGTGTGCCTGTCTGGGGCCCCAGATCTGCTGCCGGTGGCTGGTGGTGCTGCCAGGTCAGTGGGCCCCCAGCCTGGCAGCCCCTGGGGTGTCTGCTGTGGATGAGGCCTGCCTTGGGGACATGGGTCATGGCTGCCCATGGACGTCTGGCCTCAGTGCGGACAGGAGGGGTTGGGCATGTGCAGGAGGGGCTGGGCCTGTGATTGGCAGCAGTGAACAATTCTAGCCCCAGTGGTGGAGGGGTGGAGGGGCTTGCTCGGCCATTAGTTGGTCATGGTGAGGGCTGAGGAACAGCTGCTGTGGGGGTCACAGCTGTGGGGCCGCATTTGTGTGTCCCAGGCAGAGGCTCTTCCCTGGCTTCTTTGCGATGCTCTTGGATTCCTGGTGCTGGAGCGAGAAGTCCCAGGCTTTAATGGAAAGCTGGCCCTGGAGAGGCCCAGGCGGTGCCTCAGACACCTGGTCCTCACCCCTGCATGCTCCAGCCTCTGTCCAGCTGAAGTCTGCATGTGACCACTGTCTCCTGGAGATCTGCTGATATCTAGGAGGCAAACACACCTGGGTCTCCACGGCTGAGTGTGGGGGCTGTAGGGGTAGGGAGCTGGCTGCCTGGGGTGGTCTGTCTTGGGAACTGGAGCTTAGAGCCCAGCTTATGTCCTGGGTTCAGCTGTGTGGGGAGGGAGGCAGTAGGAGCTGGACTGGGCTTCCGTCCCTTGTTGGGGCCCATGGGGCGGGGCTGGTCCTCTCTGGCCTGGCTGTGCTGCCTGTCCTCCCATCTGTCCCGCCACCTGCCTGCTCCCATCCTCCCTGCCGCAGCTCGGCCAAGACTGTGATGCTGCTGCCCTGGAGTGACAAGGTGTCTCTTTAAGGTCCCCACCTGCAGGATTTATGTCATATTTGGCAAACAAGAGTGTGAAAGGGATCCAGTCCTGGGCCCTTACCCCCTTACCGCACATAGATGCCAGAGAGTCCTAGTGACACCTGGGCTGAGATCTGGCGCCTTGGCATCCAGCGATGTGGTCTTGGCCATGAGTTACCTTCAGGAGTGTCAGTCTCCTTGTCTGGGTGGAAGGCGTGGTGTGATGGGCTGTGCTTCCGTGCCCTGTGCAGGGCTTGGAGCCCCAGCCCTCCTGGGCCTCAAGGTGGCTGGGGCCTGCCCCAGTGGGTGGGGTAGTGCGTGTAAACTCTGAGCCCGGTGGCCAGCCCTCGTAACTGCTGGGAAACACTGCAGGGTCATCACACGTGGGTCAGACGGGCTGAGCTCACACGTGCGCACCGCGTCTCTCTCCCTGCACGTGCCTCCAACCCGCACCTCCCACCTGCAGCCACAGCTCACATTAGGGACCAGGGGCTCGAATGAATTAACAGTTTAATCAGCTTTACAAAATTAGCCCAGAGTCAGTCCATCCTTGTATTTTTTGAACCGAGAGCTGCTTTGTTCGTGCATATTTTCTCCTGCTTTTTTTGAGGATGTCCGTTCAGTAGTCATCTGACCCCGTGAACGAAATGCCTTCTTTACGGGTTTGACTCCTTTTAACAGTGAACACTTTCACTGTTTATCTTTGAGAAAATTTATCTTTGAGAAAATATTGATGTAGTGTGATTTTAAAAGAGCTTCCTACTAGGTTCTAATTTATTCTTTTACAATTTTTATTT